>NC_000012.12:123777897-124079521 GCF_000001405.40 Homo sapiens
AGTGATCTGCCCTCCTCGGCCTCCCAAAATGTTGGGATTGCAGGCATGAGCCACCATATCTGGCCACACTGGCTACCTTCTTATGCAAACTGAACTTTTCATTCTAAAATAACAAAATAACATCAACCCCATCTCTACCAAAAAGAAAAAGAAAAATCTGCTGGGCATGGCTGTGGGTGTCTGTAGTCCCAGCTACTCTGGAGGCTGAAGTGGGAGGATCGCTTGAACCCAGGAGTTTAAGGTTGCAGTGCATGGTGGTCATGCCACTGTACTACAGCCTGGGTGACAGAGAGATACTCCATCTCTAAAAAAAAAAAATGAAAAATAAATAAGATGACATCAAAACATGATGTATAATTAATTCTTAGTGGTTATATGCATTATGACAACCAGTCATGTCTAAAGGACACAGGGCTCAACTTGAAGAGGCTCATGCCAGCCACAGATGGGATATTTTGACCTTCAGTAAGGATAAAATTGCAGTGGGTTGAAGCATAGAAAATATATTCAAATACAGCCAGGCGCAGTGACTCGTGCCTGTAATCCCAGCACTTTGGGAGGCCAAGGTGGATGGATCACCTGAGGTCAGGAGTTCGAGACCAGCCTGATCAATATGGCGAAACCTCCATCTCTACTAAAATTACAAAAATTAGCTGGGCATGGTGGCATGCACCTGTAGTCCCAGCTACTTGGGAGGCTGAGGGAGGAGAATTGCTTGAACCCAGGAGGTGGAGGTTGCAGTGAGCTGAGGTCATGTCACTGCACTCCAGCCTGGGTGACAGAAAGAGACTCCATCTCAAAAAAAAAAGAAAAAAAATATATATGTTCAAATGCATGAGTTAAAAACATTTTTTTAAGAGACACAGTTCTTACTCTATTGCTCAGGCTATAGTGCAGTGGCACAATCACATCTCACTGCAGCCTCAAACTCCCAGGTTCAAGTGATCCTCCCATCTCAGCCTCCGGAGTAGCTGGGTCTATAGGTGCACACCACTAAGACTGTCTCATTTTTTTTTTTTTGAGGCGGAGTCTCACTGTGTCGCCCAGTCTGGAGTGTAGTAGTGCGATCTCAGCTCACTGCAACCTCTGCCTCCCGGGTTCATGCCATTCTCCTGCCTCAGCCTCCCGAGTAGCTGGGACTAGAGAGAGGCACCCGCCACCACACCTGGCTAATTTTTTGTATTTTTAGTAGAGATGGGTTTTCACCATGTTAGCCAGGATGGTCTCGATCTCCTGACCTCGCGATTCACCCGCCTCGGCTTCCCAAAGTGCTGGGATTACAGGTGTGAGCCACCGTGCCCGGCCTAATTTTTTTCTTTTAATTGTAGAGATGGGGTCTCCCTATGTTGCCCCGGCTGTTCTCGAACTCCTGGGCTCAAGAGATTTTCCCGCCTTGGCCTCTCAAAGTGCTGGATTACAGGCATAAGCTACCATGCCCAGCTTTTCAAATCCATGAATTTATAATGATCTTTAAAAGTCCTGATGGGTCATTTCTGGAGGATGATAGGGGACCACTGTACTATTTCAAAAATTGGGCAAATAAAGAGGAGTCAAGCATTTATGTTGCCTTCCCCATATGAAATGTACGGGATCATCTAGCAGTAGCTGTGAGAGGCGTCTTTATATCAGCATCTCAGCTAATAAACAGACATTTTAGAACATTTCAATTTTGGAACCCCCACTTGATTAATGGACCTGGGGGTGGGGGAGAGAGAGAGAGAGAGAAACAAAACCAAAACCAAGAATTTGATTCCTGATGGAAGATACACCCTGGTCAAGTCTCTGGTCCCAGCTGCCAATTTGCAGGAAATACACATCACAGAGGAACTTCAACTGCACAGTGAGTGTGTAGTCAGCAAAATTTGGATTGGGCAGCTCTACAAATCCAACATTCTGGGTTCTTCAGTATGTTGCAGGAAATACATATAGATTCAAAGAGTCATAAAAAGATGTATCAAAATTTTAAGAAATATAGACAAAACTAAAAAACAAAAACAAAACTCAGCCAACCAACCAACCAACTTAATCAACCCACAGGCATTTATAGATCACTTTTTATGTGGGCTGGGGGCTAAGTTGTTTCGTAATTGTATTCAGGTGACTTCATAAATGCATGCTTCTCTCTCTAGCTACATTTTGAAGAAACTATGTCCTCAAGAACTTAATTTTCAAGAACAAGATGGTCCTGAGCTGATGGTTTAACACAGTTTCTTACCTCCCTGTGCCAGTTTCCCCTCCCTCCCTCCCTCCTTTCTCTCTCTCTCTCTCTCTCTCTCTCTTTCTTTCTGAGACAGGGTCTTGCTCTATCGCCCAGGTTGGAGTGCAGTGGTGCGATCTCGGCTCCCTGCAACCGCCGCCTCCTGGTTCAAGCAATTCTCATGCCTCAGCCTCCCGAGTAGCTTGGACCACAGGTGTGCACCACCACACCCAGCTGATTTTTGTATTTTTAGTAGAGATGGGGTTTCACCATGTTGGCCAGGCTGGTCTCGAACTCCTGACCTCAAGTGATCCACCAGCCTCGGCCTCCCAAAGTGCTGGGATTACAGGCATGAGCCACCGCAGCCAGCTCCCTGTGCCACAGTTTGTAACTTCTCAGTTACTGGTGGTATACAGAAATAACAGCACTGTTTTTGGGGCAGTTGTGTCAGGCCTGGTTAAAATTGATGCCCTTGGATCACTTTAAGTCAAATGTAATCTCTCTGTCTTTAGGTCTGTGCTCCGGTTTGAGTGGTTTTCACTTTGCATATTTGTATCTCAATATAAAAGAATATTCAGGCTGGGTGCAGTGGCTCACGCCTGTAATCCCAGCACTTTGGGAGGCCGGGGGTGGATCATGAGGTCAGGAGATCGAGACTAGCCTGGCCAACATGGTGAATCCCCATCTCTACTAAAAATACAAAAATTAGCTGGGTGTGCTGGTGTGTGCCTGTAATCCCAGCCACTTGGGAGGCTGAGGCAGGAGAATCGCTTGCACTGGTGAGGTGGAGGTTGCAGTGAGCCAAGTGCACAGCACTCCAGCCTGGTGACAGAGTGAGACTCTGTCTCAAAAAAAAAAAAAAAAAAAAGAATATTCAAAACCAGAGGCAATTTGAATAAAGAATATTCAAAACCAGAGGCAATTTGAATACATGAATTATTGAAAATGACTTCATATGATGTATTTCATAAAATTGGCATTTCAGGTTTTTTTGCCAGCATTGTCCTTCAATCAGCACAGGACGAGTACAACCGTGGGAGTCACATCTGGAGAAGTCTCTAATTCCTCTGAGCATGAATCAGACCTGCCGCCCATGCCTGGGGAGGCAGTAGAATATCACAGTATTCAATTAATACGGGATGAATTTTTAATGAACGTGCAGAAATTTGCAAGTAATATTCAAAGAACCATGCAGCAACTTGAAGGTAAGGTTTCATTTTCCTCCTTTTTAGTTAAGAATGATTAATTTACTGTAGTTGGGATTACAGGTGCATGCCACCATGCCTGGCTAACTTTTGGAACATTTTTGTTTGTTTGTTTTGTGGAGACGGGGTCTCACTTTGTCGCTCAGGCTGGCAAAAATCATTTTAGCACAGGATTTTTTGTTTTGAGACAGAGCCTCACTCTGTTGCCCAGGCTGGAGTGCAGTGGTGAGATCTCGGTTCACTGCAACCTCCGCCCCCTGGGTTCAAGGGATTCTCCTGCCTCAGCCCCCCGAGTAGCTGGGACTACAGGTGTGCACCACCACACCTAGCTAATTTTTGTATTTTTAATAGAGACGGGGTTTTACCATGTTGGCCAGGCTGGTCTTAAACTCCTGACTTCAAGTGATCCACCTACCTTGGCCTCTCAGAGTGCTGGGGTTACAGGTGTGAGCCACTGTGCCCAGCCTAGCACAGGATTTTTGAATACATTTTTCTTCATTGTTTTCTAGTAGTCAACATCCAGTGATGAGAAACTGAATGTTCTTCTAATTTTTCTCCCCTCCCCCTTTACGTAAGCTTTTAAGAGCATCTGGTTATCCCTAGTGTTTTGGTGTTAGGATGATGGGCCTTTGTGTGGAATTTTTTCCATTGATTTTTTAAACACTCAGTGGGTGTTTTCAGTCCAAAGACTGAAAAATCATCTTGACGTTTTCCTCCACTATTTGTTTTCTCTTGCTGAAATTCCTGCTGGATGGATGTCTAGAGATTCTATTTCTTATCTTTTCTCTTGTATTTTTCATCTTTTTGTCTTTGTATTCTTTCCTGGAGTGTTCTTCAACTTCTATGTTACCAACGTTTGATTGATAGTCATATCAGCTATTATATTTTTAATTTTTAAGACCTCTGATTCTCTGATTGTATCTTTTTTCATAGCATCCTGTTCTTGTTTGATGGATGCTATATGTCTCAAATCTCTGAGACAAATAGTTGGGCTTTCCTTTTGGAAATGTTCTCCTTTTGCCCTGCCCTGCCTCCCCTCCCCTCCCCTCCCCTCCCCTTCTCTCCCCTCCCCTTCCCTTTTCTTTCTTTTCTTTCCTTTCTTTCTTTCTTTCTTTTTTTTTTTTTTTTTTGACAAGGTCTCACTCTGCCGCCCAGGCTGGAGTGCAGTGGCACAAACATAGCTCACTGCAGTCTCAACCTTCTGGGAGCTCAGGCAATCCTCCCACCTCAGTCTCCCAAGTAGCTGGGATTATAGGCACACACCACCATGCCTAGCTAATTTTTGTATTTTTAGCAGAGAGGGAGTTTTGCCACATTGGCCAGGCTGGTCTCGAACTCCTGACTGCAAGTGATCTTCCTGCCTTGGTCTCTCAAAGTGTTGAGATTACAGGTGTGAGCCATCGTGCCTGGCCTGTTCTCCTTTTCTTTACATTATTTCAATTTCCCCTGATGTCATTTTTCCCCTGATTTATCTTTGACTGACTGTTTCAGGCTGGTGGTTATCTAAAATGTCTGCTGGCTCTTTGTTCAAGTTTTTAAAAATTGAAGTCACTAGGTTATAAACTCAGGAACATCTTAAATAACTAAATCATTTTGATCAAGCTTAACACCGGAACAATTATCTAAAATGTTTGAATTACATTCTAATGAAAGAGAATGAGATACAGATATTATCAGGACAGGGGATGCGTCAGACCTTATTATACTGATGAAGCTTGAGAGACGACCCAGCCGGTGAACTTGAATGTTTCTCTTTGTAATCATTTTTCCTGAACGAATGACTGACTGATCACTTTTATTTTCCTAGGTGAGATCAAGTTAGAAATGCCAATCATCAGTGTGGAGGGAGAGGTGTCTGACCTGGCAGCTGACCCGGAAACCGTTGACATCTTGGAGCAGTGTGTGATAAACTGGCTGAATCAGATATCCACAGCGGTTGAGGCCCAACTGAAGAAGACACCTCAGGTAGTTTGTGCAGGGCTTTCAGAGAGCCCCGATCCAGGTCATGCTTACCATGCTGGGAAAGAGCCCGGAGTCTGGGGTCTGCATCATCTGGCATCTTTTCTTACTGTTTTATGACTTCCTTAAGCCATCAAAATAAACACACCCAAAATATCATTTCTGGGCTTTCTGATGTTAATGTGCTACCAGGTTACTGCCTGGATTGATAAAGATAACACTTTGGATCAGTCAGGAAGCTTGGGCTGCCAAAAACAGGAAACCCAACTCAAGTCGATCAACTAAGAAAGCAAATTCCTTGGCTCACATAATGGAAAAGTCCAGAGGCAGGGTTGGCTTCAGGTCCAGTCTGATCAGGGCTCTGGCTATATTTCTGAATCTCTCAGTTCTAGACCCCTTTCTAGGGGCTGGAGAGCTTCATTCCTCAGGCTGGCTTCCTTGCAGCAGTTTCTGGCCTCACATTCTGTACACCTCAGTTGTCCGGAGAAAGGCAGAGTGTGTTTCTAGCATTCTCAGCTGGAGCCCTGAGATTCACTATGATTGGACCACCCAGGGTCAAGAGCCCACCCCTGAAGACCCTGAAGGATTGGAGCAGTTGGACAGAAAGAACGGATGCTGGAGAAACCACCATAAGTGTCTGCTCCACCCTAATAATGAGAGTTCTTTGTGTGTTCATTTCACCTCTCAGGGTAAAGGCCCTCTGGCTGAAATTGAATTCTGGAGGGAAAGAAATGCAACCTTAAGTGCGCTGCATGAACAAACAAAGCTTCCAATAGTCAGAAAAGTCTTGGATGTGATCAAGGAATCCGACTCCATGCTTGTGGCTAATCTGCAGCCAGTGTTCACCGAGTTATTCAAGTTCCACACGGAGGCCTCAGACAATGTGCGCTTTCTCTCCACCGTGGAGCGTTATTTCAAGGTATGCTGGGTGTGCTGCACTTTGCAGTCAGCTCTGTCAAAGAGATTTCATATGATTTAATTTCCCTTTTAAAAATGTTCAGCATTTGGCCAGGAGCAGTGGCTCATGCCTGTAATCCCAGCACTTTGGGAGGCTGAGGTGGGCAGATCGCTTGAGCTCAGGAGTTGGAAACCAGCCTGGCCAACATGGTAAAACCCTGTCTCTCCAAAAAATACAAAAATTAGCTGGGTATGGTGGTGTGCACCTGTAGTTCCAGCTACTCAGGAGGCTGAGGTGGAAGGATTGCTTGAGCCTGGGAGATGGAGGTTGCAGTGAGCCAAGATTGCGCCACTACACTCCAGCCTGGGCAACATAGCGAGACCCTGTCTCAAAAAAAACCTCAGAATTTAAAAAATTGTGATAAAATAGACATGACATGATATTATCATTTTAACCACTATTAAGCATACAGTTCAGTGGCACTAAATACATACACAATGCTGTGTGTCCATTACACTATTTCCAAAACAGTTTCATCTTCCCAAACTGGAATTCTGTGTCCATTAAACACTAACTCCCCCTTCTTCCTTACCCTAAGTCCCTGGTAACTTCTGTTCTGCTTTCTGTCTTTGTAAATCTGACTACTCTAGGGACTTCATATAAGGGGAGTCATGCAGGACTGATCCTGTGTGCAGTCTCTTTCACTCAGCACCAGGTTTTCAAGGTTCACCTGTGTTGTAGCGTGGAGCGTGTTAGTGTTTCACTCCTTTCTGTGGCAGAATCATATTCCATAGCATGGATAGACTACATTTGGTTTCTCTATTCATCAGTCGGTGGGCATTTGAGTTGTTTCTGCATTTTGGCTATTATGAAGAATGCTGCTACGAACATTCTTGTACAAGGATTTGTGTGGATGTGTGTTTTTAATTATTCATGTATTATGCATAGGAGTGGAATAGCTGGGTCATATATGGTAACTGTTTAACCTCTTGAGGAATTTCTAGACTGTTTTCCAAAGTGGTTGTCCCATTTTACATTCTGAAGAGCAATACACGAAGGTTCTGGTTTTTCCGTATCTTCACCACCACTTGTTATCGTCTTTCTGATAATAGCCATTGTGGTTTAATTTGCATTTCCTTAACAACTAGTGAGACTGAACAACTTTTTATGTACTTAATGTGCTTATTGTCAATTTCATATTGTTGGTGAAATGTCTGTTTTAATCTTTTGCCCGTTATTTATTTGAGTTATTATTATAAGAGATTAAAAAAAGTCTGCTCACCTGGGCAACATAGTGCGACCTCATCTCTACAAAAATAAAAATAAAAAATTAGCCGGTGTAGTGGTGCATGCCTGTATTCTCAGCTTACTTGGGAGGCTGAGGTGGGAGGATCACTTGAGTCCGCAGGGGAGTCGAGGCTGCAGTAAGCCATGTTTGTGCCATTGCACTCCAGCCTGGGCACCAGACTTGGTCTCAAGGAAAAAAAAAAAAAAAAAAGAGTGAAACTTCTTGCATGCTTACTGTTTTATGAAACTATTTGGACCCCAAGGCTAAGGGCTCTTGCGTGGCTCTCTCCTCTCTTGGTCAGAACATAACGCACGGGTCTGGCTTCCACGTGGTCCTGGACACCATCCCCGCCATGATGAGTGCCCTGCGGATGGTGTGGATCATCTCCCGACACTACAACAAAGACGAGAGGATGATTCCGCTCATGGAGCGCATCGCCTGGGAAATCGCTGAGAGAGTCTGCCGAGTGGTCAACCTGCGGACTTTGTTCAAGTAAGAAGCCATGGCGTTCATTTTTTTGTTTTGTTTTGTTTCACTTTTTACTTTTTAGATCTTAAACAGCTCTATTGAGCTATAATTCACATATAATTCTCTTACTTAAAATGTACAATTCACTGGCTCTTATGGCTGGGCACAGTGGTGCACACCTGTAATCCCAGCACTTTGGGAGGCCGAGGTGGCGGATTGCTTGAGGCCAGAAGTTCGAGACCAGCCTGGCCAACATGGTGAAACCCCATGCGTGGTGGGCTGTAATCCCAGCTTCATGGAAGTCTGAAGCATGAGAATTGCTTGAACCTGGGAGGCGGAGGTTGCAGTGAGTGGAGATCACACCATTACATTCCAACCTGGGCGACACAGCGAGATTCTGTCTCAAAAAAAAAAAAAGTACAATTCATTTTTTTTTTTTTTAGTATATTCACAGAATTGTGCAGCCGTAACCACTATCAATGTTAGAACATGTTCTTCATCCCTCAAAAGAAAACGTGTGCCTTTTAGCAGTCAGTCCTCGCCTCTCCCCAATTGCCCAAGTCCTGGGAACCATACAGCGTGCTGTCTTTTGCATATAAATGGAATCAGACACTATGTGACTTTTATCACTGACTTCTTTCACTTAGCAGCATGTTTTCAAGGTTCATCCACATCGTAGTATGGATCAGTGCTTCATTCCTTTTTATGGCTAAATCATATTCCATTGTATGGAGATATATTTTGTTTCAGATACATATATGTGTGTGTGCACACACATATATCTACATGAAATTTTGTTTTAACTGCAATGTTCTTCCCCAGTTGTACCTGGAGAGACTGAGGCTGAGGTGGAACCACCTTTGAGGGTGTAGGGAGATGATGGAGGATGCTAAGGGAGACAGATAACTTTTTTCACTTTCTTAAAAAATATCTATATAGATGAGGCCGGGTGCGGTGGCTCACGCCTGTAATTCCAGCACTTTGGGAGGCCAAGGCAGGCGGATCACTTGAGGTCAGGAGTTCAAGACCAGCCTGGCCAACATGGTGAAATCCTGTCTCAACTGAAAGTACACAGAATTAGCCGGGTGTGGTGGTGGGCGCCTGTAATCCCAGCCACTCAGGAGGCTGAGGCAGGAGAATCGCTTGAACCCAGGAAGTGGAGGTTGCAGTGAGCCGAGATTGCACCTGTCTATATCTGTATCTATATCATCATCTAGCGATCTATCTAGATAGACAGATCTATCTGGATATCTATGTAGATCTATCTATATGTATCTAGATAGATATCTATATTTATCCATATCTATACATAGGTATCTATGTCTATATCCATCTATACAGATAGGTATCTATGTCTATCTATGTATATGTATTTATATAGATAGCATATAAATGGAATCAGACACTATATGACTTTTTGTTATCTATAGATAGATATCTATATCTATATGTATCCATATCTATTTATATACATCTCTCTCTCTCTCTCTATCTACCTGCATAGCTAGATCTCCATTTCTGTCTATTTGCATAGGTGAAGTAGGTACCCAAATGGAGGCATTGTCCTGCGCCGTGTTGCAGCTGCCGCTGTTGACCTCTGGCCTGGGGCCAAGGCCACCTGCCCCTTCTGGTGTAGGGAGCGAGGTCACCAGGTAGCCCCAGCCCTGCACGCAGGTTGGCGGCTGCAACGGAAACCTCGCAGCTTGGGACTCCCGCCCTTGCACATGGGACAGGGCAGCCGCTTGCCCGCTCTGCCTTTTCCGATGAGGCCGTGAAACCAGGGGGGGCGCCCGGGTCAGAGCTTCACGGGACACTGGCTCCCCAGCCGGGGAGTGCGGCTCGGACCCGGAGCTCCGCCCTCCTCCCATCACGGCATCTCTTGGCTTCGCAGAGAAAATCGAGCGAGTGCCCAAAGCAAAACCTTGGAAGCCAGGAACACCCTCAGGCTGTGGAAAAAGGCCTATTTTGACACCCGGGCCAAGATAGAGGCTTCGGGGAGGGAAGATCGGTGGGAGTTTGACCGGAAGCGGCTGTTCGAGAGGACGGATTATATGGCCACCATCTGCCAGGACCTCTCCGACGTTCTGCAGGTAGGGGCTGGGCGAAGGCCGGCGGAATTTGCCCCGAAGAAGGCAGTTGGCTTTTGACAGTGGCCCCCTCCGTGTCAGGTAGGAGCTGGGCGTCAGAAAGGGCCTGGCAGGGAGAAGCCCTTCAAAGAAAGAACCTACGGAATATACTAGAATGTACCAGAATGGACCAGAGTACACCAGAGCTTTGCGACTTTTTGTTGCTTTCTCTGACATTCTTCCCTCTCCCTGCTTTTTGGCTTTCCTTTGACCTCTTTGGCCACTCCTTCTCTGTGTCTTTTGCAAAGCTCCCTTCCTCTGCCTTCCCCTTAAGTATTGGAATCCCTCAAGAGGCCAGTCTGAGACCTCTCTTCACTCTCCCTCAGCCAGGCCCAGTCTTCCCAGAGCTCCACGGATGGACAAAGTGCCTAGTGGCTGATTGAATTAGCCACAGCACTTGTCTCCTAAAGGTTCACCCACCCCTTCATTCTAAATGCATTCACGGAGAACTCACGGTGTGCCGGGTACTCAGATGTCTTAATGCTAGAGGAACCATAGTGAGTACAAAGCAGGTCCGGCTGCGGTGTGGCAGTGCCCAGCCCGAGAGGGAGGTGATGCCCTGTGCTCAAAGACAGGAAAAAAAAATGCTGTAAAAAGAATTCAAACAGGCCAGGCATGATGGCTCACACCTGTAATCCCAGCACTTTTTGAGGCTGGGGTGGGAGGATCCCTTGAACCCAGGAATTTGAGACTGGCCTGGGCAACATAGCAAGACCCTGTCTATTGAAAATACAAAAATTAGCCAGGTGTGGTGGTGCACACGTGTAGTCCCAGCCACTCAGAAGGCTGAGGTGGCACGTTGGCTTGAGCCTGGGAGGTTGAGGCGCAGTGAGCCGTGGTCACGCCAGTGTACCCCAGCCTGGGCGACAGAGTGAGACCTTGCTTCAAAAAAAAAAAAAAAAAAAGAATTAAAAATATAAAGCTTTTTCGGCTAGATGCGGTGGCTCACGCCTGTAATCCCAGCACTTTGGGAGGCCAAGGTGGGCGGATCACGAGGTCAGGAGTTCAAGACTAGACTGACCAACATGGTGAAACCCTGTCTCTATGAAAAATACAAAAATTAGCTGGGCGTGGTGGCGGGCGCCTGTAATCCCAGCTATTTGGGAGGCTGAGGCAGGAGAATTGCTTGAACCTGGGAGGTGGAGGTTGCAGTGAGCTATTGTGCCACTGCACTCCAGCCTGGGTGACAGAGCAAGACTCTGTCCCAAAACAAAAACAAAAAATATTTAACTTCTATGTGGAATCACCGTAGCTAGTGTGTGCATGGGTATTTCATTGTTACCAGAACAGTGGAAACGCTGCATAGAACTACCTCAGTGGTTTATCATCTCACCTCTTTGTGTGTGTGTGTGTGTGTGCATGTGAGACAGAGTCTCGCTCTGTCACCCAGGCTGGAGTGCAGTGGTGCGATCTTGGCTAACTGCAACCTCTGCCTTCCGGGTTGAAGTGATTCTCCTGCCTCAGCCTCCTGAGTAGCTGGGATTACAGGCATGCACCACCACACCCGGCTAATTTTTGTATTTTTAGCAGAGACAGGGTTTCGCCATGTTTGCCAGGCTTGTCTTGAACTCCTGGCCTCAAGTGATCCGCCCCCCTCAGCCTCCCTGAAGCACTTTCAACTGCAAGTGCAAAGGTCCTGAGGCAGAAAGGGACATGGCCTTGGAGGAGGGTGGGGGTGGCTGCAATGTGGGGAGGAACAGGCAGGTGCAGACCTGGATCTTATCCTATGTGCCTTGGGCATCGTACCGAAGGGCTTAGTCCGGGAGGAGGTTACTGTGTGACATGATTCTTGCCCCCAGGTCAGTCTCGATATGCTATCCATTTGTAGTTCTAATATTCACAGGAAAACCCAAATGTAATCTCCTCATTGTTCCGTTTGATTGGACAGATTTTGGAGGAATTTTATAACATATTTGGTCCAGAACTAAAGGCAGTGACGGGGGACCCCAAGCGCATTGATGATGTCCTATGCAGAGTGGACGGCCTAGTCACCCCCATGGAAAACCTGACCTTTGACCCCTTCAGCATCAAGTCCTCCCAGTTCTGGAAATATGTGATGGATGAATTCAAGATTGAAGTTCTGGCAAGTGACACGTCCATTGAGTCCATCTTGGGAGTCGACACCATGTTTTCTCTGTGTTAAATTTGTTGGGTTATTTAGTGATGCTTAGTCTTTTTTTTTAAATCACAAGTAATACCTGCTTATTAATTATAAAAAACAAAAACAATGCAGAAGTGCATAAGGTAAAAATGAACATTCCTCCATCTTCTTTGTCCTCACACCCATTCTCCAGGTGGGATAAGTTTAAGTTGAGCTAGACACAGTAGCATTTCTACAAAGTTTTGTCCAATATAAGTTCACCTATCTAGGAGTGAAGTTAAAAGTAAACCAGATATGGCAAGAGAATCACAAAGCGCCCTGTGAGTTTTTGAGAATTGCGTTTTGTCAGAAGGCGGGGGCATGGAGAGCTGATTGGAAACAACCTTTGGGATTGAGGAAGATTTGGATGGGGGAAATGGGGACGAGGAAGGAGGCTGAGACAGCGGAGGGGGTTTCAGGTGGGAAGAACAGTGTGAATGAAGGTGACAGACATGAGAAAAACAGGAATTGTCTGAGGCAGAGCAAACAGAGGGGTTTGGCATAACACATATGGGTAGTAGAGGGAAATCAAGCTAGAAAGGTGGGTTGGGTAAATAATTGGTGATGAACAAAGAGGACAGGAGTGAGGAAGGAGACTTACTTCAGTAGGCAAGAGGGTGCCATTGAAGGTGGTTGACCAAGGAATGATATAGCCAGAATTATAGGTCGGGTGTAGCGGCTCATGCCTGTCATGCCAACACTTTGGGAGGCCGAGGAGAGAGGACTGCTTGAACCCAGGAGTTTGAGACCAGCCTGGGCAACCTAGTGAGATGCCCATCTCTACAAAAAACTTTAAAAAATTAGCCAGGCATGGTGGCTTCTTCCTGTAGTCCCAGCTACTCAGGAGCTGAGGTGGGAGGATCCCTTCAACCTGGGAGGCTGAGGTCACAGTGAGCTGGCTGAGATCACACCACTGTACTGCAGCCTGGGGGACAGAGTAAGACTCTGTCTCAAAAAAAACCCAAAAAACAAAAACGTGAAAAAAAATCAAGGTTTATACTTCAGGAAGATTTTTCTGGCTACAGTATAGGCTGCTTTGGACTGGGGAACAACAGAGAGTGGGGAGATGATACAGGAGGTGATAGCCTGAGGTGCGGGGAGGCAGAGTCCATCAGAGAGAGGCTGCAGCTGAGAATCAGATTTCACTTCCCACAGTATGAAGAGTGACCCATTGCGCTCACCTTTTCAGTCTCATGCAGGAAGCGTAATTAGGAGCATCCCCATTTATGTCTTACACAGTTGTTTTTATAACCTCACAGCATCTTTTTATATGCACAACCCTAGACAGTTCTACTTGGTTATATAGACATTGCCATGTTAACTATATCTAATTTATTATTAGCTGCTATTTTAAGTGTTACTTGCTTTTTCAGTTGAACCTTTTTTTGGTTTTCTTTTATTATTTTTTATTTTTTAGGGACAGGGTCTTGCTCTGTTGCTCAGGCTAAAGTGCAGTGGTGTGATCCTGGCTCACTGCAGCTTCAACCTTCTGGGCTCAAGTGATCCTTCCGCCTCAGCCTACCGAGTAGTTGGGACCACAAGCATGTGTCTGGCTAATTTTTAAAATTTTTAAGTAGAGATGAGGTCTCACTCTGTTGCCCAGGTTGGTCTTGAACTCCTGGCCTCAAGTGATCCTCCTACCTCAGCTTCCCAAATAAATTGAACTTTTCATCAAAGTCACTTAATCAAGTGATACTAAAGGATTCATAATAAGAAAAAACAGCTCCATGCTTAACTCCTTCCTCATTCTTGCTGTCATTTTCCACAATTTTAGATGTTTCTTTTGTTGTTAACCCCTATATTTTTTTAAGAACAAGCCGATGTGGTTATTTTCTGATTTATTAATTTAGACTTCTGTTAACTTCTCAGAGTAGATACAGGCTGGACTGTCCCATTCCTAATCCCATTTGCCTCTCTGTCATCTAACACAGTTTCTTCATAACTTTTAGTTAAATTAATGACTAGTGTTTACTTATTATGTCTATGCAAATATTGTTCATTGCTGAGCTGGGAAGACCATCATAACTACAATACCTTTCTTGGCCAACCTTCAGTTTTCCTGGAGTTAATAATTGCTTTTGTTTTTTATTTGCCTGGTTATTTATGTACCCATTGTTAATTTTTTCCAACTTCTCTAATATCTCTGCCACATACCTATCAACAATAGCCTCTAAATACTTAAACATATCAGTGCCATTATTTACCTAGAGGCCTTCCTCCCAGAGCTCATTGTCCTCCTACTCTAGCTTGTTTACCTTTTTTTTCCTTTGTCCTTTTTTTTTTTTTTTTTTTTTTTTTGAGACAGAGTTTCGCTCTTGTTGCCCAGGCTGGAGTGTAATGGCGTGATCTTGGCTGACTGCAACCTCTGCCTCCTGGGTTCAAGCAATTCTCTTGCCTTGGCCTTCTGAGTAGCTGGGGTTACAGGTGTGTGCCACCACACCCAGCTAATTTTTGTGTTTTTTAGTAGAGACAGAGTTTCGCCATGTTGGCCAGGCTGGTCTTGAACTTCTGACTTCAAGTGATCCGCCTGCCTCAGCCTCTGAAAGTGCTGGGATTACAGGCATGAGCCACCACACCCGGCCAGCTTGTTTGCTTTTTGAGCCTGTTACAAAGCAGTCTAGGACCCTAGGACTTCCTATCTTCTCTCATCTGTGTTGGATTTTCAATTTTCTAGATCTCACCTCTTCCTCTTTCCTTGTTTACTCCTTCGTTTTGCTGGAGCACATTTAGTAGCTTCCTAAGTAAGGTTTCATGAGACATATATTTTGTGAGTCTTATATGTATGAATTCTGAAATAACAGGTATAGAATCCAAGGTTGAAAATCACCTTTCTTTAGAAATTTGAAGTTTTTAAAATTGATTTCTAGCTTCCAATATTAGAAGTCTGATGTTATTCTTGAGTTAATTTTTCTAGAACTAACCTTCCACTCTTTTATAGAATGGAGTGGGGGTGGGAGGGATTGAGGCTGCAGAGTGGCCTGGCTGTGCAAGGTGAGAAAGGGATTCCCTGTTTGCCCCTCACCTTCATGCACACTGACTCCCTTCCTGGGCCCAGTGCCTCCAAATGCTAAGCCTTCTGGAGTTTCTTCAAGGAACAAACAGGGACTCACTTGCGCCCCCTATTTTCAGCATTAGGTTGTAACTACCTGCCTTAGTTACTGTCTTTTTTTTTTTTTTTGGAATGGAGTCTCGCTCTGTCGCCCAGGCTGGAGTGCAGTGGCGCCATCTCGGCTCACTACAGTCTCCACCTCCTGGGTTCACACCGTTCTCCTGACTCAGCCTCCAGAGTACCTGGGACTACAGGCGCCCACCACCATGCCCGGCTAATTTTTTGTATTGTTAGTAGAGACGGGGTTTCACCGTGTTAGCCAGGATGGTCTCGATCTCCTGACCTCGTGATCTGCCCGTCTCGGCCTCCCAAAGTACTGGGATTACAGGTGTGAGGCACTGCGCCTGGCCCTGCCTTCATTACTTTCTTACTAAAAATTCCTGAACTATTTCCTCTGTTGTTGTGTCCTCTCCTGCATTTTTTGTTTATATGAGTTAATACTTTAAAAAATTCCTTTACCTTTGAACTGGTTGGGGAGAGAGATCAGGAAATCAACATAGCCAATCTCCCACTTTAAATTGGATACCAGTTTCCATTACTTATGCCATAGAAATCTGTCCCAAACCACTGATTTTTTTTTTCTTATTTCTTGCCACTTTATTTTGGCAGGATAATTACAGGGGCATGAGGGTTGTTTTGTTGATTTTTTTGCAGGTTATTGAGAAAGAAGCAAAACATTTTATTGATGAATCTTTTAAGACGCTTCGATCTGCTGAAGCAGCATTTGACATGCTTTTAAAATTTAAGCACATTCGTTCACGGGAGGCTGTTAATCGACAAATGATGATGAAATTTAATGATATTCTTGCACAGTACTGTAAAGAGGTAATTGAAAAATCGATAGCTGCCATAGCATTAAAAATACACTTGGCAAAATGTGAACAATTGAATCCCACTATTGTCTGTCTTTCCCATCTGAATTCAGAGAAACTAGAATTTTCCCAAATTAGCATGTTACGTAATACACGTAACCCGAACAAAGTGGGTTTGTTTATTTAGTGGAGAAATTCAATAAGAATTAAGTATATTATGATTTACTCACATTGTGGTGGGCCCTGTGTGGGTTAGTAATAATCATGGTAGTAATAGTAATCATAGTTAACCATGTCCAAGGATCATATATGTATTTATAATTAACTCAGAACAATTTATCTGGTGCTCACATATCTCAAGTATGGTGTTAGGCACAGAGATAGAGAGATGAACAAAACGTGGATTCTGCTTTTAAAGAAGTCAGTATCTAGTTGGAGAAATAGACCAAAAAATGCTTATAATCTGCTGGGCACAGTGACTCATGCCTGTAATCCTAGCACTTTGGGAGGCCGAGGCCAGCGGATTGCTTGAGTTCAGGAGTTTGAGACCAGCCTAGGCAACATAGCAAAACTCCATCTCTACAAAAAATATGAAAATTATCCTGGTGTGGTGGCGCACACCTATGGTCTCAGCTACTTGGGAGGCAGAGGTGGGAGAATCACCTGGGCCAATGGAGGTTGAGGCTGCAGTGAGCCATGATCTTGCCACTGTACTCCAGCCTGGGCAACAGAGTGAAACCCTGTCTAAAAAAAAAAAAAAAATGCTGGCCAGTCGCTGTGACTCATGCCTGTAATCTCAGCACTTGGGGAGGCCGAGGCAGGTGGATCACCTGAGGTCAGGAGTTCGAGACCAGCCTTTGCCAACATGGTGAAACCCCCTCTTTACTAAAAATACAAAAATTAGCCAGGCGTGGTGGTGGTGTCTGTAATCCCAGCTACTCAGGAGGCTGAGGCAGGTGAGTCGCTTGAACCCGGGAAGTGGAGGTTGCAGTGAGCTGAGATCGCGCGATTGCACTCCAGCCTGGGCGACGAGTGAAACTTCGTCTCAAAAAAAAAAAAAAAAGAAAAAAGAAAAAAATGCTTATAATCTTATGTAGAAGACAAAATGAGAATATGTGGAATGATTAGGTGAGCATAAGGTAGTATAAAAAAAGGCCTAAGGTGGTCTCCTGATGTCTTAGTTTCCCAATGCTGCTGGAACTAATGACCACAGATGCAGTGACTTAGAACAACACAGATTTATTCTCTTATGGTACTGGAGGTCAGAAGTTTGCCACGGGTGTCCCTGGGTTTAAATCGAGGTGTGAGCAGGGCTGTGTTCCCTTCGGGAGTCTCTAGGGATGATTCAGTGCTTTGCTTTCCCCAAATTCTAGAAGTTCCTGGTTCCCTTTCATCTTCAAAGCCAGTGGTGGCCACTTTCACTTCAGATCACTCTGACCTCCTTTTCTGCCTCCTCCTTCCTGTTTTAGGACCCTTGTGATTACATAGAACCTCCCCAGAAAATTCAGGATAATTTATCTATTTTAAGATCAGCTGACTGACAACATTAATTCCATCTGCAACCATAATTCCCCTTTGTCATGTAACATTACATATTTTCAGCTTCTGGGGATTAGGACGTGGACATCTTTGGGAGGCGAGGCCATCATTGTGCCTGCCACACCTAATTACCCCCACGAGAGCTCAGACATGCTTCTTTTAAAAACACAGTTCTGGTGACTGTAGTCAATAACCTAATTATACATCTAAAAGTAACTAAAAGAGTATAATTGGATTGTTTTTATAACACAAAGGATAAGTGCTTGAGGGGATGGACACCCCATTCTCCATGATGTGGTTATTATGCATAGCATGTTTATATCAAAACGTGCCCTATAGCCCATGAATATGTATACTTTACCTGCAAAAACTAAAAACTAAAAATTAAAAAAAAACCAAAGGTCTGCCACTGTGGTCATGTCTAGAACAGATTTCCGGATTTCTGATAATTGGATCAAGCCAATATACACAGTGTGCATGCTCTGTAATTGTAAGGCAATTTGGAGCATTGCATATGTTGAAGAAAAGATTACTACAGCCGGGCTCGGTGGCTCACGCCTGTCCTCGCAGCACTTTGGGACCCTGAGGTGGGCAGATCACCTGAGGTCAGGAGTTTGATACCTGCCTGGACAACATGGGGAAACACCATTTCTACCAAAAATACAAAAATTAGCTGGGCATAGTGGTGGGCGCCTGTAATCCCAGCTACTTGGGAGGCTGAGGCAAGAGAATCACTTGAGCCTGGGAGGCGGAGTTTTCAGTGAGCCGAGATCATGCCACTGCACTCCAGCCTGGGCAACAGCGCAAGACTCTGCCTCAACAACAACAACAACAAAAAGATTACTACAGAGCATAAGAAAAAGTAGTAAATAATAAGTAAACAGTGAAAACACTATTCTGCATCTTAGAATATTTTTTGACATTCCACTTTTGGTTTCCTTAAAGATTCAAATCTCATCTTTCTTGGCTAACCTGGCGATGTTTATCACTTACAGAAGCTGTTTGATTGCTTTTCAGATTGACATCATTAATAAAATCTTTGTCCAGAACCTTGAAAATCCACCACTGTATAAGAATCACCCTCCAGTAGCAGGTGCAATATACTGGGAACGATCTCTGTTCTTTCGGATTAAGCATACCATCCTCCGATTTCAAGAGGTACAAGAGATACTGGACAGTGATCGAGGACAGGAGGTATGTTGCTCTTGCTAGAATTGGCTCCTTTTGTATTTGATTTTTTTTTTTTTTTTGAGATGGAGTCTCGCTCTGTCGCCCAGGCTGGAGTGCAGTGGCGCAATCTCGGCTCACTGCAACCTCCGCCTCCCAGGTTCAAGCGATTCTCTTGCCTCAGCCTCCCAAGTAGCTGGGACTACAGGCATGTGCCACCACGTCCGGCTAATTTTTTTGTATTTTTAGTAGAGGTGGGATTTTACCGTGTTAGCCAGGATGGTCTGGATTTCCTGACCTCGTGATCTGCCCACCTGGGCCTCCCAAAGTGCTGGGATTACAGGCGTAAGCCATAGCACCCGGCCCTGTATTTAATGTTTTAATCCTAGACTGGCTGCCCTCCCCGATCCCATCCAGGAGAAGCATTAGATCAGGCTGCTGCCGCCATGCAGCACGCTATGTAGAGTGGCCCATTTGAGAAGCAGCTCAATTTCAGACCCATGCCTGTGAGTTAGAGGGTCTTTCTGTTGTCCTTGCATTCATGCTCATAGTAAACTGCCTTTTGCGTTCCTTCTTTTTCTTTTCTTTTTCTTTTTTTTTTTTTTAAGACAAGGTCTTGCTGTGTTGCCCAGGCTGGAGTGCAGTGGCACAATCACAGCTCACTGCAGCCTTGACCTTCTGGGTTTAAGCGATCCTCCTGCCTCAGCCTCCCGAGTAGCGGGGCCTACAGGTGTGGGCCACCACGCCTGGCCCATTTTTGTATTTTTTGTAGAGATGAGGTTGCACCATGTTGCCTGCCCAGGCTGGTCTCAAACTCCTGAGCTCAAGCAATCTGTCCACCTCGGCCTCCCAAAGTGTTGGGCTTACAGGCGTGAGCCACTGCACCTGGCCTGTGTTCTTTCTCTTTGGCATCTTAATACAGAAGACATCTTCCAGAATGTGGTCATGTGGGCTTCTTCCTGTATTGAATTTTCAGCTTCTTTGGAGGATGCCTACCATCTTTTCGATATGATCTCACCCCCCACCCATGGATTTTTATATGTTATATAGCAGAGGCTGGTAAGCCATTTCTTTGAAGATCCCGATAGTAAATATTTTAGGGGTTTGGACAATTTCTCTGCAACGACTCAACCTGTCGTTGCTGCAATAAAGTATCCCCCAGATAATACGTTTTGAACAGGCGTGGCTGTGTCCAATAAAACTTTATTTATGGATGCTGAATTTGAATTTCATATCTTTTTCTTGAGTTACAAAGCATTATTATTCTTTTGATTTCTTTTTAATCATCTAAATCATTTCCTTCTCTTCATGTAAAAGCTGTTCTTAGTTCATGGGTAGAGACCAAGGCAGTTCATGGACTGTGGTTTGCAGAAGGCTGCCAGTCAACCTAGATTTCAAGTTATCAACTATATTAGTCCATTTTGCTATAAAGAAACTGGGTAATTTATAAGAAAAGAGGTTTAATTGGCTCACAGTTCTGCAGGCTGTACAGGTAGCATAGCCTTCCTGGGAGGTCCCAGGAAACTCCCAATCATGGTGGAAGGCAAAGTGGGGGCAGGTACCTCACACAGTGGGAGCAGGAGCAAGAGAGAGTGAAGGGGCAGGTGCTGCCCACTTTCACTTGAGCAGATCTCCCAAGAACTCACTCAGCATCACCAGGACAGTCCCAAGAGAGGTGGTGCAAACCATTCACGAGAATTCCGCCTTCGTGATCCAGTTGCCTCCCAGCAGGCCCCACCTCCAACACTGGGGATTACAATGCAGTATGAGATTTGGGAGGACAGAGATCTGTGCTATATCACCATCGCAGACCAACTCTCCAAGCTTTGGGAAAATCTATTGACTTCCTTTTTCAAAATGTGTTTATATCTAATACTATTTTATATTATATTATTTAATATTATATAACTATATATTATTTATTATATTAACATTTTTATTTATTATATTTATAATGTATGTATACAAAATTATGTAGAAAGATATGAAAAAATGTTTATATATAATTATATAAAAATGACCAGGTGCAGTGGCTCACACCTGTAATCCCAGCACTTTGAAAGGCCGAGGTGGGCAGATCACCTGAGGTCAGGAGTTCAAGACCAGCCTGGCCAACATGGTGAAACCCTGTCTCTACTAAAATACAAAAATTAGCTGGGTGTGGTGGCATGTGCCTGTAATCCTAGCTACTTGGGAGGCTGAGGCAGGAGAATCGCTTGAGCCCGGGAGGCGAAGGATGTAGTGAGCTGAGATCGCGCTACTACACTCCAGCCTGGGCGACAGAGTGAGACTCCGTCTCCAAAAAAAAAAAAAAAAAATTATATAATGTTTATAATAATTTATATATTATATTTATAATTTGTATAAATTATCTGTGTAGAGCGAGATGAAAAATGTTATTTTCAAGGACAAAATGACGGTTGCTTGAATTCTTTGATAGGTCAAACAAAAATATTTGGAAGTAGGTAGGACAATGAAGGAGTATGAAGACAGAAAGTATGAGCAGTGGATGGAGGTGACGGAGCAGGTGCTGCCAGCTCTCATGAAGAAGAGCCTTTTGACCAAGGTGCGCTGCCCACGCCCTCATTCCCGATTGCCGCGTGAGACGATGGCGTCTGCCACATTTTCTCAAGGCTTGATTTGTTGACATTCATGAAGTTGGGTCAGTTTCCAGAATCAAAGACAAGGAAGGGCTAGGGGAGGAGGAGAAAGGAAAGAGTGGAGATGGCACGATGCCATGGCTAGGACGCGGGCTGGAAACGGGCAGCCCTACTGACTTCTTGGGCAAGTGGCTGAATACCAAGCCTCCGTTTCCCCATTTATGAAATGCGTTTTATAAATCAGATGATGTAGACAAGCAAAGGGTTGGTTGAATCATATATGAAACAGAGCTGACAGCTGGCCATCTTTAACCTGCAGAAAAATGCCATTCCACCTGATTCATCCTCTTCTTCAGCTCTGGGCCCCGCACTTGGTGAATGCTCGATAAACGAACACCTGCCGTTAGGGAGGAAAGATGCAGCCTGGCAGTTTTAGGTCTTTGGTTCCTGAAATCCTGACGTAGGGACCAAAGCAAGTGGAGAGGGCCAGGTGGGACCCCTAGGGAACAGGTGGGCTCAGATCCGACCAAAGAGGCAACTGCTCCATGTCAGATTTTCCAGTGTTTCAAGGGAAGGCAGAAGGAATTTTTAGGTGAAATTGCTCCATTTTCAAATGCCGGCAACTGAATTGATTCTTCAAAATCTCCGTTCACCAAACAAAATACATATTCCAGCCAGTTCCAGCCAGCACCCCCGTCTGGTGAAGGGCCCAGTGTTGATCTTTTTCATGTTCACTTTTGGTGTGGGTTGTGTTGATCCAACTGTCTCTTGGACTGCCCTGGCCGCGCTGATGGAATGTCTCTTCCACAGTCTTCCATCGCCACAGAGGAGCCTTCGACTTTAGAAAGGGGAGCTGTTTTTGCAATCAACTTTTCACCGGCTCTCAGAGAGATTATTAATGAAACAAAGTACTTAGAGCAGCTGGGGTTCACTGTCCCTGAATTAGCAAGAAATGTTGCTCTCCAGGAAGACAAATTCCTTAGGTAAAAAAATTCTTCTTTTAAATTAGCAGTAAGCTTTTTGTTCTTGGGACCCCTTTACGCTCTTAAAAATTATTGAGGACCCCTCCAAAAGCTTTCATTTTTGTGGATTTTATAATTATGAATTCTTACCACATTAGAAATTGAAGCTAAGGCCTGGGCGTTGTGGTGCTACCTGTAGTCTCAGCTACTTGGGAGGCTTAGGTGGGAGGATTCCTTGAACCTGGGAGATTGAGGCTGCAGTGAACCGTGATTGCTCTATCTCCAGCCTGGGAGACAGAGCGAGAGCCTGTATCCAAAAAAAAAAAAAGAAGAAAAAAAAATTGAAGCTAAGAAAAGTTTAAAATATGGGGTTGGGTGTGGTGGCTCACGCCTGTAATCCCAGTACTTTGGGAGGCCGAGGCGGGCAGATCATGAGGTCAGGAGTTCAAGACCAGCCTGGCCAGCATGGTGAAACCCCATCTCTACTAAAACTACAAAAATTAGCTGGGCATGGTGGCTCATGCCTGTAGTCTCAGCTACTTGGGAGGCTGAGGCAGGAGAATTGCCTGAACCTGGCAGGCAGAGGTTGCAGTGAGCCGAGATCGTGCCACTGCACTCCAGCCTAGGCGACAGAGCGAGACTCCATCTCAAAAAAAAAAAGAAAAGTTTAAAATAGGGATCAACAATAGTAAACCTATTTCATGTAATATAAATAACATCTTTAATGAGAAGTAACCAATATTTTCCAAAAAAGAAAGTTAATGAGAAGAGTGATGTTTTAAATTTCTGCAAATCTCTTGATCAAGGTTGGTCTTGATTGAGACCACGGTCTTTTGTAATCTCTTGACCGCAAAAGCTTTTGATGAGCTTAAAGGTGCTCTCCTCAGGTTTATGACATTCCTGTCATGTGCAGGTACACAGCTGGGATACAGCGCATGTTGGATCATTATCACATGCTCATAGGAACGTTAAACGATGCGGAGTCTGTGCTTCTCAAAGATCATTCCCAGGAACTGCTCCGAGTGTTTAGGTCGGGATATAAGAGGTTGAACTGGAACTCACTAGGTAACGTCATTCATCTATTGATTGCCTTTTAGACTTGGGATGCAAAGTAATTCTTTTAGGTTGTTTTATTTGAATTACCATTTTCATATGTTTATAGAGACAATTAACAATTTTTGAGGGTTAAGAAATACAAGTTGCGGAACTTAGAACTGATCTCCAGGCTGTCGTTGGGATGAAGATAAGAGGGGTGATATTTTCACACTCTGCAGACCCAAAGCACATTTCTCCCAAAAGAAAATCACCTTTACTTTTATTTTTTTAATTAAAAATGTAATTTGGAGGTAATTATAGATTCACATGCAGTTGTTAAGAATTACGACAGAGGGAGCCTTCGTACCCTTTAGTCATTTTCCCTAAGTAGTAACTTCTTGCAAAACTAGTTAAGATCACAACCAAGATATTGACATTGATACAGTCGAGATAGAGAGCATTTTCAACACCACAGCGAGTACTGTCAAGTCCACTTCCCTCCCATCCTTGCCCTCTCCTTAATCCCTGGCAACCATGAATCTTTATTCAATTTCTGTAATGTTGTCATTTCAGAGTGTTATATAAATGAGATAACACATAGCCCTTTTTTGATTTGGCTCTTCTTGCTCAGCCTAAGTCTTCAAAGATCTGCCCTTGTTGGATGTGTCAACAGTCTGTGGATTTTCGAAGCATACCCCACGGTATCAATGTACCATAGTTTGTTCAGCCTTTCACCTTTTGAAGGACAACTAGGTTGTTTCCGGTTTTGGCTCTTAGGAATAAAGCTGCTATAAACATTTGTGTACAGGGTTTTGTGTGACAGGAGTCTTCACTTTTTCTGGGATAAATGCCCAGGAGTGCAGTTGCTGAGTTGCACGGTAGTTGCATGTTTAGTTTAAGGTTGTTGTTGTTGTTGTTTTGAGATGGAGTTTCGCTCTTGTTGTCCAGGCTGGAGTGCAGTGGGGCAATCTCAGCTCACTGCAATCTCCACCTCCTGGGTTCAAGCGATTCTCCTGCCTCAGCCTCCCGAGTAGCTTGGATTATAGGCACCTGCCACCACTTCTGGCTCACTTTTGTATTTTTAGTAGAGATGGGGTTTTGCCATGTTGGCCAGGCTGATCTTGAACTCCTGGCCTCAAGTGATCCATCCGCCTTGGCCTTTCAAAGTGCTGGGATTACAGGCGTGAGCCACCACGTGTGGCCTTTTTTTGTTTTTGTTTTTGTTTTACTGTCATGCTGTCTTACAGGGCGGCTGTGCCATTTTACATTTCCATCATCAATATATGAGTGACTCGGTTTCTCTGCATCCTGGCCAGTTTTGCTGTCACTTTTTTTTTTTTTTTTTAATTTTGGCCATCTGATAGCTGTGTAATGATATCTCATGGTTCTGATTTGACTTCTGTAATGGCTAATGGTGTTGAGCATCTTTTCATGTGCTAATAAGCACAAATATGTCATGTGTATGGCCTCTTCAGCAACACGTCTTTTTATGTCTTTTGCCTATTTTCTAATTAGATTGTTTGTTTTCTTTACTGTTGAGTTTTGAGCATCCTTGGTATACTCTAGATACTCGTCTTTTATTGGATGTGTGGTTTGCAGCTATTTTCTCCCACTCTGTCGCTTGTCTTTTCTTTCTCGTAGGAGGGCCTCTGGTAGAGCAAAAACTGTAAATTTCAACTAAGTCCAGTGTATCAATTTTTCCTTTAATGGGTTCTACTTTTGCTGTCAAGTCGAAGAATCATAAGTTTTTTTCTCTCCTTGTGTTTTGTTTCTAAAAATGTTATAGTATGATGTTTCCCAGTATAGTCTGTGATCCACTTTGGGGTTTTTATTTTCATAAAGTGAGACCGATCGTAAGTACTTAGCCCGAGTTTACTGTTCATGTTCTTGCTGTTCGTCTAAGCTCCAGGCCAGAGGAGGCTGCGGGCAGGTGGTGCAGAGTGGAGGTTCAGGGAGCTCCAGCAGTGAGAAGACAGCTAGGCTTGATAGTCCCTTTCTCCCCATGGTGCTCCAGCCAGGACCGTGCTAACATTTGAATAGAAGAGATGCATTGCTTGGTTGATTCTGGGCTCAGGACTCCTTGTCCCAGTCCCTTAGGGTTCAAAGTGGATCTTTGCCAGCCCAAAGACCCAAGGGGTTGGAATGAGCAGGGTCTTTCCTGCAAAGGGATGCCAGTATTAACATCACAGACGTTGGTGGGGGGATGTGGAAAGACAGAGTTGGAAGCCAAATGTCTTTCTTTCTTTCTTTCTTCAAAGGTATCGGTGACTATATAACTGGTTGCAAACAGGCCATTGGGAAATTTGAGTCTCTCGTCCACCAGATTCATAAGAATGCAGATGACATTTCTTCCAGGCTGACATTAATAGAGGCCATAAATCTCTTTAAATATCCAGCCGCTAAAAGTGAGGAAGAACTCCCAGGTAGATCTGACTTCTGGGTTCTCCAGTTATGGAATTAATGAGAACATATATTGTATATACATACATGTGTATATATGTACCTATAAATATACATATGTATTTGTATGTTCCATGAATGGCATCAAACCATTTCTAATGCTCTCAGTCATTTACTTGAAAGAATCACGGGTAGCTATTACTTTTTGTCATGTTTTATATATTGCTTAGTTTAACAAATTCATGTTTATTTGTTTTTGTTTTGTTTTTTTCTGAGACGAGGGCTCACTATGTTGCCCAGGCTGGTCTTGGACTCCTGGCCTCAAGTGATCCTCCCACCTCATCTGCGAAAGCCTGTGGTACTTTGTTGATAACTTTGTAACAGTAAAGCTAGTTGTATTTTTTATGGGCTCACATTTACTTGCTAAAGAAAGATACTTTAGGCAGGGCTCGGTGGCTCACGCCTATAATCCCAGCACTTTGGGAGGCTGAGGCAGGCAGATCACAAGGTCAGGAAATCGAGACCATCCTGGCTAACACGGTGAAACCCTGTCTCTACTAAAAATACAAAAAATTAGCTGGGCGTGGTGGTGGGCACCTGTAGTCCCAGCTACTCGGGAGGCTGAGGCAGGAGAATGGCGTGAACCTGGGAGGCGGAGCTTGCAGTGAGCCCAGATCGCACCACTGCAGCACTCCAGCCTGGGTGACAGAGTGAGACTCCGTCTCAAAAAAAAAAAAAAAGATACTTTAAGTGGTCTTAGACTAGTCAACAAGGAATTCAAGATATGTCAACAATGAATTGAAGAAAAACAAGATTGCCCAAAGGTATAAAAGCCACTAGATGTGCGTAACTGGTTGTCATTTATTTGTTGCTTAGTGTGTGTTCTGATATTGACTTATGTTCTGCTTTGGGCTGAGGTTGGAGGCTGGTTTTGGTTTTTTTAAGACACACAGCTCATGTTTGGATTGCCTTTTGAGTGCTGTCCTTCCCTGTGTTCGTGGACAGCTCTAACAGACATCTTTCTCTCCAGGCGTGAAGGAATTTTTTGAACACATTGAGCGAGAAAGGGCCAGCGACGTGGACCACATGGTCCGGTGGTATCTTGCCATTGGACCACTGCTGACCAAAGTTGAGGGCCTGGTCGTCCACACCAACACAGGCAAGGCCCCCAAGCTGGCCTCCTACTACAAATACTGGGAAAAGAAAATTTATGAGGTCCTGACAAAGCTCATCCTGAAGTAAGTTCATCTTGTTGCATGCTTTAAAATGGTGTGTGTAGATTAAAACAGTTGACAAATATGGACAGTTAGAGGGGGTGGCAAGGTAGAGAATGAAAATCAGTTGGATGGTCAGAGGCTTTCTGGCAGAAGGGCACTCACAGAATGGGGGGATGACCTTCATGATCTTGTTAGGCCCCTCAACATTCCAAAAAAGAAAGGATCCCTCTCCCCACTTCAACTGTCTGAAAGCCATCGTGAGCCTGTGTTCAGCTGGCAGCAGAGAATCGCTGTCACTCAATATTGGCTAGAATCCCAGAGGACTTCCTTGTTCATGTTGAGAGTGACAGACGTGAAGGACACATGGCCTATTCCTTGCTGATTTCAAGTCAGCCCCTAGTTAGCGCGGTCTGTGCGTGTTGAATGCCTGTTTCATGTGCCAGCCTCTGACACGCCAGACTCTGTCCCTTCCCTCCTGGGCCTCACCCTCAGCAGCTCAGCCAGACCAGCTGGAAGCTGAGTGCCTGGACCCCATCGCATTGGTGGCCCACAGACTGTTCTGGGGTGTGAGGCTGACAGTTTAGGATCATTCTAGGAAACCAGCCTGTGAAATCCATCACCGTTACCGTCACGTCTATATTGTCAAGAGTAGTGTTCATTTTATCATGCAGTGTCTTCCTTATGAAGGGGAACTCCAGAAGAAATGACTCTAGTTCCTTCTTTGACCCCAGCCTCACATTTTTCTCTTCTTTTCTTTTTTTTTTTTTTTTTGTTTGAGACAGAGTCTCGCTCTGTCGCCCAGGTTGGAGTGCAGTGGCATGATCTCGGCTCACTGCAAGCTCCGCCTCCCGGGTTCATGCCATTCTCCTGCCTCAGCCTCCTGAGTAGCTGGGACTACAGGCGCCCACCACTACGCCTGGCTAGTTTTTTGTATTTTTAGTAGAGATGGGGTTTCACCGTGTTAGCCAGGGTGGTCTTGATCTCCTGACCTCATGATCCGCCCGCGTTGGCCTCCCAAAGTGCTGGGATTACAGGCGTGAGCCACTGCGCCCGGCCACCCCGCCTGACATTTTTCTTTTTCGTTTTTTGCTTTCATTTTCTTGTTTGGTTTTTAAGTGATACGGACTCTATGGATTGTTAACTTCATAGCTTTCCCTTTCACGTTGGCTGCTAGGAAGCTTAGAACCAAATTTGTGGCCTAAATGCAGCAAGTGTGTAGGTATCTATGATTCACATTTTAGTCTCATCTGAACACATAGGAAAGCTCACCTTGCACCATGTTCTGTGCTGGACTCTTTCCAATTCTCATCCCTGTTTTACAGAGGAGGATACAGAATCTTGGCAGGTTAAGTGACTCGTCCGGGACCACACAGCCAGTAAGAGAAAGGGCTGGGATTTGAACCTGGGCAGTCTGACTCCAGTATCATTTCCTGAAATGGTGTCTGATTAGTGTCTTCTTCGTTCCTTACTTTACCTCACTTTGATTTTAGGATCTCTTACTGCAGTTAAAGTATCTTTGTGAGCTGCTAAAAATCTCTTTTGGAATAATACACTGAAAAATAAAACAAAAACCTTTGGTCTTCTTGTTTTCTGGACCCAGTTTCGCAAACTTCTCTAAGTTGATCCTTTAAATAACTCTGTTTTCTGTGTATTTCATTTATTCTCTGTTACTACTTTTAATTTAGATTCCTAAAGCAGTCCCTTACATGGAGCTACCTCCTATAGTGTTTCCCTTACTAATATGCTATGTTTTTTTTTTTTTTTTTGAGACGGAGTCTTGCTCTGTTGCCCAGGCTGGAGTGCAGTGGCGCAATCTTGGCTCGCTGCAACCTCCGCCTTCTGGGTTCACACCATTCTCCTGCCTCAGCCTCCTGAGTAGCTGGGACTACAGGTGCCCACCATCACGCCCAGCTAATTCTTTTGTATTTTTAGTAGAGACGGAGTTCCACTGTGTTAGCCAGGATGGTTTCAATGTCCTGACCTCGTGATCTGCCTGCCTTGGCCTCCCAAAGTTCTGGGATTACAGGCGTGAGCCACCGCGCCTGGCCCTGCTATGTTTTCTTTTGATCCATTTATTAACTCATTCATTCATTTGTTCATCCATCCATCCATCATCCATCCATCCATCCATCTGTTCATTCACTCATCCATCCACACATTCATCCCCACATCCATCCATCCATCCATCCATCCATCCATCCATCCATCCATCCATCCAAGGTTGAGTAAAGCCTGCCCTGTGCTGCCTGTTGGATTAGACTCTGGTCACAGACAAGGCCCCTGTATCCTTGCAGTTTCTCTAACCTCATAGAGAAGGCAGGACACAGGGAAACAGACATAAAAGAGATGAGTTCTGTAAAAGAAACAAAGCAGCCTAGTGTTCTGGGGAGAGAATGGAGATGCTGCTGTAATTGGGTGGTCAAGAAAGACCCCGGAAATTCCACATTTTAGTAGAGACCTGAAGATGAGGAGTGAGCTGAAACGGGGAAGAGCTTTCTGGGGGAAGCCAAAAACTGCTGTGAAGACCCACAGGTGGGCCTTTGGTCAGTGGAAGAAACAGAAAGAAGGAAAGATGAGATTGAAGGAGGGGATGAAGCTGGAGAGGGTGGCAGGGGTGGATCAGGTCACAGGGAGCCTGGGAAGCCACGGCAGGGAGCTTGCATTTTATCTGACAGCCATGGGAGGCTGCTGGAGTGTTTTCAACTGGAGAAAGAGGAGGAGAGGGAGGGAGAGAGAAACAGGGAGAGGGATCGAGAGAGAGAGGTGGAGAGAGAGGCAGAGGGGGAGAGAGAGAGAGATAAGGAGGGGGGAAGAGGGAGAGAGGAAGGGAGAAGCCTGGAGAGGGAGAGAGAAACAGGAAGAGGGAGAGAGAGGTGAAGAGAGAGGGGAGAGAGAGGAGAGAGAAGGGGAGGGAAAAGGAGAAGGAGGGAGGGAGAGGGTGAGAGAGGGAGGTGGAGTGAGAGGGAGAGGGAGAGAGAGACGGGAGGAGGGAGAGGGAGGAGTTAGATGTTTTTGTTTTGTTTTGTTTTTTGAGACAGGGTCTCACTCTGTCACCAAGGCTGGAGTGCAGTGGCATGTTCATGGCTCACTGCAGCCTCAACCTCCCTGTCTCAAGCAATTCTCCCACTTCAGCCTCCTGAATATCTGGGACCACAGGCGTGTGCCACTATGCCCAGCTAATTTATTTTTATTTTAGAGACAGGGTCTTGCTGTGTTGCCCAGGCTGGTCTCAAACTCCTGGGCTCAAATGATCCTCCCACCTCAGCCTCCCAAAGTACTGGGATTACAGATGTGAGCCACTGCGCCCCGCTAGATGTTTTAAAATAGTGTCTCTGGCTGCCATGTGAATTACTGGATGGGGTTGGGCCGGCAGGGGGAAGCAGGGAGACTGGGCTGGAGGCTGATGAAGTTCCATCCCTGGGTGTCACATCTACTTTCATCCTGGAAAGGATGGAGCCAGTAGGGCAGGCTGGGTGGGGATGTGAGTGCTCCTTTTTCCTTACCAGAGTTGAGCAGGTTTTGGAAGTCATTATTGTTTAACTATTTTCCAACCAAAAGGTCTTCAGTTTTCCAAAAGTGGAAATGAACTGTTTGTATAAATTTAGTGCAAAAAAAGAGTATTTTAAGTAAGACTCACCCCAGCCTGTCTAGGACAGCCTCACAGTGTGCCATTGCCTGTACCTGTGATTTTTGTGGCCCTGGTCATTTCCATCAATTGCTTGGTGTATTTCACTCTAGTGAGATACACTCTGAGTCTTTCTCATCAACCCCTCTTAGGAACTTGCAGTCTTTTAATTCTTTGATCCTTGGAAATGTCCCTCTGTTCCACACTGAAACCATTCTGACGGCACCTGAGATCATCCTTCATCCCAACACAAATGAGATCGACAAGATGTGCTTCCATTGTGTCCGGAATTGCGTGGAGATCACCAAGGTGAGAGCGGAGGTGCTTGTGTCCTTGCTCAGACGGCATCTCAGGATGCCTCCGCCTCCCAAAGTGCTGGGACTATAGGCGTGAGCCACTGCCCAAGGTGGAATTCTTGACCTTCTGCCTTGTGACTCAGTCATCCCCCAGTTTTCCCCACTTCAGGAAATGGCACCAACATCAAACCAACTGCTTGACCCAGAAACTCGTCCTTGTTTCTTCTTCTCTCACCCAGCCCTGCCCGGCTCACATCAGTAAGTCCTCCAAACATACTTCCCATCTGTCCTCTTCTCTCCTGTCCCCCCAGTACCTTCCTATCCCAAGTGGCCATCACCCCTCTCCTGGACTGTTGCAGTGACGTTCCATCAATCCATTCTCCACCACCGGTGGTCAGAATTACCTTAAACAAATACAAATCAGGCCAGGTGCAGTGGCTCACGCCTGTTATCCTAGCACTTTGGGAGGCTGAGGTGGGAGGATTGCTTAAGCCCAGGAGTTCCAGACCAGCCTGTGCAACATGGTGAGACCCCCCCATCTCTACCAAAACTAAAATTAATTAGCTAGGCGTGGTGGTGCACACCTGTGTTCCTAGCTACTTGGGAGGCTGAGGCAGAGGATTGCTTGAGCCCAGGAGTTCAAGGGTACAGTGAGGTATGGTTGCACCACTGCACTCCAGCCTGGGCAACAGAGCAAGACCGTGTCTCTAAAACAACAACAACAACAACAACAACAACATATCATTTCGTGTCATCCCTGTTGTAAACTGCCCCCACCCACCCCATGACTTAATTACACTTGGAACATAATCCAGATATCTTTGTGTGCTCTGTGAGGCCGCCATGCTCTAGCCCCTGGCTGCCTTTCTGATCTCAGTCCTACGAGGATCATGCTCCCTCATGCTGCAGCTTGACTGGCTGCCTGGTTGTGCCTCCAGCAGGCACCATGGGTTCCTCTTGCAAGGATCTCCATAGCTGTTCCCTCACCTGGAACATTCTGCTCCCCTGACCTTCTTGTCCTCTCTCTCCCGTCACCCCCCTCCCATCTTCCTACCACGTACCACTCTCCGACCTTTTCTTATTTTTTTCCTTGCTTATTTATCTATTGATCCTTTCAGGCCACTAGAATGTAAGATCCATGGGAATACAGACCTTGAGTGTTTTGTTCCCTTTAGAATCCCCAGCACCAAGAACATCTGGCACATAGTTGGTTCTCAGTAAATGTTTGTTGAATGAACATCTGCTGGCAGAAAACCCAAGGTTTATGTCTTACCCCAAATTGGAAAATAGAGCTGTCTTTGTGGGTATGGGGCATCACCCCCCAGCACACTGGCATCTTCCTCTTCACTTGGCTTGTTCAGCAAGTCAGACATGTTTCCGGCATTTTTAGGGGCATAAAAATAAGTTTAGAAATCAGAATAGGGAATTTCATTTCACAGTACTTAAAAATTGATGAATAAGGCCAGGCGCGGTGGCTCACGCCTGTAATCCCAGCACTTTGGGAGGCCGAGGTGGGTGGATCATGAGGTCAGGAGATTGAGACCATCCTGGCTAACATGGTGAACCCTGTCTCTACTAAAAATACACACACATACACACAAAATTAGCTGGGCGTGGTGGCGGGCGCCTGTGGTCCCAGCTGCTTGGGAGGCTGAGGCAGGAGAATGGTGTGAACCCAGGAGGCAGAGCTTGCAGCGAGCCGAGATCGCACCACTGCACTCCAGCCTGGGCGACAGGGTGAGACTCCGTCTCAAAAAAAAAAAATGTTGAATAAACGGTACATGTTTTATAATCCATGCTAAGACAGTTATTTATTAAGTCTCTGTTACATAAATTCTCTTATAGGTGCTGTATGTTATAGGTGCTATGTATGTTTCCTTTGTAAGGGAAACAGCAATTTTTAAGAGGTAAATAAATAGGAAAGTTGGCCTATAAAACATTATGAATATTAATCACAATATTCCATGCCAACTTAACTTTCCTCCTTACTAATAGATGGATTTGAGGCTCTTGGTGAAGCCTGTATTATTTTAGCTTCATAAGTTTTTTCTTTTAAATGAAAATAATTTTTACTTATTCTCTTAGATAAGGTTAAAAATGTATTTCATTAAAAAGATCTTGGCAAATGAACATGCATGGCTAGGCCACTTAATATGGTTGAACTCTTTGATCTTCAGGATTCCTATTTCGTGGCAAAAAATAATGAGCCAAAGTTTTAACTAGTTTCTGAATTTTACCTCCTCTACTAAGTGGAAATGATAATACCATTCACCTTCTAGTGCGTGCTGTTGGGAGGATTAAATTATATAACACGTGTATACAGCTTAGTGCAGTGTTTGGCAATCAGTAGCTCTGAATAAATGTTAGCTATTAGTATTAGTATTACTTTTTTTTTTTTTTTGAGATGGAGTCTTGCTCTTTCACCAGGCTGAAGTGCAGTGTTGTGATCTCAGCTCACTGCAACCTCCACCTCCCGGGTGTGAGTGATTCTCCTGCCTCAGCCTCCCGAGTAGCTGGGACTACAGGCATGTGCCATCACACCCAGATAATTTTTGTATTTTTATTTATTTTTTTTTTTGAGATAGAGTCTTGCTGTTTCGCCTAGGCTGGAGTGCAGTGGTGCAATCTCAGCTCACTGCAAGCTCCGCCTTCCGGGTTCATGCCATTCTCCTGCCTCAGCCTCCCGAGTAGCTGGGACTATAGGAGCCCACCACCACGCCTGGCTAATTCTTTGTATTTTTTTTAGTGGAGTTGGGGTTTCACCATGTTAGCCAGGATGGTCTCAATCTCCTGACCTTGTGATCCGCCCACCTCGGCCTCCCAAAGTGCTGGGATTACAGGCGTGAGCCACTGCGCCTGGCCTAATTTTTGTATTTTTAGTAGAGACAGGGTTTCGCTATTTTGGCCAGGATGGTTTTGATCTCTTGATGTCGTGATCTGCCTGCCTCTGCCTCCCAAAGTGCTGGGATTACAGGTGCGAGCCAACGCGCCCCGCCTAGTGTTAGTATTACTGTTATTAGTAATATTGGAAGCAGAAGTATTAGGTCAGTGCAAAAGTAGCTGTGGTTTTTACCATTAAAAGTATTGGCAAAACTGCAACTACTTTTGCACCAACCTATAGTAGTTGTTATTCACATTTTACAGATGGTGAGCATATTGTTCAGAGAACTAATGTGTCACATACCTATGGTTTGCTGTTATGACTCACGCTTGATTAAAACAGAGCCTTGGCCGGGCGCAGTGGCTCACGCCTGTAATCCCAGTACTTTGGGAGGCCGAGGTGGGCGGATCACGAGGTCAGGAGATCGAGGCCATCCTGGCTAACACGGTGAAACCCCATCTCTACTAAAAATACCAAAAATTATCTGGATGTGGGGGTGGGTGCCTATAGTCCCAGCTACTCGGGAGGCTGAGGCAGGAGAATGGTGTGAACCCAGGAGGCAGAGCTTGCAGTGAGCTGAGATTGCGCCACTGCACTCCAGCCTAGGCGACAGAGCGAAACTCCGTCTCAAAAAAAACAACAAAACAAACAAACAAACAAAAAACAGAGCCTTAACTCTACAGCAGGGAGATGTCAAATTAGCAGATTTGTTCTGGGACACTAAGCAGTCAATTTGCCTGAATGTGTGTTTTTTCCTCTGTAAATATGGAAATAAAAGTTTTTTTAATTCATCCATGGTGTAGTTGGCCTTTATGTTATAACAAGCCACTTCAAAACTTACTGGCATAAAACAATAATCATTTAGCTCTGGGTTCTGTGGGCTGAGTTCTGCTGAACAGTTCTTCTGGTCTTGGCTGGGCTCACTCGTGTCTAGCAGTTGATGACCTCAAGCACAGCTCTGATGGGTGGCGGCTGGGGTTCTCTTGTGTATGGCCTTTCGTGGTGTAGTAGACCAGCTCGAGCTGGTGGTTGCAAGGTTCTGAGAGCATGAGAGCAGAAGCTGCAGGGCTTTCTTGACTCCTTGGTTTGAATTTGCATAATACCATGTCCGCCCCTTTCCATTGGTCAAGTTAAGTCACAAGGCTTGCTCCGGAAGGGAAATAGGCTCCATCTCTTGATGAGAGGAACAAAGGATTATGGTAATTTTTGAATCTCAAATAATTTATTAATAATAAAGTGATTTTCCATTACTGGCAAGACTTATTACTGAATACTAATATGTACGTTGGAGGCAAAATAGATACTAAAATACTGTCTTTTCTCCTAATTCTTACTTTGCCAGCATTTTGTTCGTTGGATGAATGGCAGCTGCATAGAATGCCCACCTCAGAAGGGGGAGGAAGAGGAAGTTGTTATAATAAACTTTTACAATGATATCTCTCTGAACCCTCAGATAATTGAACAAGCTGTTATGATCCCCCAAAATGTCCACAGGATTCTGATCAATCTTATGAAGTATCTACAAAAATGGAAGCGGTATCGACCTCTCTGGAAATTGGACAAAGCTATTGTGATGGAGAAATTTGCTGCCAAGAAACCTCCTTGTGTAGCATATGATGAAAAGTTGCAGTTCTATTCCAAGATAGCTTATGAGGTTATGCGCCACCCTCTAATTAAGGATGAGCATTGCATCAGACTTCAGCTCAGGCATCTGGCAAACACAGTGCAGGAAAATGCCAAGTCCTGGGTGATTTCGCTTGGAAAACTTCTCAATGAGTCAGCAAAAGAGGAGCTCTATAATCTCCATGAAGAGATGGAGGTACTCAATCGCTGTGTGTAATTGAAACTACTTTTCGTGTAAGTTGGGTCTTCATTTGCGCCATTACTGTTTTTTCTGTGTTTGCTTAGTGTTCTTTGTACTTTCTGTTATAGCACCTGGCCAAAAACCTTAGGAAGATCCCCAATACCCTTGAAGATCTCAAGTTTGTCCTTGCAACAATTGCAGAAATTAGAAGTAAATCTCTAGTCATGGAACTCAGATATAGGGACGTCCAGGAGCGATACCGTACCATGGCAATGTATAACCTCTTTGTAAGTCAACTTGTATTTTCTTATTCATTTAACAATTGGATTGACCACTAACGACCCTTTTCAGAAATGCTTCTCAAGTATACTGCCATTGATTTGTTTTCAAATAAGTGACTTTAAGTAATACATTGTAAATGTAAAGCAATGCCACTGTTATTTAGAATAATGAAAATATAGAGTATTTTTCAATCTGTATGGCTCAAATGGATTGATCTGTAACTATACCATTTCCATTCTCCCTTTTCTTTTCTTCTTTTTTTTGTGTTAATTTCCTTTAATAGATAAAGAGCTCTTGCAAAAATGATAAGAAGAGAGTGAAAGATTTAAGATAATAAAAGAAACTGGTAGAAGATAATTCAATTAGTCTTGCTTTGTTTAGGGTTGTTAAATTTGGGTTCTCAGGATCTTTCAAAGTCATGGATGAGTTTTAGGGGGTCTGGGTTCCCCCTGAAGTTGTATGGAAATTTTACATACTGTACATTTTTCTGATGATGAAAGAAAGTCAAGTTTTTGGCCCAGGTCTACTGCTCAGCAAGGGCATTTGTGAGCTCCACATCCTAACCACTAGGCTGCAAGGGTCCTGGTGTTTGAAGCAGTCAAGCAATAGAAATGCTGAAAGACAAACTTCATGCAAATCCTGATTTATTCATAGCAATTTGTTTCTCTTCTCTAGTTTGTATTTCTCCCTTGGCCAGGTAGATTTTTTTTTTTTTTTTTTTTTTTGAGACGGAGTCTCGCTCTGTCGCCCAGGCTGGAGTGCAGTGGCATGATCTCGGCTCACTGCAAGCTCCGCCTCCCAGGTTCACGCCATTCTCCTGCCTCAGCCTCCCGAGTACCTGGGACTACAGGCACCCGCCACCACACCCGGCTAATTATTTTTTGTATTTTTAGTAGAGACAGGGTTTTACTATGTTAGCCAGGATGGTCTCGATCTCCTGACCTTGTGATCCACCCACCTTGGCCTCCCAAAGTGCTGGGATTACAGGCATGAGCCACCGCGCCCGGCCTAGCCAGGTAGATTTTTGTCAGACTTTGCTTCCCTGGTTTACGTCACAGAAATAATAGAAGAATCACTGTAACAAAGGATTTTGCACTAAGTGTGCAATGGGTCACACACAAAAAATGAATCAGAATGTCAAATTCCAACAACAACAACAACAAAACAACAACAGTTGAGATTTTGATTGTGATTGCATTGATCCTTTAGATTAATCTGCACAAATGGACATCCTGTAGTATTGAGTTTTCCTATCCATGAACATGTTCTCTCTCTCTTTATTTAGGTCTTTAATGTCTCCCCGTAAAGATTTATAATTTTCCCCATAGAGGCCTTACCTATTTTTTGCCAGATTTATTCCTAGGTACTTGGTATTTTTAGATGCTCTTGTAATTGGTATCTTTAATTTTTATTTTAATTATTTTATTTTTTATTGTTATATAGAAAGACAATTGATATTTGCATTCTACTTTTTTATGATCAGTAATTATGAATTTTAATCATTTATCCACAGATTATTTTGGATTTTCTAGGCACACCATTTTATAAACTGTGAATATTGACAGTTTCATTTTAATTTTTAAATATTTTGTTTCTTTTTCTCACCTTATGACTCTAGCTAGGAATTCCTGTACGAGGCTGGATGAAAGGGGAGGTAGGGGAAATCCGTGTCTTGTTCTTGATCTCAGAGGAAAAGCTTTTGGCACTGTATCATTAAATATGGTAATTGCTGTGTGGTTTATTAGATTAACTCCAATACAATAAGAGAAATATACAGTTGTGTATATTTAACACAATGGGGATATATTCTGAGAATGTGTCAATGGGCAATTCCATAATTGTGCAAACATCATGGAATGTACTTATACAAATCTAGATGATATAGCTACTACACACCTAGGCCATATGGTAGAACCTATTGCTCCTAGGCTACAATCCTGTCCAGCATGTACTGTACTGAATACTATAAGCAATGTAATATAACAGTAAGTATTTGTGTATCTAAACATAGAAAAGGTACAGTAAAAATACAGTATTGTAATCTTATGGGAATACTGTCATATATGCAATCAATTTTTGGCCCAAAACATCATTTTGTTGCTCTTTGATCTTTGACAAAAGACCAATGACTGTCTTTGGTCATTGTCCCTGGTTCCTGACACAAAGCTTTCAAAACACTTGTAATTTCCTGAGTGATAGGGGTCACAGGAACATCTTTTGTTACAATATTGTTCTTTGTCCCTGGTTCCTGGCGCACAGCCTCTCAAATCCTTGGACTCTGGAGTGACAAGAGTGTCTTTTGTATGCAAGTGAAATGACTGGTGGCTGGGAGCCCTAGGCAGCTTCAGCATGGGGGCTGGTTGCCAGAAAGATCAAGCCATAAATTATTTAGAGGTTTGGAACTTTCAGGCGCCCATCTTTGCCACCCTTGGGGAGGGAAGAGGGGCTGGAGATTGGAGATCAACAAAGGCCAGTGATCTAATCAGTCATGCCTGTATAATGAAACCTCCATGAACATCCCTAAATGATGGGATTTGGAGAGCTTCCAGGTTGTTAACCACACCAAGGTGCTGGGAGAGTGGTGTGCTCAGAGAAGGCGTGGAGGCTCTGTGCACCCCCCAACCCCATACCTTAGCTTATGCGTCTCTTTCGTTTGGCTGTTCCTGAGTTGTGTCTTTTATAATAAATCAGTGATGGGAAGTAAAGTGTCCTTCTGAGTTCTGTGAGCCATTTCAGCAAATGGTCAAATGTGAAGGAGACGTGTGTGGGGGAACCCCTGATTTTGTAGCCAGGTTGGACAGAAGTCTGTGTACCCTGGGCACCTAATACTTGCAACTGGCATCTGAAGTGAGGACAACCTTATGGGACTTACGCCTGCATTTCTATTGAGTATAGGCCTAGACGTGAAGTTGCTGGGTTACAGGAATCCACGTGTTCAGCTTCACTAGATTCTGCTAATTTTCCAAAGTGATGGTACCCCTTTACATCCATACCAGCACGAATAAGGGTTTCAGTTGCTCCGTCTCCTTACAAATACTTAGTTTGTTGATCTTTTGGAAACACCAACTTTGGGTTTTTTTTATCCCTTCTATGTGTGGATATTATTCCATCATCTTCTGGCCTCTATTGTTTTGACGGAGGAGTTGACTGTTAATCTTTTTGTTGCTCCCTTTCAAGGTAGTCCAGTCTAACTTTTTTTTTTTTTTTTTTTTTGGTCTGCTTTTAAGAATTTTTTTTTGGTCTTTGGTTTTCAGCAGTTGTAATATGATGTAACTAGGTTCTTTTGTTTTGTTTTGTTCTTCTTTTTTTTTTCCTGATTGAGATTTGTAGTACATTCAAAATCTGCAGGCTGATGTCTTTACCTAGTTTTGGAAAATTAACAGTTTTTGCCTTATTTTTTTTCCCTTCTGGGACTCCAATTCCACATATGTTGGACCTTTCTACAATACCCTGTACATCTTACATTCCTTTCTGCCTTTTCTTTCTGTGGTTTATTCTAATACTTTGTCCTAAACTTTAAGTTCATTAATTTTCTATTTATTTATGTCTGATCTGCTTTTCCCGGTTCCTTAAACAATCCTTTGAGTGCTTGATTTCAGGTATTGTCATTATCCATTCCAGAATTTCCATTTTAAAAACAATTTCCTGTGCTCTACCAAAATTCTCAATTTTTTGTCTTTTGTTTCCTTGACTCTATTAAATAAAATTATTTTAAATTGTGTGTCTTATAACTCTGTCGTGATCATTTATGTTGTGTGTGAATCTCTTGGTTTTGTTTAAGTTCTTTCGTGTCTTTATATGGCTGGCATTTCTAACTGAGTTCTTAACAGCCTGTGTGATAAATTGGAGAGAGAGGATTGGAGGCGTTGGGTGATGTTATATTTTATCAGAGGAGATTTATTTTTGCTTCTAACAGACACCATAACTGGGTACATTAGCAAGCTAAGCTAAACTTATTCTAATCAGAGATTAAGTTGATTTGAAGCTGGGCTTTAGTTTATGAAGGGCTTATCTCTCTGTAATATCTCTATTTCTTTTTCTCTTTTTTTTTTTTTTTTTGAGATGGAGTTTCACTCTTGTTGCCTAGGCTGAGTGCAATGGCACAATCTTGGCTCACTGCAACCTCCGACTCCTGGGTTCAAGTGATTCTCTTGCCTCGGCCTCCTGAGTAGCTGCAATTATAGGCATGCGCCACCACCCCAGCTAATTTTGTATTTTTAGTAGATACAGCATTTCTCCACGTTGGTCAGGCTGGTCTTGAACGCCTGACCTCAGGTGATCCGCCTGTCTCAGCCTCCCAAAGTGCTGGGATTACAGACGTGAGCTACTGCACCCAGCCTCTATCTCTTTATTTTTAAAAATGATTTTATACTGATTTTATTTTAATTATAAAATTCAACTTTAATATTTATTTTTATTTTACTTTATTTTTTTGAGATAGAATCTTGCTCTGTCACCGAGGTTGGAGTGCAGTGGTGTGATCTCGACTCACTGCAACCTCTGCCTCCCAGGTTCAAGCGATTCTGCCACCTCAGCCTCCTGAGTAGCTGGAACTACAGGCTCCTGCCACCACGCCTGGCTAATTTTTGTATTTTTAGTAGAGAAGGGATTTCACCATGTTGTCCAGGCTGGTCTCGAACTCCTGACCTCAGGTGACCCACCCGCCTCAGCCTCCAAAAGTTCTGGGATTATAGGCGTGAGCCACTGTGCCCAGCCTAATATTTCTTTTTAAAATTTCTTTTTCTTTTTATATTTACAGAGATACAGTCTCACTGTGTTGCCCAGGCTGGTCTCAAACTCCTGAGCTCAAGGGATCCTCCTGCCTCAGCCCCCCAAAGTACTGGGATTACAGCCATGAGCCATGTAATCCCAGTCTGGCCATGTCTGGCCTTAATATTTCAATCAGCTTTTGAGTTGGTTTGAATTACCTAGCCTCCTGTTGCCACAAGCAGAAGTCCCTGGGAGGTAACTTTGACCATCAATTTCAATTCCAAATTGCTCATCATTTGTTGTTTATTCTGTTTTTTGTTTCTCCTAATTAGCCTCCTGATGCAGAGAAAGAACTGGTTGATAAGATTGAGAGCATATGGTCCAATCTGTTTAATGATTCAGTGAATGTGGAGCATGCTCTTGGGGACATAAAGAGAACTTTCACAGAGGTACCTTTTAAATTTCACTTCCTGAGTAAAGACATTGAAAAACGTATTTGGGCTAAATTAATGTAACCTCGTTTTTCTCAGCTTACTCGAGGCGAAATAATGAACTACAGAGTTCAGATAGAGGAGTTTGCAAAGCGTTTTTACAGTGAAGGCCCTGGTTCTGTTGGTGATGATCTTGATAAAGGTAAGAATGTTCCTGTTGGTCTTACTGAGCGATCTGAGTAGCAAATGTTTGAGTATGTTTTGCTTAAGAGTTTTATGGCAAGTGATGATGGTGCCGTGATTAAAATATTTATTTCTTCCTCAAATACTTTTTTCTTGGCTCATTTTAGTGGTCACATTAAAAAAAAAAAAAGCTGGATTAATGCGACTCATTGATTGTTGAGTGCCTGCTACCCGAAGGTGTTGAGAGAAGTGCCAAGGAGCAGCCTCCACTCCTGTGGGGGATACAGAGGTTTCTGCCGCAGCTCAGAAATCTTAAACACCAGCGACTGCCTTTACAAAGGCAGCGTCTTATCCATCCATCTGCCTCTCTAATGCCTGTTACATTTATTCTTTGGATTCAGATGCTTGTCCTCTGCCCTTCACATCACATAGGCTAAAATGGTGACAAGTTAAAAATACTAAAATTCTGTTTTTTTTTTTTTTTTTTTTTTGAGACAGAGTCTCGCTCTGTCACCCAGACTGGAGTGCAGTGGCACAATCTCAGCTCACCGCAACCTCCACCTCCTGGGTTCAAGTGATTCTCCTGCCTCAGCCTCCTGAGTAGCTGAGACTACAGGCACATGCCACCATGCCTTGCTAATTTTTGTATTTTTAGTAGAGACAGGGTTTCACCATGTTGGCCAGGCTGGTCTTGAACTCCTGACCTCAAGTGATCCTCCCGCCTCAGCCTCCCAAAGTGCTGGGATTACAGGCCTGAGCCACTGAGCCGAGTCCTAAAATTCTTATTCTAAAGAGAATTTGGTAAATACCATGAGACAAAAAAAATACCATGAGACAAACCAAAGACTGCTGTGGCTTCCAAAGAAATGGGTGACGTTTATTTAAGGATGCTCAAAAAAGGCATCTGGGAAATGTGGCATTTGAGTAGATGATTGTGAGCAGGGACGTAGTGACCTAGAGTGGTAGTGGTCATTGGAATTGGGGGAGAAGCATAGAACTGGGAAGTTAGAGTGGTAAGGGAGTTATCAGTAGGATGATGATGTTCTCAAGGGGGCGGCAAAGGATGGTGATGTCGACCACAACATAGACCACCTCAGATTCCCTTAAAATAGTCTCCTTTCTGAATGACCTGGTTGTGAGAATTAGGCACAATTTTCTAACTGGAGGAGACTGCAGATGTCATTGGTCTTTTGGTTTTACTTAGAATGGTGCCATGATTCTAAATTTGTCTTCCCGTGTGGTTTATGAGGATGAAATTATAATTGAGATACATTATGCATGATTTCTTATTCAATTTTGTACACCTTAAAATTGTATTTATTCACTCATCGGTGTATTTATTTACTAGGAGTAGAGCTTTTAGGTGTTTATGAAAGAGAGCTGGCAAGACATGAAAAGAGCCGTCAGGAACTGGCTAACGCTGAGAAACTTTTCGATCTTCCTATTACAATGTACCCAGAGCTGCTGAAAGTGCAGAAGGAAATGAGTGGGCTGAGGATGATTTACGAGCTCTATGAAGGACTAAAGGTGAGCATCTCCCTGAAAGCGAAGGACTCAGGCTCACTGAAGGGGATGTAGGAATTACTTAAGCCCTGCAGACTTTGATGCCACCATAATAATGAGCTTGGGTCTGACGTTGTGGAAACGCTCATTTTGGCCGCAGGGAAGGGGGATGGGGAGTGATTGCTTATGGGTACAGGGTTTCCATTTGGGGTGTTGAAAAAGTTCTGGAAATAGGCTGGGTGCGGTGGCTCACGCCTGTAATCCCAGCACTTTGGGAGGCCAAGGCGGGTGCATCACCTGCGGTCAGGAGTTCGAGGTCAGTCTGGCCAACGTGGTGAAACCCTGTCTCTACTAAAAATCCAAAAGTCAGCCAGGTATAGTGGCAGGTGCCTGTAATCCCAGCTACTCAGGAGGCTGAGGCAGGAGAATCACTTGAACCTGGGAGGTGGAGGTTGCAGTGAGTCCAGATTGCGCCATTGCACTCCAGCCTGGGCGACAAGAGCGAAACTCCATCTCAAAAAAAAAAAAAGTTCTGGAAATAGATAGTGGCGCTGGCTGTGTGACATTGTGAAAGTACTTGATGCCACGGAATTGTACATTTTATTTTTATTTTTGAGACAAAGTCTCGCTCTAACACCCAAGCTGGGGTGCAGTGGTGTGATAATAACTCACTGCAGCCTCGAAGTCCTGGGTCGAAGTGATCCTTCTGCCTCAGCCTGCAAAGCAGTTGGGACTACAGAGGTGCACCACCATGCCCAGCTATTCTTTTTTTAGTTTTAGTAGAGGCAATGTCTCACTGTGTTACCCAGGCTGGTCTGGAACTCCTGATCTCAAGCGATCCTCCTGCCTTGACCTCCCAAAGTGCTGGGATTACAGGCATGAGCCATTGCACCCAGCCTGGAATTACATATTTTAAAATGATTAAAATGACAATTTTTTTTTTATGTATTTTACTGTCATCATAGAAAAGAACTCTCTTTGGAGGTCAAGGGCTTGGTTAAGGCATGGGGTAAACTGTTTAGTTGCAAGCGGAGATTAAAAGTTGCCGTGTCAGCCTGGTGTGGTGGCTCATGCTTGTAATCCCAGCACTTTGGGAGGCTGAGATGGGCAGATTACTTGAGGCCAGGAGTTCGAGACTAGCCTGGGCAACAAGGCGAAACCCCGTTTCTACTAAAAAATACAAAAAAAAGTTCCGGGCACAGTGGCTCACACCTGTAATCCCAGCACTTTGGGAGGCAAGGCGGGTGGATCACTTGAGGCCAGGAGTTCGAGACTAGCCTGGCCAACATGGCAAAACTCCATTTCTACTAAGAAATACAAAACTTAGCCAGATATGGTGGCACATGCCTGTGATCCCAGCTGCTTGGGAGGCTAAGGCACAAGAATCGCTTGAACCCAGGAGGTGGAGGTTGCGGTGAGCTGAGATTGCGCCACTGCACTCCAGCCTGGGTGACAGAGTGAGACTCTGTCTCAAAAAATAAAAATAAAAAAGTTGCAAATGTCATGTCATTTGGGTGCCTCTCATTGGTATGTTTCCCATGCAAATTCATGCTATTCATTCATTTATCTATTGACTTAGTTCTTTATAGCTCAGTGCTGTGCTGGTTGGAGTGTGGGGTCCAGAAAAGGAGTCATGTTTGCCCGTTCCTGCCCTTCTTGAGTCCCCAAGGGAGACTGACTATGTTAGTCTGGGTTCTTGAGAAACAGAATCAATAGGAGATATGTGTATCTATATCTATATCTGTCTATATCTAATCTGTATCTATAACCTGTATCTATACCTGTATCTATATCTAATCTACATCTGTATTACATTATCTAATCTATATCTATCTGTATCTAATCTACATATCTATTTCTAATCTATATCTAATGTATATCTATATATCTGTGTCTAATCTATACCTATATCTATGAGATTTGTGATGAGGAATTGGCTCCTGTGATTATGGAGGCTGAGAAATCCCATGGTCTGCAGTTGGCAAGCTAGAGACCCTGGAGAGCTGATGGTATAGATTCTAGTCTGAGTCCAAGTCCGAATGCGGGAGAACACTGACGTCCCAGCTTGAAGACAGTCAGGCACAGAGGTTGCATTCCACCTTCCTCAGCCTTTTGTTCGATTCAGGCCTGCAGTGGATTGAGTGAGGCCATCCATGTTGGGGAGGGCCACCTGCTTTACTCAGTCCCCCAATGCAAACGCTCATCTCACTCAGTATCTCTCACAAAACACCAGCGTCCACTTGACACACAGGATTCACCTTTGCACCGATATGTGAACAAATAACCACGCCCCCAAGATATGTGCTGGAAATGAGGTGGACAGAGTCCTGAGCTTGCAGAGGAGGAAGGAGAGTGGCCCACTGGCCCAGGGAATGCTGCTGAGGAGGTGGCCTGGGAGTGAGGCTCAGAACCAGAGCAGGCTTTTGCCTGGTGCAGAACAAGGCTTTCCAGGCAGAGCGCTGGGCAGGAGCAGAGACAGGAGATTTGAAGTTGTGTCTTGTGTCCATAACCTTTCATCCAGACTGGTGGCTTTACCAACCATGGATGCACCAGGAAATGGGGTTGGGATGTGCGAAGCGGCCGGTGGAGATGAAGCCGTGAGAAGGGACTCCGGAGGCAGCCGGGGGATTGCAGGCAGGGGGTCCTTTAGGAGGTCACTGCCCCAGTGCTGGCAGAAGGGATGGGAGCTTGCATTTTAGGACAATTATAGAGGGAATAGAGAGGAGAGAAGATTCCAGAGATGGGGTGGAAAGTGATGAGACCTGGTGCCTGCACCAGGCAAAAAATTCATAAAGTTAAAAACATACCGTCAGCTTTTAAAAGGAAAGGTATCATGAGAACTGAGAACAACCACACACATGTCAAAATAAGTGGTTTTAAAATGTTTAATTTTTCTGGGTTCATAGTAGGTGTCTATATGGGATACATAGATGTTTTGACACGGGCATGCAATGTGTAATAATCACATCACGGGGAATGGGATGTCCATCCCCTCAAGCTTTTATCCTTTGTGTTACAAACAATCCAATTATGCTCCTTTAGTTATTTAAAAATATACAATTTTTATTGACTATAGTCACCCTGCCATGCTATCAAATACTAGGTCTTATTCATTCTTTCTGGTTTTTTTTTCTGTAGCAAAATAAGCATTTTTAAAAATCCAATATTGAGACATAGCTTGGTCCCCCCAGCCTACTCTGGTCTGTGGATGTTAAGGGACATTTCATCACCTAGAGTGACTTCCACTCTCCTTGAAATTTATTTTTTCCTAGCAATTGCTTTTCAAAGTTGTGTGCTGAGAAGAGTCTCAGTGACACACTGGGTGGCTTCTGGGAGGCTGGGCAGGGGACTGTCATCATAATCCCAGGGGATCCTGGGGTGGCAGCGGTGCAGGTTGGGAAGCATGGGTGGATTCTGGATCTGGTTTGCAGGTAGAGTCAGTGGGACCTCCTGGAGGTGTGGATGTGGGATGTAAGAGCAAGAGAACAAGGAAGACTCCAAGGTTTTTGGCCTGAGGAGCCGGAAGAGTGGAGTCACTCTTAAGGGAAGACTCCAGGAAAAGAAGGTTTGGGGACGATGGTGAACATCTGGAATTCAGGGCAAGGTGATGTCTGCTGGACGTTCCTGTGGTGATGTTGAGGAAGCAGCACTTGGATGTATTTGTCTGGAGCTCAGAGGAGAGCTGGAGGTGTGAATTGGGAGTGTCCAGGTGCGGAAGGTACTGAGCCACCAGTTCAGATGGGCTCACCTGGTGCCTTCGTTTCCTGGGGCTGCCAGAACAAATGATTATGAATACATGGTTGTGAATACAGACCAGGAGGCTGAAAACAACAGAAATGTATCTCCTCACGGTTCTGGAGGCCAGGAGTGCAAAATCAAGGTGTCTGCAGGGCCACGATCACTCTGGAGGCTGCAGAAGAGGCTTCTTCTTGCCTCTTCCAGCTCCTGGTGGCTTTTGACTGTCCCTGGCGTTCCGTGGCTTGCGGCTGTGTTGCTCCTGTCTCTGCCTCCCTCATCACATTGCTGTCTTCCCTCTGTGCCTCTGTGTCTGTTTTCTCTTCTTATACGGACACCAGTCACTGGATTTAGGGCCCACTCTAATCCAGTATGACCTCACCCTAACTACCTCTGCAAAGACCCTCTTTCCAAGTGAGGCTTCATTCTGAGGTTCTGGGTGGACGTGCATTTTTGGGGGACGCTATTCAGCCCGGTACACTTGGGAGTGGGGTTGGTGGAGGAGAGGAGCGAGGTCTGAGCCTGGGTCTCTCCAACATTAAATGCCATGAGAATACGTCCCTAAAAAAGGAAAGACGAGGAAGAGGAGGAGTGGCCCAGGTGGTAGGAGAACAAACAGGTGAGTGTGACATCTTGGAAACGTGTTTCCAGGAGGTAGGACTGGCCAACTGCACCAGATGCTGCTGATAGATCAGGTGAGAAGAGGATGGAAGATTGATCACAGTATTGCATATTGTGGAGGCCACTGGTGACTGCAACAAGAAAAAAATCAATGGAGTGTGGCCGTGGAAGCCTAAATGGAGCGAGTCCAAGGTGTTTACCTGAGAGAAGAGAAAGCATGGTCCTTGCAGAGACTTCTGCATGAATGTTCATAAACAGCATTGTTGGTAATAGCCCAATACTAGAAACAACCCAAATGCCCATTAAGTGAATGGATAAATAAGCTGTGGCTCATCCACACCACGGAATACTACTACTCAGCAAGGTAGAGGATTGAACCAGTTCTCAGCGCATCCACGCAACAACATGGGCGACTCTCAGAATCGTCATGCTGAGCGAAAGAAGCCAGATACAGAGGAATGCATATTGTATTATTCCATTCATAAAAAACCCTGGAAAATGCAAACGAATTTATGGTGGCAGTACACAGATCTGTGGTTAACTGGGGGTAGGGACAGGAGGAGAGAGATGGGAGGGGTTATGACACAGGGAAATGGGGCAGCTTTTGAGGGTGATGAATGAGTTTGCTATCTTGATTGTGGTGGTGCTTTCACAGGCATGCACACCTGTCAAAACTTTGCAGATTGTACCTTTAGTTATGGACAGCTTATTATATACCAGTTAATCCTCAATAAAGCTGTTAGAAAAACAGGCCAGGTGTGGTGGCTCATGCCTGTAATCCCAGCACTTGGAGGCTAAGGCAGGAGGATTGCTTGAGCCCAGGAGTTTGAGGCCAGCCTAGGCAACCTAGCAAGACCCCCTGTCTCTGCAAAATAAAATAAAAAATATCCAGGCCTGGTGGTGCATGTCTGTCGTCTCAGCTACTCAGGAGGCTGAGATGGGAGGATCACTTGAGGCCAGGAGGTTGAGGCTGCAATGAACTGTGATCACACCATTGCACTACAGCCTGGGTGGCAGCGAGACCCTGTCTCCAAAAAAAATAAAAATAATAATTTTTACATTAAATCTCAGGAAAATATAACACAGAAAATCTTCTCTTTACAATCATCAAGTAGGAACATGTTTTTCCTCACTTCTTAGCCTCAACCTGATGGTTTGTAAACAGATTCTTGGATTAGTGATCTAGAGTGTAAATATTTTGTAACCTTAGCTGCTTTCATCAGGGAAAAGAAGCAAGCTATGACAGCACCTGAATGAAGTACATCCTTTAAGACCCACGCAACTCCCTGATTTAAAAAACACCTGTTAATTACTTTATACCTCTCACTTTTGTCTTTAGAAAGGGAAGATGTATTTCTGGATCCCACACATCCTCAGATACAGCATTATTTTTGCAAAAGCTTACAAAAAGTGGAATTCTTTTCTTGTTGTTTTAGATCCTTGTAGTCAACCTCTTGTTTGTGAATTTCAGGTAGTTGTAGATAGATGGGTAATACTTTAAAATATCTGAACGTGACTAAGAGTCAAGAACTTGCTCTCCTTGTTGCATTTCCAAAGGGGTCTTTGTTGATGGAGCTGTTCCTTGCACGTTTCCAGGTTGCAAAAGAAGAATGGTCTCAGACCCTTTGGATCAACCTGAATGTGCAGATTCTCCAGGAAGGAATTGAAGGTTTTCTCAGGGCTCTCAGAAAGCTACCTCGGCCAGTCCGTGGCTTATCAGTGACCTACTACTTGGAAGCAAAAATGAAGGCATTCAAAGACTCGATTCCTTTACTTCTTGACTTGAAAAACGAGGCACTAAGAGACAGGTTTGTTTTGTCCTCTGTCCGCAGATGTAAAAGTGTGGGAGGAGCTTTTAGTTAAAATTGTTTCCCTCAGTACATTATCTTTGGTCTGATGATGAAGCACACAATTTCAACAATGCCGCAGGGCTATACATGGGCACGACACAGTTCTATAATGTTGTTTCTATGTAAAGTGTCTGTAAAACTGTCAACCACAGGATTCTTTTAAAAAAGAAAGATCCCAGCAGGTGCAAAGTGGGCGTTTGCAGTTGCTTTTCTCGAAGATTTAAAAAACTATAGTAAGTGACCTTGATCAGCCCCATCCAGCAGACATCAAACGGAACTCACATATGTAATTTACAGTTTTTTAGCTGCTACAGTAAAAGAGTAAAAACAGGTGAAATTAATTTTAATAGTATATTTTAATTAACTCAATATATCCCAAACATTATTTCAACATGTAATCAACATGAAACATTTATTCATGAGATATTTTACATTCTTCTTAAAAAATATGTCAAAGTGCAATGTGTATTTTATATCTATAGCCTATTTCAACCTGGGCTTGCCCCGTTTCAAGTGCTCCATAGACACGCGTGGCTTGTGGCCACCATACTGATGGGATAGCCAGCCCTGTGGGTGGGACAGAGGGGGCATGGGTCTGTGTTTATTTGGTGATGGCACCACACAGACACGAATTAGGAGTTACAGTCCTCATTTGTGAGTTATGCTTCTGCTCGTGTTCCTCTATTCCTCGGTCATGTTTTCCAAAGTGTGGTCATCTAGTCATGCCATGACATCAAGTGACTTCATTTTCCCTAGTGAGAAAGTCATCCCTTCTTTGGTTCCCTTCCTATCCTTGAGTTCACACTGAGAAAGTCTCTCGTAAGTGCTGGCTTGTTTTCAACACCTGTTACATCTGTCTCTCCCTCTCAACAAGGAGCAGGCAGCCCTCAGGCCCTGGTGACGTGGAGTCTTAGCCCTCTTTTCACTGTCTGCTGGCTTCCCTGGAGCACTCACCTTTACCTTTGCAGGCTTCAGTTTCCTCATCTGTAAAACTAGGTAGAAGTAGGCATTTTCTAGCTAAAGTTCTCGGTTTTATAATCCCATAACCCAGTGTTTCTCAAACTTTGGTCCTGTCTCATCATTTTTGTCAGATCTGAGTATCATCTATGCTGTCATGGCTTTATATTTTTCTTCCTATCAGTTTCTTTTTTATGGAAATGAATGTTATTCTAAAAATAAACTTCCACCACCACTGTAAAGAGAAAACCAAAAGCTCTTGCCAGAAATAGAAAGTAATTATTAAAAAAAAAAAAACTAGCTCAAAACAGTCGCCTGTCTCTGAGCCAGAGACCTTCGCTCTAAGAAAGGTGAATGACCCTGGGGAGGGACTGAGGACACAGCGTAAGAATTAAAGAAAGAGGAAAGAAACACAAAAGGTGGCTTGCCAGTCAAAACAGGTTTATTTTAGAGAAAACAAACCTGAGAGGGGATTCTGGCCAAGTTAGGTCAGAGCCACACTCTCTTAGAGACTAAGAGTTTTTAAGGATTTAGGGTGGGAGAGCTTATCTGAGGCTTGGACTGCTTCTGTGTCTCTCTGTTGTGCTTATCTGGGAGGGAGAGTTGTGTGTCTATTCCCATTCATTTTTCTGCAGCAGCAGGCATACTCGCCGAGTCTGCTTTTAGCTCCCCTATCTTAGTGCACCTGAAGGGAAAGGAATGTTCTTATTAAGGTCCACTGTTTTACTGGGACCCATTGTATAAGGGTGAAGTTTGGCAGTTACCCAAGAGACTTCCTCCTCTCCTCCCTCTGTGCCTGAGCTGTCTTGTCTATGTTTTCCTGTCTGCTCTTTCTGGTGGCTTGTAGTTAGAAGATAAGTGATTTCCTTAAAATGCATGGGCTGGAAAGGGAGCTGGACCTTAAAGTGGTGGTGTTTGTCCAAGATGAGGTTGCTCCTGCTCTGTCACACAGAAGCACAAAGAGGAGACTTTCCCTTCGATGTAATTTACTGTAATTGAAAGGACTGGGCGGGAACTGGAGAGGGAATCACTCTCTCCCAGTGACTCAGGGCTGAGTTATGTTGAGTGTGGACCCTCTAATCCACCACCAGGGTTATGTCACAGGCTGGCCCCAGGTCCGCTCTGCCCACATGCAGTCCATCAATCGCCGTGACATGGGTTTTGCGAAACAGATTTATTTGCAAGGCCGCCAAGCAAGGAGGCAGGTGAGCAGCCCTCACATCTGCCTTCCTGAAGATAAGGCTTAGGGATGTTTAGGCATTAGGGGAGTGGGGTGGTCGAAGTTGAGGGGGAAGGTGGTTGGTGGTGGGAAAAAGGAAGTAACAGGTTCATTCTGAGCAAGTGTAGCTGGGGTTCACAGCATTTCACAGGACATAGGCACAGAAAGTGGGGGCATCGGCATGGCCTGAGGGTAGAGTGTTTGGCCTTCCAACGTCAAAAAGGCCACCTCTGGGGCACTTGCACAGGCCCAGTTGAAAGGTCAGTGGTCTCAACCAGTTGGAACTGGACAGAGGAGTTGGTTCAACTTCCTGAAAAACAACCAAAGTCACCATCGCCATCGTGGCCTGTGAATGTTATCCATAGTAGCCAGTGAAGGTTAAGTTTCAGCGTTCAGTGGTGAGACCTTCAGCTTCATGGGAAAAGGGGGAAAAAAATAAAAAGCAAGTGACCATAAGCCACAGAGCAGGCACTGATGACCCTTACCCTTCAGTTTCAGTTCTGACACCCTCCTTCCTGTCCGTGCTGTGCTAGGCCAGGGGGTTCAGAGACCGATGAACCAGTAGGGCCTCCTTTCTGACCATTTCCATGGCCGTGTGTGTGTGTGTGTGTTTACAACACTCAGTGATTCAACACTTGCTGCTCACGTGCTGGGTACGTGGCGTTCTGCTGTCTAGCGTCATGCTTAGCTGCCTTACTCACACCCATTCCATATACACAGAACTAAAACATGGGCAAATTCACAGGCCAAATGCAAAACCTTAAAGGAAGGCCAGTCAGGTGAAGAGCAGAGCTGCCCCCGTTGTGTCTGTGTGCACAGGAGTCTGCCCCGACTGTCCCGTCTGAATGGGCCCCTTCATACCTCCTCTGGCACACTGCAGTTTTCTCATAGTACTCAAAACCCTATGTCATTATTTAATTTATAGATTTGTTGATTGTTTGTTGTTTGTCTCCCCAAGTAAGTGGCAGGTTCTCTGAAGCTAGGAGCCTTGCCCTTGATAACTCTGTACCCCAGTCCACTGCCTGGCACGGAGTCAGCACTGAAATATTTATCAAATGCACGAGAGCTCATAATTTACATGAGGCTCTCAAAAAGGCTGAGTGATTCAACAGAGGTTGAGGTCATTGGTTGAGAGACTATGACAGAAGCCGTTCCCAATAATTAAAAGTTGTGTATTTTATGAGAAGGCCGTGAAGACTAGTGTATAGTGTATACAGTATTTTGCAAGATGTTGTTTTCCGGTTTAACTCTGGAGGCCAGTGGGATTTTGGAGAACTTTGGGAATATATTTCTAATGATGTCCTCATGTTGCAGAATTTCATTATAAGAAGTTTACAAAATGAGATTTGTCCTGTGATTTAAATGGGAGTAATTGAACTCCTCACTAAATTCAGTAAGCATAAAGATTTGAATGCTGATGTGCTTTCAGGCATTGGAAAGAACTTATGGAAAAAACGTCTGTCTTTTTTGAAATGACCGAAACGTTCACCTTGGAAAATATGTTTGCTATGGAACTGCACAAACACACAGATGTTCTCAATGAGATTGTCACAGCAGCAATCAAGGAGGTTGCCATTGAGAAGGTAAGACTTCAGTTAAAAACAGGCTGGAGAAAACAGTCTTTTTTTAATTCAAAGAGAAAATAGGGAGAACTCATCTATACTAAAAAAAAAAAAAAATTAGCTGAGCGTGGTGGTATGCCATTACTCCCAGCTTCTTGGGAGGCTGAGGTGGGAGGATCACTTGAACCTGGAAGGTGGAGGCTGCAGTGAACTGTGATCGCACCATGGCACTCCAGCCTGGGTGACAGGGTGAGACCTTGTCTCAAAGAAGAAAAACAAACAAAAAAGAGAAAACATATTTGCTCTAGTACCTGCTGTACTTCAGTAATAAAGAATTATTTGTTGTAGAAATAGAATTTCCTTAATTAAATTTTTTGTTGTTCCCAATTGTAGTTTCATTTTCCATTGTTTAAAAAAATTTTTTCTTATTGTTTCTTATTTATTTATTTTGCCATTGATTTTTAAATAGATGTAATGGATGTTCATGGTAGAAAATTGAAAAAAAATTCATAATCCCACTACCTGAAAATAATTATTAACTTTTTAGTGTATTTCTTTGCCTACTTAAAAATGCATGCACACATGTATACATATGCATACACACATACTACTCATATATGTGCACATACACCCATGCATTTGTATGCACTAACATACACGTACACAGGTACACACATACACATATCCCTACACATATATGTATATAGTCAGGTGTCACCTAATGGCAGGGACACATTCTGAGAAATGTGTCCTGAGTTGATTCGTGATTGTGCAAACAAACCTAGCTGGGATGACTACTGCACACCTAGGCTATTGGGTAGAATCTATTGCTCTAGACTGCAAGCCTGTACAGCAAGGAACTACATTGAGTACGGCCAGCCATTGTAACCTAATAGTACGTGTGTATCTAAACATAGAAAAGGTACAGCCAAGGCCGGGCATGGTGGCTCACGCCTGTAATCCCAGCACTTTGGGAGGCCGAGGAGGGTGGATCACGAGGTCAGGAGATCGAGACCATCCTGGCTAACACGGTGAAACCCCGTCTCTACTAAAAATACAAAAAAAATTAGCCGGGTGTGGTGCCGGGTGTGGTGGCGGGTGCCTGTAGTCCCAGCTACTCGGGAGGCTGAGGCAGGAGAATGGTGTGAACCCAGGAGGCAGAGCTGCAGTGAGCCGAGATCGCACCACTGCACTCCAGCCTGGGTGACAGAGCAAGACTCTGTCTCAAAAAAAAAAAAAAAGGAAAGGTACGGCCAAAATATGGTCTAATAATCCTATGGGACCACCATTATATATGAAATTCATCACTGAATGAAACATCCTTATGCAGTACATGACTGTACATAGTACACCACACATGTATACACACGTATATGCATGTAGACACATATGCATGCAAACACACAAAATATACATACAGTGTGCACACAGTGTACCTAACATATACACATAATGTATACACACATGTACATATGCACATAATGTACATACAGTGTACCTAATATACACACGTACACATAATATATATACATGTATACATATACACATAATGTACACACAGTGTACCTAATATATACATGTACACATAATGTACACTATGTATTCGTATACACACGATGTGCACACAGTGTACCTAGTATGCACACGTACATATAATGTACACACATATACATATACACACAATGTTCAGTGTACCCAATATACACAGGTACACATAGTATATACACATGTATACATATACACACAGTGTACACAATATACCAAAGATACGCATAATATACATATAATGTACACATGTACGTATGTATACACATATACATATGTATCAATACAGATTTTTTTTTTTTTGAGACAGGGTCTCCCTATGTTGCCAAGGCTGGTCATGAACTCCTGGGCTCAAGCAGTCTGCTCACCTTGACCTCCTAAAGTATTAGGATTACAGGCATGAGCCACCGCACCCGGCCTCAATATAGATTTTTTGTTTTGAATATGGAATCATAAGAGGCATATCATTTTGTAATTTGGTTTTTGTGACAGTAGAGTAAGCACAGGGGCAGAATCTCATAACTGTGCAGACTTCGGGGGCAGACTGTGGGGTTTAGACCCTGTTTCTGGGGCTCAGTAGCTGAGCTTCATGTCTGAGCCCCAGTTGCCATCTCTGTAAAATGTGGGTGATAATAATCCCTACCAATATACTTTGAGGTATTTGCTTTGAGGACTGAATGAGATCGTGTATGTGACATGCTTACCTGCCACATAGCGAATGCTTGATAAGTGGCAATTATTACCATGACAGAATCCCAACTTTTCAGGAAACAGACCCAGGACTCCGATTGCATTGTTGGCCAAAAGCAAGCTAAGGAAGGTGTTTTTGGGTTGGGGCTCGGTCCTTTCAGTTCGTGTGCCTGAATCATTCTTTTTCTATTCCTGAACAGGCTGTGAAGGAAATCCTAGACACGTGGGAAAATATGAAATTCACTGTAGTCAAGTATTGCAAAGGCACACAGGAGCGAGGCTACATCCTGGGTTCTGTTGACGAAATTATTCAGTCTCTTGATGACAACACTTTCAACCTGCAGAGCATCTCAGGAAGCAGATTTGTGGGGCCTTTTCTGCAAACTGTTCACAAATGGGAAAAAACGCTTTCTCTAATAGGGGAAGTCATTGAGGTGAGAGAAAAGATGAACAAAAGATGGATTAGAGCCAGTGCATAGCAGTGGCTTTTATATGAGGATATTTTGTGCTTAGAACTTTTATATGAGGATATTTTGTGCTTAGAAACAAATGATCCTCTTTCATACTTTTTTGTCTTGATTTATTTTGAGGACAAGAGTGCATGATCAAAGGAATTGATCTGAATTTTTATTTTAGTGAATGATTTTCATTTCCAAGATTCCTAATTGCTTCTTTTTCATATATCTCTGTTTTTCTTTGATACTGTCCTGTTCTTGTTGCAAGGATGCTTTTGCCTCCTTGATGACACTGAAAATTAGAAACATACTTATTTTACATTCCTTTTCGATTTCTCTACACTTTTTAAAAAAATGTCTGTTGACTCTCTCTTGTGGTGGTGGATTTTCCTCTGTGTGATTTTGATTTTTTTTTCTAGCTCATCTCACATGTAGTTTTTTTCTTGTGTTTGCTTCACTTTGTCATCTGTTTTTGCAGCCTCTTTAACCTGAGGCCTGTCACACTGGGAAGTAGCAAGGTCTTATAGTAGGTGGTTTGGGGCTTTCTTCCTTTTGGGCAATACTTATCCAGACCTCTGTGAGCAACCCAGGCTCACTGCACCATTTTTGTGCAGTTGCCTTTTTTTCCTCCCCAGACCACAGGCAAGCACCTTGTTTTTGGCCACAATCCAAGCCTTGGGTGGGATGAAGCCAGGCCTGGTTCACTGGCCAACTGTGTGATCAGGCCTCCATCATGCCTGGGCTTCCTTTCCTTGCTTTTTTGTTTGTTTGTTTTGTCTATGACTTTGTGTTAGTGGAAGCTCTTATGTGGGATATAGCACTGTTTTTTAATTTGTGAGTAAAAAACAATTTTTTTTTAGATGGAGTCTTGCTCTGTCACCCAGGCTGGAGTGCAGTGGTGCCATCTCGGCTCATTGCAACCTCTGCCAGCCGGATTCAAGTGATTCTCCTGCCTCAGCCTCCCGAGTGGCTGGGATTACAGGCATGTGCCACTATGCCTGGCTAGTTTTTGTATTTTTAGTAGAGATAGGGTTTCACCATGTTGGCCAGGCTGGTCTTGAACTCCTGACCTCAAGTGACCTGCCCACCTCGGGCTCCCAAAGTGTTGTGATTATAGGCATGAGCCACTGTGTTCAGTCAAAAAAAATTTTCTATTGAGGTAAAATTTAAATAACATAAAACTAGTGATTGTAAAGTGCACAATTCAGTGACATTTAGTACATTCACAGTGTTGTGCAACCACCACCTCTAATTCCAGATTTTCATCAAACCAAAAGACAAGCCAGTACCCCTTAAGCAGTCATTCCCTACCATCTCCTCCCCCAGCACCTGGCAACCTCCAGTCTGTTTTCTGTGTCAATGGATTTACCTATTTTGGATAATTCATATAAGCGGAATGACACAATATATGATCCTTTACGTCTGGCTTTTGTCACTTAGCGTGATGTTTTCCAGGTTCTTCCATGTTGTAGCATGTGTCAGTGCTTCCGTCCTTTTTATGGCCCAATAATATTAAATCATGTGGATTGATCACATGTTGTTTTTCTATCCATTGGCTGATAGACATTTGGGTTGTTTCCACCTTTTGGCTATTGTGAACAGTGCTGCCGTCAGCATTCATGTACAACTACTTGAGTCCCTGTTTTCAATTCTTTTGGGTCAATACCTAGGAGCGGAATTGCTGGGCACATGGTACTTGGCTCACTTTTTGAGTGTCTGGCATGGCCTGTCCTTCGCTGTTGTGGGTCACAGGCTTCACCCTCTTCTCATAACTAGAAGTTTTCCTACCTGTGCTGGGCTGCATGGAGAGCTTTCTTTTGCTTTTGAGTGTGGCCGTTAGTTATGCTTTCCCCAGCATTCCCATTCATTTGGAGTGGAGGGGAGCTGGCCATGCAGATGCTCACTCTGTCACCTTGCCTGGAAGGTCCTCCCACCTGAGTTGATTTGGTTCTGTCTCATGTCAGGATGGGGCTTTGCCATCCACTTTTGGAGGTATCTGATAACCCCTGCTGACACTGACCTTTTGTACATTTACAGATTTGGATGTTGGTTCAGAGAAAATGGATGTATCTTGAAAGTATTTTTATTGGTGGAGATATAAGATCACAACTTCCGGAAGAGGCAAAAAAGTTTGACAACATCGATAAAGTATTTAAAAGGGCAAGTGACTCGCTTCTATTTTAGTAATGAAAGAAGGGCAGCGATTTGAGATATTTGTACCTTTTTATTTGCACATTGTATTTTCTCCATTAGTAGCTTCTCTCTCATTTTTTAGAGACAGGGTTTTGCTCTGTTGCCCAGGCTGGAGTGCAGTGATGTGATCGTGGCTCCCTGTAGCCTTGAACTTATGGGCTAAAGAGATCCTCCTAACTCAGCCTCCCAAGCAGCTGGGACTACAGGCATGTGCTGCCATGCTCAGCTAATTAAAACATTTTTTATAGGGATAGGATCTTGCTATGTTGTCCAGGCTGGTCTCAAACTCCTAGCCTCAACTGACTCTCCCACATTGGCCTCCCAAAGCACTGGGATTACAGGAGTGGGTCACCTTGCCTGGCCCACTAGTAGCTTCTGAATTTTTCGTGTCATTATTTATGACCCTAATCTGTCTAGTAAAAATTCCCATTTGATTTTTAGCTGCTGGCATATGACACTGAATCTTTTTTACATTTATTATAAAAGCAATATTTGCTTGTTTAAAATATTTTGAAAGTGTAGAACAGTGGAAAAATGTATCTCTCATGGTTCTGTCACTTTAATGGGACCACTTTAACATGTCAATATATTCCTTTTATCTTTTTCCTATGTGTATAAGTTTAAAAAGCATAATTGTAATCATATTGTGTACAACTTTATATCATAATTTTCTCTTAATATTATGAGAAACAGTTCATATTAGGAAGTCATCTGAGAAAATAATTTCATGGCTCTCTATATTCCAGGGAGTGGGCTGACATTAGTTTAGTTGATTACTCTCCAGTAATTTGACATTTTGTTTGAACAGAGTTCTTTGCTTTCATAAATAATGTACAGGTTCTTGCCTAATGCTTTTTCCATAGTTAGAGTGAATGTCTTAAGATAGATTGTTAGAAAGCAAATTGCCCGTGAAAGGGTGTGTGTATTTTAAAGTCATTTCCAAAAAGGGTTGGACTGGTCATCACAGTGACTGTAGTTAGTGTGGCTGGGATTTTAACCCAGCTCTCCTGCTCTCAAAGCCCGGGTATTTTGCTACTTAGCTTTGCTGCTGTGTTCTTTAATTATAGGTGGCCAGTTCATGTTTTGATCTCTTTTATCCACTAGAGTTTATAACTGTTTCATATAATTGTTGCATAAGCTCTTTTTTTAAACTTAAAAGAATTGTACAACACATATCAGGCTGGACGGTGACTCACGCCTGTAATCCCAGGACTTTGGGAGGCCGAGGTGGGCGATCACTTGAAGTCAGGATTTCGAGACCAGCCTGGCCAATATGATGAAACTCTGTCTCTCTCTCTTTTTTTTTTTTGAGACAGAGTCTCGCTCTGTCGCCCAGGCTGGAGTGCAGTGGCACAATCTTGACTCTCTGTAAGCTCCACATCCTGGGTTCCGGCTGTTCTCCTGCCTCAGCCTCCGAGTAGCTGGGACTACAGGTGCCCAACACCACGCCCGGCTAATTTTTTGTATTTTTAGTAGAGACGGGGTTTCACCGTGTTAGCCAGGATGGTCTCAATCTCCTGACCTCATGATCTGCCCACCTTGGCCTCCAAAAGTGCTGGGATTACAGATGTGAGCCACTGTGCCCAGCCGGTGAAACTCCGTCTCTACTAAAAATACAAAAAAAAAAAAAAAATTAGCCAGGCATGGTGGTGCATGCCTGTAATCCCAGCTACTCGGGAGGCTGAGGTGGGAGGATCGCTTGAACCCAGGAGGTGAAGGTTGCAGTGAACTGAGATCGTGACACCACTCTAGCCTGGGTGACAGAGTGAGACTCTGTCTCAAAAAAAAAAGAAAAAAGAAAAAGAAGAATTATACAACAAATATCAATTCATTACAGAATACTTTAGAAATTACAAAAAGCCAAGAAAAAAAAGAAAGGAAGAAAAAAATACCTATAATCCCCTTGCCCAGGGTAACCATTTTAATAGTTGAGCATATATCTTTCCAGAACATTTATTCCTGCATAAACATACAAATAGATATAAATAAATAAATAACATTCTACAAAATATGATTGTTCTTTTTTTTTTTTAGAGACGAGGTCTTGCCTTGTTGCCCAAGCTGGAGTGCAGTGGTGTGATCATAGCTCACTGCAGCCTCCAACTCCTGGGCTCATATGATCCTCGCCTTGGCCTCCCAGGTAGCTGGGACTGCAGGTATGCACCACCACACCCGGCTAACTTAAAAAAAAAAAAATTTTTTTTTTTTTTTTTTAGTAGAGATGGAGTCTTGTTCTGTTGCCCAGTCTGGTCTCAAACTCCTGGTCTCAAACAATCCTCCTAATCCTCCTGTCTTAGTCTCCCAAAGCACTGGGATTACAGGCTTGAAAATAGAATCATTCTTACCAATGTCACTGGCTATTTTTATTGAACAGTTTGACCTATTTCAATAAATAAACATTGAAATTATCACTCACAGCAGATGATTGACCTGTTGCTGGACATTGAGGCTATTTCTTTCTTTTTCTGCTATGATGAAGAATGCTGCAGTGAATATTCTGTATATACAAATTGCTCACAGTGGAATTGCCAGCTTCCTTTACTCAGCAAGTGTTGAATGGGCGCCTACTGTGTGTAAGCACTTCTGTAGGGTGGGGTGGGGCTCATCAGTGAACAAAACAAAAAAATCCTTTCCCTGCGCAGCTGGCCTTCTTACGGGATAACGAAAAGAAAAACCAGAAACCAGTTAGTTACATGTAGTACATTAGAAGGTGCTAAGGATATGCATGTTTAAAAATGATAAATGGATCCCCTGAAAGCCAATGGCACTGGGCAGCTTGTCAGTTTTGTCTCGGCCGTGCCTGGGCTCTGGTGAGTGCCTGTTCTGGGCTCAAGAACAGTGTCTCCGCTCTCCCTGCTCACCCTGCTTGACGGCTGTCCTCTGTTCTGGTCCAGATCATGGGTGAGACCTTAAAAGACCCCGTGATCAAGAGGTGCTGTGAAGCCCCAAACCGCCTCAGTGACCTACAGAACGTCAGCGAGGGCCTGGAGAAATGCCAGAAAAGCCTCAACGACTACTTAGATTCGAAGAGAAATGCTTTCCCAAGGTTCTTCTTCATTTCTGACGATGAGTTGCTTAGCATTCTGGGGAGCAGCGACCCACTCTGCGTCCAGGAGCACATGATCAAGGTCAGCCCTCTGGGTGTGCAGGGGCTCCCCGTGTAAGCCTTAGAACCGCCTTCGGTCCTCCCTGGTTCCCTTTGCCATGAGGTTCAACCCAGAGGGTTAAGACTGAAATGCTGCTGGAGTTGGTTTTTTGGTTTGTTTTTTGAGACAGGGTCTGGCTCTGTTGCCCAGGCTGGAGCGCAGTGGTACAATCATGGCTCATTGCAGCCTCCACCTCCCCGACTCAAGTGATCTGCCACCTCAGCTGCCTGAGTGGCTGGGACCACAGGTGCACACCACCATGCCTGGCTAATTTTTATATATTTTTTGGAGAGATGAGGTCTCACTGTGTTACCTGGGCTGGTCTCTAACTCCTGAGCTCAAGCAATGCTCCCACCTCGGCCTCCCAAAGTGGGATTACAGGTGTGAGCCACCACACTCAGCCCTCGAGTTTTAATTTGAAGTGTAAGCCTGATGATATTCACTGAGTCTGAAATCACACCAGATTCAGCTATTTTTCCACAGTCCAAAACCTTTCTTTTTATAAACTAAAAAAAAAAAAAAAACAAAAAAACCAGAAATATATGAAGACTAATATATTAAATAGGGAGGCATTAGAGGATAGTGGTTTAGCACATGGACTCTAGAACCAGATTGCTGGGGTTCAAATCTTTGCTCTATTCTGAGTTTCTGTGTGATCTTCGGCAAGTTCCTTGATCTCTCTGGACATCAGTTTCCTCATCTGTGAATGGACATAACCCCAATGGTTACCTGTTTCAGTGGAGCTGTTGTAAAAATGAAATGAGTTACTATTTATAAAGTACTTTGAACAGTGCCTACCTTTCAATGTTGGCTAAATAACCCTCTCCACTACCCAGAATTGGCACTTGTTACCATTTAGTCATATTTGGTTTGTCTCTTTTTTTTGTAAAGTTGTACAAATTTGCAATACTTTTTGTCCCCATCCCCATTCATACTTCCTCTATTTTCTTTTCTATTTTTTTTTTTTTTTTTTGAGACAGAGTCTCACTCTGTCGCCCAGGCCGGAGTGCAGTGGCGCGATCTCCACTCACTGCAAGCTCCACCTCCCAGGTTCACGCCATTCTCCTGCCTCAGCCTCCCGAGTAGCTGGGACTACAGGCGCCAGCCACTGTCATGAATTTGTTATGATTCCTTCCAGACCACAATTTCACACTTTTTAAATAAATGTATATGTATCCATGAACCATTTCCTGAATGGCGGGAAACAACAGAGAACACTGTCCCTTGTGATAGAGAACAGAGGCTGGCCAGACATGATCTTTGGCCTGCTAATCAAAGCTCTTTATCTAGCGTCAGCCTGGGCAGGGGCTCTGAGCCTCGGCGCTGCTGGCATTTGGGGCTGGATGACTCTTTGCTGTGGCTGCTGTCCTGTGCATTACAGGACATTACGTAGCATCCCTGACCACAACCTACTAGATGCCAGTAGCACCCCCTCCCTAGTTATGACAACCAGAAACATCTCCAGACATTGCCAATGTCCCCTGGTGGCAAAATCATCCCCGGCTGAGAATGAGTGTTGCACGGTAATTCCTCCATTCCAAATTAACAGAGCACTTAGGAACGAGTGCTTTCTCCTATTACTTTCCCTTTAATCAATGCTAACTTCCTTCTTAAAGTAAGATTCATATTTTCGACTGCATATTTTTCCTTTCTCAAAGGGGAGGCTTCTTCAGTATTCTGTTTCCAGTTTTTTTTTTTTTTTTTTTTTTTTTTTTCAGACAGGGCGTTGCTTTGTTGCCCAGGTTGGAGTGCAGTGGTGTGATCACAGCTCATTGCAGCCTCTACCTCCTGGGCTCAAGCAATCCACCCGCCTCAGCCTCCCAAAGTGGTGGGATTACAGGCATGAGCTATTGTGCCTGGCCTTCTGCTTCCACTTTGTAAACACATATTTTACTGTTGTAGAAAAATACAGTGTTAGGAATACTTCATTTACTGTTCGCCTCTTTTGCAAACCTCTGTTTTTATTCTTTAAAGCCTGTTTGTTGCCTTCCTCTCCTCTCTGATTTGTGAGTGCCTTGTATATGGTGGGCCCTAAAGGACTCATTGTCCTAAATGTTATTCTGATTAATAACAATGATAATAGTCAACAAATGCCAAGTGTTTAACAACATGCCAGCATTTGACTCAGATTGTTTCATTTGATTCTCCCAAGCCCACCTTGTTAAGTGCCATGATTGTGTTTATTCCAGGCAGAGAGAGGAGGAGCAACTCACCCATAGTTGCGCAATTGGATAGTGGGGAATCTGGGATTCCATCACAGGTCTCTGTTCCCCAGCCTGGGGTGTTAATCACCCTTCCGCCTCCTCCACGTTCCACTGGCTCCTATGTCCAGATACCTCCCCACTCCAGCAGGGTTAGGGACAGAGTCTGCTTTTTCTTTCTCTTTTCAATCCTCCACAGATCTTTGCACAGTACAGAGTAAATGAAAATCCCCAATAAGTGTCTTTGGGATGACCACACAGGTGGGTGAACGACATCCATCTTGCCTGCGATCTCGGCTCACCGGTTGCCATTGCTTGCATCGTGGCAGCTCTGCTGGATGGAGCACCGCTGGCTGGTCTTTGATTCCAGAACTCCGTGCAGGTCTTACAGGGCTGCCTCTCCCTGTTTGCAGATGTACGACAACATAGCATCACTGAGGTTTAATGACGGCGATAGTGGAGAAAAACTGGTGTCCGCGATGATTTCAGCAGAAGGAGAAGTCATGGAGTTTCGGAAGATCTTGCGGGCTGAAGGGCGCGTGGAGGACTGGATGACGGCAGTTTTGAATGAGATGAGAAGAACTAATAGACTAATTACCAAAGAGGCTATTTTTAGATACTGTGAAGACAGAAGCAGGTAAGGCTGCGAATGTGGACATGCATTGCTCTATCCAATTCATAGTCATAATGGATTAATTTTAAAGGCTTGGAGTAGATTGGCTGACATTCCAAATGAGGTTTTGTTTTTTTGCAATAGGTCATTAGTGGACAGATAGATGTCTTTATTTTTATTTTTTTGAGACAGGATCTTGCTCTGTCACCCAGGCTGGAATACAGTGGTACAATGGCTCACTGCAGCCTTGACCTCCCTGGTTCAAGAGATTCTCCCACCTCAGTCTTCAGTGTAGCTGGGACTACAGTTGTGCACTACCATGCCTGGCTAATTTTGTACTTTTTTGTAGAGAGGGAGTCTCACTGTGTTGCCCAGGTTGGTCTCAAACTCCTGGGCTCAAGTGATCCTCCCACCTTGGCCTCCCAAAGTGCTGGGATTACAGGTGTGAGCCACTGAGCCCGGGCAGTCTTTAGCATATGTGCTGCCAAAGCGAGCACAAGATAGCAGTCTTTCAATGATCACCCGATGCAGTACTCTCAAAGTGTGCCCCCTGGTGGCAGCACAGGGCCCCTGGGATTGTTAGAAATGCTGATTCTTGGGTCTTACCCTGCACCTGCCCATCAGAACTCTGGGGGTGGGGCCTGAGGATTTGTGTTTTTGCAAGCTCTCAGGGGATTCCCAGCACCCTTAGCGTGTGAACCCCTGACTTAGTGAACCACCAGAAACTAGGCGTTTAGTGGGATTATGTGTATGTAACGTTGTTTCTAAAATATTTACTGAATTTCCAACATTCTTTGATTTTTGTGGCTAGAGAGGCTTCAGGATATCATGCTGAGCCCTGCCTGCTCCTAGCAGCTGAGTGCAGTCCAACTAGAAATACAGAAAGCCTCTTTGGCTAACTTATTCTATTAGATTAGACAGGATCCCCCGTAAAGTTGGAGAATATTTGGCAGGGCCTTCGTGCAGACATAGAATCTTTCTTGTTATTATGAGAACACCATTCTCTTGATTTTGTACACTGCCTTTTTGATTTTACAAAGTGAAAACATCTACTTAAAAATTATTAGCGAATAGCATAATATTTATTTGATTATGATCCTGCTGTTTCCGAGGTACTGAGGCATATCAAAAATTTGTTTGCATCTTTATGTGGATATGTTCAGTGGATAAACTGGTAAAACTGGATGTCTGGAAAAAATTTTTTTAAAGCTTTGATTTAAAGCAGTTGCCAATTTCCATGGTGCAAATATTCCTGCCATGGCTGATTTCAAAGCTAAATGAAATAAGTGGTTTAACAACCAGCTTGCAAAATTCCAGAATATTCGACAGTTAGTCTTGTGACAGGAGGTGGCCCTAGCATTCATTTAACTAATATTTCTTCAACCCCTGCTCTGGGCGATTTATTATGCTAGATGCTATTTCAAAACTGAACTAGACAGAAATCTCTGCCTTCTGTATGTATTAATCACTGAATGTTTTAAATTATCTTTTCTGCTCCAAAATACTGTGAAGTTTACACCAGCATCAGTTGATTTTATTTTCACGATAGCTACCACTTTGCTAGGGCATTGCTATGTTTGGTAGTGCTGAGTTGGTGGAAGAGAGTAAGGGAATGCAGCCTGATGGACTGAAAAAGATCTTTTTCTCATCCAGATGCTCCTTTGAGCACGTGAACTTGTTGCTTCCAACAGGGAGAATAGTTGACATGAGCATGTGGTTTTATTTGAGCTGATAGGTGTGGCATCACTGAGAAGTTAGGGCCAGCTGTATCTAGTCCCAGGAAGCACCTTTGCCCTGGTCATTTAATCTTCTCTGATCCTATGGCCTCAGCTGCCACCTCTCCGTTTCTGATTCTAGGTTTGTCGCGTCCTTTACAAGGCCCGTCTTTGTTCATCATTTCGGTGTCGTCCTCTGGGCCTTCGTAATCTTTGTTGTCTCTCTCCTGATGTGTAGGAATCATGGATATAAGTGATCTTTAGGTTTTCGCTGCACCACACAATTTTAAAATAAAACAACAAAGGTCAATGTTATTTTTATTGCTTTTCCTACTTATTTATTTATTTATTTATTTATTGAGACAGAGTCTCGCTCTGTCACCCAGGCTGGAGTGCAATGGCGCTATCTCGGCTTACTACAACCTCCGCCTTCCAGGTTCAAGCGATTCTCCTGCCTTAGACTTCTGAGTAGTTGGGATTACAGGTGCACATCACCACACCCGGCTAACTTTTGTATTTTTAGTAGAGACAGGGTTTCGCCATGTTGGCCAGGCTGGTCTCGAACTCCCGACCTCAGGTGATCTGCCGGCCTCGGCCTCCCAAAGCGCTGGGATTACAGGCGTGAGCCAAAGCATTCGGCCTCCTACTCTTTTAAATTTATTTTGCCATTAACTGTAGGTCATCAAGATAATGACTATAGTAATCCGCAGTCACTTTTCCAGTATTGGCATTGTATTACTGTGTTTTCACACTGCTATACAGAAATACTCAAGACTGGGTAATTTATAAAGAAAAAGGTTTAATTGACTCACAGTCACGCATGGCTGGGGAGGCCTCAGGAAACTTACAGTCATGGCGGAAGACAAAGGAAAAGCAAGTACCTTTTTCACAAGGTGGCGGGAAAGAGAGAGAGAGAAGGAGGAACTAACAACCACTTATAAAACCGTCAGATCTCATGAGAACTCACTCAGTATCACGAGAACAGCATGGGGAAACCGCCCCCATGATCCAGTCACCTCCCACCAGGTCCTTCCCTCAACACCTGGGGATTATGGGGATTACAATTTGAGACGAGACGTGGGTGGGGACACAGAGCCAAACCATATCAGGCATTTACAGCTCTGAGTCCATTATTTTTTAAGTGCAGTTTAGAAAAAAAGCTTTGTCTAAATGTGTCTCAAGGCAATCACAAGCTTTGTAAGTTAGTGCCTCTGGAGAGGACATCCAAGTGGCCAATAAACATGAAAAGAGGAGAAACCCCACGACTCAGCAGGATCTGTACATTAAGGGAGGATGAGATGTTTTGTTTCACTTTTCAGACTGGCAAAAATTCAAAAGCGTGTTACAACCTGGCCTGCAAACCTGGGCAGTGTGGTCAGAGATTATGAAATTCTTTGTTGGAATTTTAATTTTCTTTCTTGAGACAGGGTCTTGCTCTGTTGCCCTGGCCGGAGTACAGTGATGCGAGCTCGGCTCACTGAAGCCTTGAGTTCCTAGGTTCAAGCAATCCTCCCACCTCAGCCTCCTGAATAGCTGGGACCACAGGCATGTACCACCACATCTGGCTAATTTTTGTATTTTTGGTAGAGACAAGGTTTCGCTGTGTTGCCCAGGCTGGTCTCAAACTCCTGAGCTCAAGCAATCTGCCCCAGCTTGGCCTCCCATAATGCTGGGATTACAGGTGTGAGCCACCGTGCCCAGCCTGGAATATTGTTTTACTTCTTACATAAACCTCAAATACTAAGTAAGTTTGAAAACCTATAATCAAATATTTTATTTTATTTTATTTTTTAGAGACAGGGCCTTGCTCTGTCACTCAGGTTGGAGTACAGTGCACAATTGTAGTTGGCTGCGGCCTCCAACTCCTGGGCTCCAGCGCCCCTGGAGTAGCTGGGACTACAGGCATGCGTCATTATGCCTGGCTAGTTTTTAATTTATTTTTTGTAGAGATAGGGTTTTGCTATGTTGCCCAGGCTAGTCTTGAACTCCTGGCTTCAAGTGATCCTCTTCCTTGGCCTCCCAAAGTGTTGGGTTTACAGGCGTGAGCTACCACGACTGGCCCCAAACATTTAAAAAGTGATCTGGCATCTTTCTGTGCAGTCAGGTACCTGCAACATTTTTTGTGGAGAGAGGCACCCTCGGCCTGGAATTTTACTACCTAGTCGGAGATAGGTAACATCTTACTCTCACCTAAGTCTTACTCCTCTGACTTACTTAGGTAAACAAATACAGGCACTTGCTTACCTAAAACCTTTACTTTGCCCTCCCTATTCCAGATCAAAGAAATAAATTCCTGAAGGGACTGTTTTGGGTACCAGTCCCCGGATTGATCAGAGCCTCTTACAGGTGTGCGTTTTCTGCAGAGTCGACTGGATGCTCCTGTACCAGGGCATGGTGGTGCTGGCCGCTAGCCAGGTGTGGTGGACCTGGGAGGTGGAAGACGTCTTCCACAAAGCGCAAAAAGGGGAGAAGCAGGCCATGAAGAACTATGGCAGGAAAATGCACCGGCAGATCGATGAGTTGGTAACGCGCATCACCATGCCGCTAAGCAAAAACGACAGGAAAAAATACAACACTGTTCTCATCATTGATGTGCATGCCAGAGACATAGTTGATTCTTTCATAAGAGGCAGGTGAGCATTTTCCGGGGTCACTGGCATTTCAAAAGGGACCCTTTGTGGTCCGCTGATCTGTCTCAACGGTTTCCACTTCCTCCACCTTTCTTGCCGTCCAGTATCCTGGAGGCCCGAGAGTTTGACTGGGAAAGTCAGTTGCGGTTTTATTGGGACCGGGAGCCGGATGAGCTGAACATCCGCCAGTGCACGGGAACCTTTGGCTACGGCTACGAGTACATGGGCCTGAACGGCAGGCTGGTCATCACGCCCCTCACCGATCGGATTTACCTGACGCTCACCCAGGTGACTGCCAGCCTGGCACTTGTGGTTACCACTTACCTTGGGGCGGGGCATTTTCTCTAAGCTTGAGGTGTGATGACTGCAGTGATTGAAATAGCAGGGGAGATCATTGCTTTGAAATCTCGAAAAGCTTTTCCATTTGGGATGTGACCAGATTGTCACCATTTGGGATTGGCATGTAAGTGTGGCCGTGCTTAGCCACTGGTACACTGGTCCCTAGGTAATGGTGTGTCAGGGGTATTGGTAGAGGCCAATGCGAAAATGCAGGAATGTCAAAGGTGGTGACTGTTAGGGCAAGTGTGATGTGGTTTTGCACGTCTTGTGACAGCTTTTATTCCAGAATATATCCGTTCAAGTGAACGGCCTTGGATGATAGAGATAGTGTCTCCCTCCAGGACAGAGGGTAAACTTGTTTGTTGTACAGGAAATGAAGATAACACTTCCATCCAGGCAGAGCTTGGGAAGGTTTGCAAGCAACCCCCAAGACTGTTTGTCAGATGCTTGCTAGTTTTCTTTTTTTAAATTAGAGATGAGGTCTTGATATGTTGCCCAGGCTTGCCTTGAACTCCTGGCCTCAAGTGATCCTCCCACCTTGGCCTCCTGAGTAGCTAGGACTATAGCATTCACTGCTGCACCTGGCTACATTGGTGGTCTCTTAGGCTCACAGTTTCTCAGCTGTGACTCATACCCACTGTGGATGTGGCATGCACCTGGGCCCGTCTCCACATCACACCATGGGATTTGGGGGGACAAGGATAAAGGGAATGAGTGAGAACAGGAAGCCCCTGCTGCCTCCTGTGCTGTGAGTGATAAAGTCCTTTGTTTTTGAGAAAAAGAGTGTCATCTTATCTGTATTGGTTAGGGTTCCACAGAGAAATAGAACCAATAGGACATAGCTAGCTAGCTGGATGGCTGTCTGTCTGTCTGTGTATCTATCTATCTATCTAATCTATCTATCTTATCCATCCATCCGTGCATCCATCCATCTACATATCCATCCATCCATCCATCCATCCATCCATCCATCCATCCATCCATCCATGTATCTATCCATCCATCCATCCTATTATCTATCTATCTATCTATCTATCTATCTATCTATCTATCTATCTATCCATCCATCCATCCTGTCTATTTATCATCTCGATCATCTATTTTATCTATCTATCTATCTATCTATCTATCTATCTATCTATCTATCTGGATATTTAGGAGGAGATTTATTATGAGGTATTGACTCATGTGATGATAGGGTCTGATTACTCTCACAATCTGCCATCTGCAAGCTGGAGGACCAGGAAGGCCAGTAGCATTTGAAGTTCTGACAGTGAGAGAGCCAATAGTGTAGACTCGTGTCTGGGTCTGAGGGCCTGAGAACCCGAAGTGCCAAGGGTAGAAGCCCAGTGCCCTGGCTCAGTCAGTCAGGCAGCACCAGTGTAACCTCCCTCCATCCTTCTGTTCTGTTCAGTCTTCAATGGATTAGATGATCAGGCAGCACCAATGTAACCTCCCTCCATCCTTCTGTTCTGTTCAGTCTTTAATGGATTAGATGAGGCCCACCCACTTTGGGGAGGGTCATCTGCTTTTCTCAAATGCTAATCTCTTCCTGAAACACACTCATGGACACTCCCAGAAATAATGTTTAGCCAGCTACCTGGGCATCCTGTGGCCCAGTCAAGTTGACACATGAAAGCAAACACCACATTCTTTCTCTATTCTGCACCTATAGTCACAGTGATGAATTTGGAAATGACACCCACTTCCTTCTGTGCACCAGAAAACATATGTTTTGCATTTGGCTTATAACAGGCGCTGTCCATGTATCTAGGTGGGGCCCCCGCCGGCCCAGCAGGAACCGGCAAAACCGAGACCACCAAGGACCTGGCGAAAGCCTTGGGCTTGCTCTGTGTTGTCACCAACTGTGGCGAAGGCATGGATTACAGGGTAAGGCCTGGCTGTCACCTTTGGTACTGGCTCATTAGGCAGAGAGCTTAAAGCAGGACATGGCATTTCACCTCCTAGTCTTTGACATGGCGACAGTGGAAGAAGCTAGTAGAAAACCTTCCACCACCACAGCCCCAGAACCTAAGTGTGTCTGCTTAAAGACCCTGCTTTGTTAGCAGGATGTAGAGCAAGAGTCCCGGATTCACTACCCTAGTAGGGTCAGGTTGATAATGTACGTGAGTAAAGCGGCCAGCAGACAAGAGAGTGGTGGGATCTGTGGCTAACTGGAGAGCAAAAGTCCATCTAAAGAGGGTGCCCGTCCAGCTTTGGTTCATAATCACCATTTGGGAAAGTGGACCCAGCATTGCTAGATTTTCCCACATTTCAAGAGAAGAGAAGAGAAATGGAGTTTTACACAAAAATCTGGATTTGTAAAATCCCAAGTAGGAGCCAGCCCATGAGGGGCCTTGGAAGTCCTGCCAGAAAAATCCACTAGTCAAGTGGCTGGTCACCTGCTTCTCTGCCAATCAGTGATCTCATTGTTTGCTTTAATTTAGAAAATATATCCATAAATGTGTTGCTTGCAGTTTTAAAGATGAAAATTGCCCTTGTCCTGACATGTCTTTCTTCCTAGGCCGTGGGGAAGATTTTCTCTGGCCTGGCACAGTGCGGGGCTTGGGGCTGCTTTGATGAGTTTAATCGAATCGATGCTTCTGTGCTCTCCGTGATCTCCTCCCAGATCCAGACGATCCGAAATGCTCTGATCCATCAGTTAACCACGTTCCAGGTGAGACACATGAAGCCCCCGGGACCATGTCCCTAGGATGGAAGTTTGCCAAGTATGGTAAGCTTCCTCTGTAGCGTCAGTTTCTGGGCCGTTGACACTCCAGACCAGGCTTCCTGTAGAAGATCTGTTGGTTTTTCCAATTGAGATGATTGGGTTTCCAAAATTATCATCATTGATGATAAGGTTTGTAATAGTCCAAGGACTTCACACTGACTCCAGACACAGAACCAATAGTTATGAATGGGCGTGGGGCAGAGTTCTCAAATAAGTGATGTGCAGGGTCCCCTAGAAAGGAAACAATATTCTTGGCGACTTCCCAAGTTTGAGAAAACCTGACTTAGAAAGCGAATGTTCCTTGCAATCATTATCACAGTGAACAAGAAATTTTGCCTTCATACCTTGTGAAGTTACGGCATCATAACAAGCAGGATTTGCAAGGTTATCAAAGTGAGAAGGCAGAATTTTAAAACAATTGTTGAGAATTCACCAATTTCTCTCTGCCAAAGAATATGTTTGCAGACTTGAGTTTGAGAAGTCTGCATTAAATTACACCAGATTAAGCTGGATCCAAATTTGGAGAAACATGATCTTATTATGTAATCTAGGTGGCCCAGAAGGGGATTCTCTGAAAACACAGGACCAGCGTGGGTGGGCCATTTCCCTACACCGGGGTCTTCTGGGTCCCTTGCTGTCCTTCTGCCTCTGTCCTCCCCCCTCCATGCCCTGCACACTTGTCACTAAGCCACTTGCTCCACAGTCATACCATGCCTTGTGACACCACATGTGTCCCCATCTGAGTGGAATTGTCCCTTCTTCCCTTCACTGGAAAACTCCTATACATCCTTTAGAGCCCCATTCCAGGATGAAAATTCAGCTTGAGCTGGTGGCCCTGTCATCTCACATGCGTCCTCCTCAGATCTTGGCAGGGCTCACTGTTAAGAGATTGTGTCAGCTGGAGACTGTTCAATATTTTCAGGATTCCAGTAAAGGGTCTGGATAGATTTCCCTTTGATGAGTTCTTTTGAGGGATTTTTGGGGCTGAGCTGACTGCTCCCGAGAGAGGGAATTAACCTGCAATGTATATAGATTTCCAGAAGCTGTGTTTCTCAGAGCCAGGAGGCAGCAGCTATCTGCTCTTCCCCCTGGGCCATCTGGGCCATCTGGGCCTCTTGTGGGATACTGAGGCTAGGGATGGTCTCAGGGCCGACCTATGAGTCAAGGCAGTGGCCTTGTTTTGGGGGAGGCTGGCTGTCTTCCGGGCTGCCCTCTCGTTGGTGATGCAGACTGTGCCTCCTAACAACAAAAATTTTCTGTCCTCTGCCTGGCTGGTGGACAATCAAAAAAAATAAAATAGAAAACTTCACCGAGAGACGACCGGACTCAACCTTCAGCTAAAAAGGCTAAGAATATAGGGATTTCCGTGGTTTGTTGGTACCTGGGGCAACCAGAGGAATGAAGACTGGTTTCTTGAGGGGTTTGAGGTGGGATTCTTTAGGCAGGAGTGACTGCATGAAGTCCAGGCACCCGCAGAAGGTGCAAAGCCAGGTGAGAGGAATGGAAGCCGGCGCTGTGTGAGGTGGTGGGCTGGGCGCTCCCAACCTGGGCTGTCTCCTTTCATCGCCACAGCCGTGCCACGAGGTGGGTTGCATTTCTGTTGTGCAGAAAAATAAACTGAGACTCAGAGAGGTTAAGTGACCTGCTGAGGGTCACACAGCTTCTTGTATCAGCCCCAGACTCTGTGCTTCGCCAACCTGGGCCCCTTCTCCAAGGTAGTGCCCTGGGTTCAGGTCTGAGTTTGGGGTTCCACTGAGACCTGCCCTCCCCAAGGCCTTCAGCGAGGGGGGCCCTGCATTGAACACCGGGGAGGGAAAAAGAGACAAGTGGTGTTGTCAGCCTCATACCATGAAAATGAATCGCCACGCAGCTCGCCGCAGGCCCCCTTTCCAAGGGGCTGGCCGGCCGGGCCACCTAACTGCTTCTTTCTTTCTTCCTTCTTGCCCTCCAGTTTGAAGGGCAGGAGATTTCCCTGGACTCCCGCATGGGCATCTTCATCACCATGAACCCCGGCTACGCAGGCCGCACGGAGCTGCCCGAGTCGGTGAAGGCGCTGTTCAGGCCTGTGGTCGTGATCGTGCCCGACCTGCAGCAGATCTGTGAGATCATGCTCTTCTCTGAGGGCTTCCTGGAGGCCAAGGTGGGGGGCCTTGGCAGCGCCAGGTCGTGCAGTGCAGACTTCACCCGGGTCTGCTTCCAGACTGGGGACCTAGGACGCGTTAGCTCCGTGTGGCTCTTCCAGACGGGACCTAGGATGTGTCAGCTCCATGTGGCTCTTCCAGATGGGACCTAGGATGTGTTAGCTCCGTGTGGCTCTTCCAGACGGGACCTAGGATGTGTTAGTTCCATGTGGGTCTTCCAGACTGGGGACCTAGGATGTGTTAGCTCCATGTGGCTCTTCCAGACTGGGGACCTAGGATGTGTCAGCTCCATGTGGCTCTTCCAGACTGGGGACCTAGGATGTGTCAGCTCCGTGTGGCTCTTTGATTTTTGTTTTTTTTTTCTGCTGTGTCTCTCTTCTTCCTCCCCCACCTCTTTTTAAATTATAACTTTTAATTTTGGAATAATGTAAGATGCACAAGAGGTTGCAACAATAGTAGCACGGACTTTCCAGGTGCCCCTTCCCCATGAGAACATCTCACATAGCCACAGTCCATTGCCCAAACCAGGGAGTTGGTGTTGGCACAAGTGCCATTAACTCAGGTGTAGACGTTGTGTGGATTTCACCAGGTTTCACATTCTCTCTATGGCGTGTGCGTGTAGTTAGTTCTATGACGTTTTATCACATGTGGATGGGAGTGGCCGTCACCACATCAGGATACAGAACTATTCCATCACCACGACCACAAAGAAGAGAGACAGGGTCTTACTCTGTCACCCAGGCTGGAGTGCAGTGGTGGGATCACAGCTCACTGCAGCCTCAAACTCCTGGGCTCAAGTGATCTTCCTGCCTCAGCCTCCTGAGTATTTGGGACCACAGGCAGATGCCATCACACCTGGCTAATCTTGCTTATTTTTTGTAGAGACAGGGTCTCTACAGCCCAGGCTGGTCTCGAACTTCTGGGCTCCAGTAATCCTCCCACCTCAGCCTCCCGAGTAGCTGGGACTACAGGTTGTGCCACTGCACCCAGCCTCATGTTACTGCTTACTAGACACATTCTCCCCTCAACCCTAACTCCTGCAACCCCTGATCTATTCTTCAGTCAGTGTAATTTTGTCACTTTGAGAATGTTCTCTACCTGGAGACATGTAGTATGGAACCCTTTGAGACGGGCTTCTTTCACTCAGCACAATGCCTTTGAGAATATGTAGATTCAAAAACAACTTTATGGATAACTTTTATCCTCTTTTAAGCTATCTATAAAATGTACATACGTAAGATCTTTCCAGAAGCTCTGGAAAAGTTACAAAATAGAGAATACTTTTAACATAGAGGGTTGTCACATTGCGTTTCTGCAATATGTCTTTTATTGAAAGCTCTTGGTGCCTATTACCGTGTCAGGATTTTGAGTTGGCACGATGAGATCTCTTGTTCCTAGTTTTCACGACTAAAATTGCCACACTTGCCTTAGAGACCTGTGGGTTTTGAACCCTTGCCATAGATGAGGTGGCTGACTTGTCCTCAAAGACATTTACAGCCTTTTTTTTTTTTTTGAGATGGAATCTTGCTCTGTCACCCAGGTTGGAGTGCAGTGGTGTGATCTCAGCTCACTGCAACCTCTGTCTCCCAGGTTCAAGCGGATTCTCCTGCCTCAGCCTCCCAAGTAGCTGGGATTATAGGCATGCGCCACCACGCCTGGCTAATTTTTATATTTTTAGTAGAGACAGGGTTTCACCATGTTGGCTAGGCTGGTCTTGAACTCTTGACCTCAGGTGATCCACCCACCTTGGCGTCCCAAAGTGCTGGGATTACAGGCATGAACAACTATGCTTGGCCCAGTTACAGCCTTAATAATAGGTTTAGGTCAAAATAAAGAAGCAATGTATTTCTGGAGTGTGATTCCTACAGATGGTTCTGTTCTTTAAATTAAGATAGTGAAGATTTTGGTAACACAGATGTTTCTTCAAATTAGTTCCCAATTTGCCATATTTAAAAATGAAGGACCCACCCTGGTATTTCTGGAAGTTAGAGATGGAATTTGCTTATTTGTAGAGCAGCTGCACTGGAACACCTGCCCCCGTTTTCTTGCATTTGTAGAATGATGCTCCATTGCTTTTGAATCATTTTCTTTTTTCTTTTTTTTTGTATTATTATCTTCTATCAAAAAGACTCTGGCGAAAAAGATGACGGTTCTGTATAAGCTGGCCCGGGAGCAGCTGTCCAAGCAGTATCACTATGATTTTGGACTCAGAGCCCTGAAATCGGTGCTGGTCATGGCTGGTGAGCTGAAGAGAGGCTCCTCTGACCTTAGGGAGGTAGGGGCCACGTGCTGGAACATTCTCTGGTTTCAGCTGCTTCAGGCATTTACTACGTGCCATTGGGGAGGTGATGGGCACAGTATGGTATCACCTGAAAGGTTTAAGTCTTAGCTGCCTCTTCACCCCGCGGTCTGGCCTTACTTTGGCCTCTTACCTGTTGTATCGTTTGCTTGTAATTACACTTAGTACCTTAAGGTCAAGTGCAATGTCTTCGCTCCAATAGCAACATTTATGATGCTTCCATAGTAATAATCTGTAGTCTCAGGATGGGTGTGGCGGAAGGGTGGGGACTAACAAAATTCTCATGAAAGCATGAAGGTGAGTTGTTATTTTCTCTTTGAAACAAAAGAGGGGAACAATTGTGTTTTTTTTACATGGACTTTAAATAAAAGGTTTAGTCAATGTTCTGTGGGCAACAGGCTTACCTGTTTCTCTAGTGACTGTACTCAATGTTGCACGCACACACGCACGCACACACACGCACACGCACGGACACACGCACGCGCACACACACACGGATACATGCACGCGCACACACGTACGCACGCACATGTACACATACGCACACGCACGCACACGCACACGCACACACACACACATTTGGGTAGTAAAAAAAAAACAGCCGTGAGTGCAGTGATAGAAGCCTGTTTGTGTCCATAGGAGGAGAGGCTGCCACAAATCGCTTCATTCTTTTGGGATTTTCACACATTTGGGTTTTTTTTTTTTTTTTTTTTGGAGGGGTCGAAGGAAGAGTTATTTATGCTCTTACAAAAAAGGAAGCTGTAAAATGTAAAACACTATAAAGTCAGATGGAGCTGCATTCGTCATTTGTACTTCTTTTTTCTTAGGAGAAAGGAGTTATATGGAAACTTCTTTCATTTTCTCCCCTGCTCCTCTATGTCCAAAGTTGAAGGGCGATCATGCTATTGAGTGGGTCATATCTTCTGAACTGAAAAACCACCGATGCCACTTTCAGTCTTAGCAACAGGGAAAACAGTCTCAAGTGCTATCTAAGGCTCTACGAAGAAGAGTGAGGCCGTTTGCAGCAGTCTCTCCTCCTAGGGCGGTGAATATGGTCCCATCACTGCACTCACTACTGGCTTGTTTTCTTTTACTGCCTTACACTGAACCCAAGCATGCATTCATAGGCTCAACTGCTGCACAATCTGGTACTTCCTTAGAAGAATGAAAACACATTGCAAATACCGAATATCCAAGGACTTCCGAGAAAGAGGTAAAAAACAGCCTCCTTTTCTAGGAGGAAAATCCCTCTTCTCATCCAGCAATGTGGACTTACACATGTAAAACTGTGTTTGTACAGAGACTGCGATGGTTTCTTCACATAGGAAATTAACTTTGCTGTATTGTCTTTGGGCTTCTTTATCACATTAAAAGTTTGCAAGCTTGGACCTTTGTTCTTATTCAGTAAATCTATGTCACAGGATGAGTGAGGATTTAGCATCTTTTGCTTCAAATTAGAACCACATATTTGGAATTTACTGCTGCAGTTCTCAGCTGCGCTTATCATGACAGTGGTGGAAACTGGAGGACATTAAAAAGCCCATGAAGTCAGCTGTACTTGCCATTTATTTAGTCTTGTTTGGAATAAAAGGTAAAGAATTCACAAATACCACCACCTCAGCACCTGTTTCAAAGGAAACATCAGGCTTCAGCTTGCAACATGATGTCGTTACAATTAAGCAAATAGCAGAAGCCCCCGTCAGTTGCTTCCTTCTTCTGGAGAAGGCGGGGAACTGCAATCCCCGGGGCTCCTGTGTTGAGTCTGGGAGGCAGAACAAAAGGAAAAGTGGCCTTTTCCACTCCACATCCTGGAGGTAATGGGTAGAGAAGACATACCCACATTTCCAGATAGTGAACGCTGAGTAGAGAAGCAGGACTACCTGTCCTAGGAGACAACATAGAGACGCTTGCCAGGTCCTGAGTTCAGAATTTTGTTTTTGAGATTTATATAAAAGCACCTAAGGCTGGGCGCAGTGGCTCATGCCTGTAATCCTAGCACTTTCGGAGGCTGAGGTGGGAGGATTGCTTGAGGCCAGAAGTTTGAGACCAGCCTAGGCAACATGGCAAAACCCCATTTCTTTCCAAACAAATACCCAAAACTAAAAAATTTAGCTGGCTGTGGTGGCACACTTCTATAGTCCCAGCTACTTAGGAGGCTGAAGTAGGAGGATTGCTTGAACCTGGGAGGTGGAGGCTGCAATGAGCCGAGATGGCACTATTACACTCCAGCCTGGGTGACAGAGCGAGACCCTGTCTCAAAAAAAAAAAAAAAATAATAATAAAAAGTATATATATATATATGCGCACCTAAAGGTCAAAGTAAATGTTCTTCCTGTAATAAGGAACCTTTGCTTTAGCGTAGATGGCCATACCCCTCTGTAAGGTGGGGAGGAGGAAGTTTCTGCTCCTTCCCTCTGGCCGAGATCTGTTTTCTTCTCCTTGCACGGCCCACCAGGACACTCAGCCTCCTAGGAGCAGGCCCACCCTGGCCTCACTCCTCTGCCTGTGCTCCTATTTTATATTTTATTTAATTTTTACATTTATATACAATTTTGTATTGTATATTTCACTTTTATATATTTTATTTTACATTTTTATTTTCATATGAAACTTTGAAAAATGCATATTTACATTTATATTATTTATATGATCATTATTAAATATGAAATATGAAATTTCATATATTCATATTACACATAATATCTTATACATATTTTATACTATATAATATACATAACATTTTATATACATTTATAAATTTATATAATTTATAAATAATACAAATATAATTAATTTATATGAATGATATAAAATATATAAATTTTATAAAATTTAATTTATATAAAATTGTAATATATGTATATAATTTATATATAATTTTATATTTCATTTTAAATTTTATATTTCATTTAAATATATATGTATGTGTATATATATGTGTGTGTGTGTGTATATCTATCTATCTATCTATCTTTTTTTCGAGACAGAGTTTCACTCTTGTCACGCCAGGAGTACGATGGCGCAATCTCAGTTCACTGCAACCTCCACCTCCTGGGTTCAAGCGATTCTCCTGCCTCAGCCTCCCGAGTAGCTGGGATTACAGGCACCTGCCGCCACACCCAGCTAATTTTTGTGTTTTTAGTAGAGATGTGATTTCACCATGTCGGCCAGGCTGATCTCGAACTCCTCAGGTTATCCACCCACCTCAGCCTCCCAAAGTGCTGGAATTACAGGCATGAGCCACTGCACCCGGCCATATATGTGTATATTATATAATATGAAGTACATATTATATGAAATATATGAAATATATATTTTATATTTTATGTTTAATCTCATGTAAACTATTTTATATAATTTATATTTATTTACATATTAATATAAAATAAAAAATAAAATTATATAATTTCTGTATATAAAAATATATAATACATATATTCAGAAATTATATAATTTTAAATTAATTTCTGTAATTTAAATTTAAATTAATTTAAATTAATTTCTGTAATTTAAAATTATGTAATTTTAAATGTGTATAAAATTGTTAAAAATAATAAAATGTTTATATAAAAATTATATTTTATATTTCATAAGAGTGTTACCACTGGGTTGGAAACACAGTCCAAAGCACTGGGTTCCTTTGGAAATCTCTTGGAAACATGTGTTTCATTTCCTGCAGGACGTGGTGCTGATGAGGGCCTTGCGAGACATGAACTTGCCCAAATTTGTGTTTGAAGATGTTCCTCTTTTCCTTGGTTTGATTTCGGATCTGTTTCCTGGGCTGGACTGCCCTCGCGTCCGCTACCCTGACTTCAACGATGCGGTAGAGCAGGTCCTGGAGGAGAACGGCTACGCGGTCCTACCCATCCAGGTAAAGCCAGGAAAATGACCTCACTGTGGCCGTGCATCCTTTCCATTGGCTTTTTGTTTTTGCAGTTCTTTAAAAATATATGTACAGTAAAATACGCATAAGTTTCACCATCTTAACCATTTTTCCCCATTTTTAAATCACAGTAAAATACACATAACAATATTTACCATCTTACCTACTTTTAAATGTAGAGTTTGTTAGGCCGGGCACAGTGGCTTACGCCTGTAATCCCAGCACTTCGGGAGGCTGAGGCGGGTGGATCACGAGGTCAAGAGATTGAGATCATCCTGGCCAACGTGGAGAAACCCCATCTCTACTAAAAATACAAAAATTAGCCGGGCGTGGTGGCGCTCGCCTGTAGTCTCAGCTTCTTGGGAGGCTGAGGCGAGAGAATTGCTGGAACGCGCGAGGTGGAGGTTGCAGTGAGCCAAGATCGTGCCACTGCACTCCAGCCTGGTGAGAGAGCGAGACTCCGTCTCAAAAAATAAAAGAAAAAAGAAAAAATGTAGAGTTTGTTGGTGCTAAGTACATTCACATTACTGTGCAACCATCAGCATTATCCATCTCTGGAACGTTTTCATATTGCAAAACTAAAACCCTACACCCGTTAACAGCTTACCTTCTCCCCTCCCTCCGCTGGCAACCTCTGCTCGACTTCCTGTCTCTACAAATTTGACTACTCTAGGTACCTCCTGTAAGTAGAATCATGTAATTTTTGTCCTTTTGTGTCTGGCTTATTTCACTAACAGTGTTTTCAACATTTATCCATGTTGTGGCATGTGTCAGAATTTCTTCCTTTTTAAGGCTAAATTTTATATATATAGTTTTTTTTCACACAATGTGATCAGGTGACTCAAATATTTTGTTTTGAGGCATCAACCATCAGAGGTTCTTTCCTCACCTCACCTTTTTTTTCTCCTGAGTCACACTTAAAAAAAAATTAAATTAGATATTGCAGGGATAGGATTTGGATCCTCTGAAGCCTGTAAGTTGTATATGTTGTCATTAAGCCAAACACGTATTGATTGGCAGAGTCCTGCTGAGAGTGTAAATGCCCAGAGCCTCCAGACCTGGGGGGTTGCCTCGGGTCGGGCAGCTTCAGGGTGTCAGGCTACCCCGGAGACCTCAGGCCTGGGCAGTGGGCACCGGGTACCGGCCGTGGACGAGAGCTTTCTGTGCTTTTCCTGACCCTGATTTTCTCTGGAGTTGGTTGTTGAAAAAGATGTGTTTTCTGGAAGGAATATAAAATGGTGCAGCCACTTTGGAAAACAGCCTGGCAGTTCCTCAACAGGTTAAACCGAGAGTTACCATAAGACCCAGCAATTTCACTGCTGGGGATCTACCCAAGAATGAGGACGAACGTCCGCTCAGAATTGTTCATGAATGTCCGGAGCAGCATTATTCATAATAGCCAAAAAGTGGGAACAACCCAACATCCATCAGTTGATGGATCCACTGCTGAAACAGAATGTGGTCTGTCCATCCCATGGGATATATTTTGGCCATAGAAAGGAATGCAGCACGCGTGCTACAACATGGATGAGCTTTGAAAACATGCTAAGCGAAAGAAGCCAGATGTGAGAGATCACACATTCTAGGATCCCATTTCCATGAAATGCCCAGAATACGCAAATCCGTAGAGACAGGAAGTAGATGAGTGGTTGCCAGGGGCTGGGGGAAAGGGGATTGGGAGAGATGGGTACAGGGTTTTTTGTGGGGAGGGGTGATAAAAATGTTCTAAAATTGCTCATGGGGATGGTTGCACAACTCTGTGAATATACTGGAAACCATTGACTTGTACCCTTTCAAAGGTAAATTGTATGGCGTGTGTGTTGTATCGCAATAAAACTGCGTCAGAAAAAAGATAATGTTTTAGCCCAGCTGCCATTGTTTGTCCCGCAGGTGGATAAAGTGGTTCAAATGTTCGAGACCATGTTAACCCGCCACACGACGATGGTGGTGGGGCCCACCAGAGGGGGCAAGTCCGTCGTCATTAACACTCTGTGTCAGGCCCAGACCAAGTGAGTATGACCTCCGTAGGGAGGGCCTGGCTGCCACAGGGGCTCACAGTATATGTTTGGTGCCAGTATTACCAAGTCCCACTTTGCTCTCTGATTTCCTGGGAGGGTAAATTTGTAATACACACCCCTTTCGACTCAGCGTGTTTTTACTGACTTTATTGCAGACTTAGTTAAGATATTTTAGAATGCAAAATAGCAACCCGCTTGTGCATCAGATGGTGAATAGGTTCATTTGTGAAATGAGAATTTCACAAACTATCTTATAAGGATATTTTGAAAATGAATGTAAGTCATAGTTTCTTGGGGTCCAAATTGCTTCCTTAAAGTAAGTCAGGATTCACCTTATGCAGTACTGCTGTGGTTTCGCAGTGGCCAGAAAACGAATGTCACCTCCCCGGGTGCCTTATAATCGCTAGCCCTTCGGGGGCAATTCTTCACGAAGGAAAAAGTGATCGTACACTCCCACATTGAAGATCGTAAAGGAGCCAGGCATGGTGGCTCACGCCTGTAATCCCAGCACTTTGGGAGGCCTGGGTGGGAGGATCCCATAGTCCAGGATTTTGAGAACAGCCTGGGCAACATAATGAGACTCCGTCTCCACATTAAAAAAAAATTAGCTGGGTGTGGTGATGTGCACCTGTAGTACAGCTACTCAGGAGGCTAAGGAGGGAGGATTGCTTGAGCCCAAGAATTTGAGGCTGCAGTGGGCTAGGATTGTGCCACTGCACACCAGCCTGGGCAACAGAGTGAGACCTTCTCTCTAAAAAAAAAAAAAAAGGAGAGTATGTCATAAAAGCCTGCAGTGAATTGAAAGCCTTCTACTGAAAGTGGATTCCTGACTCCTCACTTCTCTTCTAAGCAATAACTAGATTCCAGAAAGACCTCCGTGGATGCTGATAGCCCGGCAAAAATCTAAATCAAGCCAAAGTTTCTGTGACTTAAACATTTCTAGGCAGTCTATAAAATCTAAAGAGTAAGTGTCTGTCATATGTTCCCATTATTTCTTCATATGTTTCATATGAGAAAACCAGTCGACAGTGGCTTACTGACTCTAAGTGGGCTGTGCCGTGGCCATCTGCATTTCATTCTTTAATTCATTCATTGTAAGTTTATAGAACTATCACACAGTTGTATGCATGTGTAATATAGCATGTACATTATGATTTACTGATTCGTTGGTTGTGAACTGTGGAGTGTGTGAAGTTTTGTTCTCTATAGATGAATTAATCCTATAGTTAGTGCTGCAGGGATTTACAGGCACTGTGGTGAGAAATGCCCTGTCTGCTTGATTCATGAAGTCAACAGAGCAGCTGTTGTTCTGTAGATAAGGAGGATTGAACATTAGTAGTCCAAAGCCTTGTTATTATCGTGGATGACTGAGTGTGGTCTCCTATACGCCCTTAATTCTGAGATATTTACTTAAATGTCATATATATGAATATGTAATATGCATAAATATGAAATATACATGAAAGTTAGCTTCTTGGTGCCCTCCAGAGGCAAAGCTGTGCTTCTAGTTCAGACTTCATTTGTGCTGTGGCCACATTTTTGGTGAAATGTGGTTGCTTTATATTTAGAAGAAAGCACTAACAGTGAAGGGAAGCCCAGTGAAGAGTTTGCATGGGTTGCATTTTCAATTTTGGATTAAAGTCAAAACATCTAATTCCTCATAGAGGGAACCCAGACTGTTTTCCTCATGCATTTAGTTGTCTTGAACCATGGCTAAAGCCTCTCTTGATTTAGGCTTGGGCTGACGACAAAGTTGTACATCCTGAACCCCAAAGCCGTGAGTGTCATAGAACTCTACGGCATCCTGGACCCAACCACCCGAGACTGGACAGATGGGGTGTTGTCAAACATCTTCAGGGAAATCAACAAGCCAACAGACAAGAAGGAGCGAAAGTGAGTATCTTTGTAGGTAGGAAAGAGCCTGGGTTAGTTAATGTTAATTAGCTCAACATTAAAAACGGTGGCAGGACTATACATTGTAGCTTCATGCTTGGATTTCAACAGACTTAGAGTCCAGTCTTGGAGGCTGTGCTTCGGAAGTGCGCAGTCCAATCTTAGTGCTTTTTATGTGTGACCTCAGTTGTCTTAGTGATGCAATGTGGTAGGTACCGGGATTGTTCCCAGCTTACCACAGAGGAAACTGAGGCCTAGAAAAGGTCAGAAATGTGGCCCAAGGCCAGGGATTTGGCCCTGATCTGTGTGACTCTAAGTTCTCAAACACAGCCGCCATCAAGCTGCCTGATCACCACGTTCTATGGCAAGGTAAGTCAAGGAAAGGTAGCAAAGGGCCATGGAAAGTGCAGGAATGCCCTCCTGAGCCACGGCTTTCCATCTGTAGACGTGGTTGATGGTGCCCTGATGACATCACCACATGCCATGGCAAAGGCCAAGTGAGGCCAAGTACAGAAATGCTCTGAGGGTGTGTAAGGTAAAAAGCTTTTAGTTGGTCCTATAATATCTCTTTGCTAAACTCAGGAATGGTTCTGATTTTATGTTCTAATCAAATCCCATTAATAATAAATAAAATCCTTAAATAACAAGAGTCCAAAGTCCCAACTCATGGCTTTTAAAACAGCTTCTTAGCGCTTTTCCCCTGATTCTGGATGAACCCAGGATTCCACGCTGAATTCCGTTGTCTTGTTTTTGGCATTCTTTAATTTTGAGCAGTTCGTCAGGATTTCTTTATCTTTTATGACCTTCCTGTTCTGGAGGATTCCAGGCCAACCGTTTTAGAGAATGGTCTCGGTTTGGGTTTGTCCGCTGCTTCTTCATAATTAGATTCAGGCCATGGCTGTTTGACAGGAAGGCTGCAGGAGTGATGCTGTGTCCTTCTCCGCATCTCATCACGGGCACATGGTGTTGGTTGCCCTATTATGGGTGGTGTTAATCTTGATTATTGGGTTAAGGTGCCATTTTCCTCTTTGCAGTTGATATGCAACTCTAGGGAGATAACTTATGACTAAGTAAATATCCCATTTCTCATCCAACCTTCACCCATTCACCCAATGGTTTGGAGCATCTGTTGATGGTTACTTGAATCTGGTCATCCTCCTCCTCCTCCTCCTCCTTCTCCTTCTTCTTCTCCTCCTCCTCTTCCTCTTCTTGTTCTTCTTTCTTCTTTTCTTTTTTTTTGAGAGGGGTCGTGCTCTGTTGCCCAGGCTAAGTTCAGTCACATGATCACGGCTCACTGCAGCCTCAAACTCCTGGGCTCAAGCAATCCTCCCACCTCAGCCTTCCAGGTGGCTGGGACTGCAGGTGCATGTCACCATGCCCAGCTAATTTTTGCTTTTTTTTGTAGAGACAGAGTCTCCCTGTACTGCCCAGGCTTGTCTTGAACTCCTGGGCCCAAGGAATCCTCCTGCCTCAGCCAACTACAGTGCTGAGATTACAGGTGTGAGCCACCATGCCTGGCCGTTGAGTCCTTTTATAGTGAATATAAATGGAGACTTTCTATAGGGACAACTGGTGAAATTTGAATGTGGACTATACATTAGATAATAGTATTGTATCAATATTACATTTCCTGAGTTTGATAATTCTGCTGTGGTTGTGTAAGAGAAGGTGCTTATTCTTAGGAAATACTTGCTTAAGTATTTAGGGGAAGGGGGCATTTTATCTGCAATTGACTCTCAAATGATTCAGAGAGAGAGAATAAGAGAGAGTGCGAATGTGGCAAAAAAACGTAACAATTGGGGAATCTGACTGAAAGGCATATGGGAGTTCTTCATACTGTTTTATTCTCATAACTCTGTAAGTTTGAAATTATTTAAAAATAAAAAGCTAAAAGGAAAAAAATACAGGAAGGAAATAAACCAAAATGTTAATCCTGGAAAAAAAAGATCTAACTGCTTATATCAGTGAGTTAAATGGAGGCACTATCAAACCACCATTTCAGCACAGTAGAATAGCCTCTGTCCTGTGGAGATGGGCTTTGCTGCATGAGATGTCACCCATTATAGCCACAAAATGGAACCATCCTGAAGCTTGAATACCTGAGGCCTTGGACGTAGACGTGCTGCCAGGACACATGGTGTGTAACCCAGGGCTTGTGAACTCAGATGCTCCCAGGGACCCAGCAGGTAGCACAAATGAGTGAAGTGGAGCAAATTACATGGTGGTGTTAGTTTCCTAGGGCTGCCATAACAAATAACTGGGTGGCTTGAAACAACAGAGATTTATTATCTCATAGTTCTGGAGGCCAAAAGTCTAAAAAGAGGTGTGAGCAGGACTGCACTCCCTCCGAAGGCTCTAGGGCAAATCCTCACCTCTTCTGCTTCTGGTGGTTCCAGGTGTTCCTTGGCTTGTGACCACATCATTTCAAACTTTGCCTCTTTCTTGGCCTTCCCCTCTGTGTGTCTTATGTCTCCTCCTGCTTTTCTCTTATAAGGACATTTGTCATTAGATTAGGACTCATCTGTATAATCCAGAATGGTCACATCTTGAGATCCTTAATTGCGTTTGCAAAGGCCTTTCTCCAAACAAGGTCACAGTCACAGCTTCTGGGTGAACACATCTTTTGGTGGGGGGTGGGTACCATTCGACCCACTACACATGGACATCCAAAATACTTTCTTTATTCTTGACTGTACCACAGGAAACCAGGGGTTAAAACCAGTGATAAATAGCAATTGATACTCAGCCTCAGATGTAAGAGAAGAATGAGGTAGGAGTTGTGGCAGGGGCAGGGACTATGACACTTTCTGTCTTCATGGGCAGCCACTACTCAGCATCAGCTGATTGTTCCCACGAAGGAATCCAGGTCTGTGTGCTCAGAACTTCCAGCTTGCCCAAGAAGTGAGAAATTCAGATTTTTGTGTGAAGTTCCCTCATTCTTAAATATTGGCAAAGAACTCAAACTTTTTTTTCTTTTTTTTTTTTTTTTTTTTGAGACGGGGTCTTGCACTGTTGCCTGGGTGGGAGTGCAATAGTGCTATCTTGGCTCACTGCAACCTGTGCCTCCTGGGTTCATGCGATTCTCCTGCCTCAGCCTCCTGAGTAGCTGGGATTACAGGCACACACCACTATGCCTGGCTAATTTTTTGTATTTTTAGTAGAGACGGGGTTTCACTATGTTGGCCAGACTGGTCTCGAACTCCTGACCTCGCGATCCGCCCACCTTGGCCTCCCAAAGTGCTGGGATTACAGTTTTTTATGTACCATTTCAGTCAAACCTCTGGGCCAACTAGGGTGCTCTGTCTCAGATACTGGGTAGAAAACCCTGGGAAAAAGACATTCAACATGAATGGGCAGGTTATACCAAGTTCCATAATTGGAAGCTCTCTAGGACCCATGGCTCTCCTTTCTTTGGTTGCTGCAGGTATATTTTATTTGATGGTGATGTGGATGCTCTATGGGTGGAAAACATGAATTCTGTGATGGATGACAACAGGTTGTTGACATTGGCCAACGGGGAACGCATCCGGCTCCAAGCACACTGTGCCCTGCTCTTTGAGGCAAGTAGTGATTAAAAGTAAATTTGAACATAAATCTTTCTTGTAATTAAAAATGCAAATGTTTGTTAAAGTAGTAGTAAATGTAGATGATTATTTAAAAACAAACAATGCATAAGGGTTTATAATGAATACAACTCTTTGTTCTTTACTCCTCTCATCCCTCTTTATCCCAGAAGTGACTACTTTTACTTTTTATGAATTGTTTCTTCTGATGATTACCCTAGTGTCTATAAGTAACAGGCTTAGCATGATATTCTTCCTTTATACATTTTATAGTTTATACATTATCTGTTGACTGACTGCTACAAAAGTGAGAATTCATCTCTTATACCACTAACGTCAGAATAGTATATTGCTAAGTTGGTTAACAGTAGATAATGTTTACATTATAATGAAGATAGAAATAATTTACTGAAGAACCAACTAATATACTACGATTACATTTACTTTCTTTTAGAGCCATTTCCTTTGTCTAGAGTTTGTAATTGCCTTCCTTTTTTTCCCTCACACTATTTGCCTTTATTTTAATCTCATTTTTTTTTTTAAACTTTCTATCATATCAAGTATTCTGTCGAGCCCCTTTATTTCCTGGAGGCTATTCTCCAAAGCCCTCTATCTCTTAGGATATGGACTGCTCGTTTCATAGGTGTGGCCCTGGGACTTGCTTTCACTCTAGCTTAGTATTAATGCCATTTCTAACTGTAAAATTTGTCAGTGCATGAAATATTTGTACATATTATTATCTGATTAGCTGACTGAACTATATTTTTTTTGTAGAGAGAGCTAGGTTTGTTAATATATCTGGTTTAGCTTTGTACTTATGAAGTTTTATACTGCCTGATCTCAACTATGTTAAAAAAATAATAAAGAAAAAAGATTGACTGGAAAACACTCCAAAACAACATTTGTTTCTGGGTGGTGGGATTTGGATAACTTATTTTCTTCTTTATATTTTTCTATTTTTTGTCAGATATTCTACAACGTATTAATTTTCACATTAATTTTATAATAGAAAAACCAAAAAGATGTTACATCAGAAGTGTGTAATCTTCTCATCAAAATCCCAGGTGTTCAGTTAAAAAGCTCATGGAAGCTGTGTTGATTTTGGTATTATTTGGATTTCATGCAGTTGTAAAAACTTTCCATAAGAGAAGGTCCTTAAACATCTAGTTTATCTTGTGTATAGCTATAGCCATGATTGATTTTCTTTATTTATCCAGGTTGGAGATTTACAGTATGCCTCCCCTGCAACTGTCTCTCGATGTGGAATGGTTTATGTGGATCCTAAAAACTTGAAATATCGACCATACTGGAAAAAATGGGTTAATCAAATACCAAACAAGGTGAAATTTTTTTCTAAAATGAACTTAAATTTATTAGTATTGATGGCTAGTTGGATAACATAGTCCAGAGGGATGTTTGTAGTTGAAGGCGATGACTTTGTCCTTGACCTGCCCATGTCCCTGAGCACAAAATAAGTGAAAACATGGCAGACACACTTTTTTTTTTTTTTTTTTTTTTTTTTTTTTTGGAGACGGAGTCTCGCTCTGTCACCCAGGCTGGAGTGCAGTGGCGCAATCTCGGCTCACTGCAAGCTCCGCCTCCCAGGTTCATGCCATTCTCCTGCCTCAGCCTCCCGAGTAGCTGGGACTACAGGCGCCCGCCACCACGACCGGCTAATTTTTTGTATTTTTAGTAGAGGCGGGGTTTCACCGTGTTAGCCAGGATGGTCTCGATCTCTTGAGCTCGTGATCTGCCCGCCTCAGCCTCCCAAAGTGCTGGGATTACAGGCGTGAGCCACCGACACACCGACACACTTATTTAATTTCAGATAGTTTATAGCCAGTGGGATAGGTAATGATTGGATTGGTTGGTCTAGACCAGAGGTTGACAAACTTTTTCTGTAGAGGGGTAGATAGTAAATGTCTGAGGCTTTGTGTGGGCAATATGATTTCTTTCACAGCTACTCAACTCTGCTGTTGTGGCATGAAAACAGCCAGAAATTTGTATACAAATGGGCATGGCTGTGTACCAATAAACCTTTATTTACAAAACAGATGACAGGCCAGAGTGTGTGTTGTCTTAACAAAAGGCTTCTGTGAAAAGTGCAGAGATGGATGTGACAGTCACGTGCGGGTTGTGGCTCAACCACACCTAGGACGCTACGACCACCTTCTCAAAGGAACACAGGTGTTCTGGGTGTGTCTCTAGTAGGGCTACTAGGTTGGAGGTGAATGGAAACCAGGACATAATTATGCCAGAAAAGAGCAGAACAAAGGAAGAACAAAGGAAGCATGACAGAACCATCTGAGGCACTGTCCTGTGGGAGACAGCTGTCTCAGGACCCTTGCAATCCCTGGTGGTGATTGGTGCTTTGATAGGGAGGGGACCTTCACTGCTTTACAGTCTTTTCTGGATGACTGTGGTCACTTGAACTCTAAGATGATCAGCCTCTTTCCTGTCAAATGGGACCTGTTATCTTCCCTTTTTCTTCCCCAAGGGCATGGTAGACTCTGTGGCAGCGAAATGAAACACTTCATGATGAGATGAAAGCATATTGCAGAGGACAAATCTCTCTGCAAATATAGGGCACTATTATCAGGATTTCCTCACCTGCCAAATGTATCATTCATCAGAAGATGTTGCTCAACCCTCTTTGGGCAAGAAAAGCTTTCCACTAACTTCCATTTAAATAAACAAACCCTTGAAATGCTTTGGAATGCTACTTTTTTATAGGTGGAGCAATACAATTTGAATAGTCTCTTTGAGAAGTATGTGCCCTATCTCATGGATGTGATAGTGGAAGGAATTGTGGATGGAAGACAAGCAGAAAAGCTGAAGACAATAGTTCCTCAGACAGACCTCAATATGGTAAGAAATGATCCCTGCTGTTAGCAAAAAGAAATTCTTTCCTAAAGACAAGCTCACGGTAGGGTTTTAAAGGGAGTGAAGATGCCAGACAGGGTGAACAGTAGCATTGTTGGTCAGTGCCAAGGCGGGCGCCGTGCTTGCTTTTGTGCAAGTCAAGATACTGGGTTCCATCTGTCTGAACCAACATGTTGGGTCTTATGCTCCCATCGCTCTGGGACCTGGGATCCCAGGATTTATGACTGGAATGGACTCTGTGGGGGTGGACTATGTGGGCTGAACCAGATATTTTCCTGTGAACCAGGTAACCCAGTTAGCCAAGATGTTGGATGCGTTGCTAGAAGGAGAAATAGAAGACCTTGACCTGCTGGAGTGCTACTTCCTGGAGGCTTTGTACTGCTCTCTGGGAGCCTCCCTGCTTGAGGATGGAAGGATGAAATTTGACGAATATATCAAACGCCTTGCTTCTTTGTCTACTGTTGACACAGAAGGAGTTTGGGCCAACCCTGGGGAACTGCCAGGTGGGAACCGAGTGTCGCCTGTTTCCCTGCTCTGAGTGCCTTTGGTTAAATTTCTAGAGGAAGTGAATGAGCTTTTCCATATTTCTGTCTGTATGAGTTTTCCAGATTGTTTGCTTCTTTAGAGAAACATGCAATGGTCAGAGCACATGGCGGAACACCCAGGAGCGGTTCACATGCATTGACTGCTGTGACAGAAGCCCAGGCCCTCTGGGTGGTCTTTCTGGATGAGAGTCAACTTCTCTTGCCTCAGCTTAGGCACTTGCTTCCTTTGCTCTTTAAACTTTTCACATTCTGCATGACTTTGAGTTTCTTCTTCTGTGGGCTTCCCTATCTGTCTTTTTAATTTTTATTTTTAACCATCTATCTCCATTTTCACCATATCATTCATCTGCTGTATTCCTGAGTATTTGCACAGTAGACAATCAAGTGTGGATTTGTAAATCGTTCATAGGAAATCATACAATTAACATTTTATGTTTTTGCACAAAAATGTGCATCTTCAATGAATCATACATGATGAAAAAGATGCATTCTCCAAGGTCTATATGCAATGGTAGGACCCTTCTTTATCCATCTCTTATTGCTATTCGAGCATGGCTTGGAATGTAGATGGCTTTTGAAGTTGTATTTTATACTCCTTACCTGGTGGTCTTTTTAAAGTTTAAAATGAAATGGCCTCCGGTCTTTCTAATGGACAGTCATGGAGCAAATCAAAGATGTTTTTCAGGTCCCTGCTTTATTCGGTGGGAGTCTGAGTGCACTTTTCCAGAACTGAAATCTCCCTTTGGGGAGTGCTTTTCAGCTCCGCCAGCCACGCTGGCTGTGCGTTGCTGCCATCTGCAATTCCCTCACTCGGAGACAATGTTGGCCTGCTTCCCTGGCTTGTCTCCCTCATTTGCCCTCATCTTGGGGGCCTGAATGGCCCTGTGGGCATCCCATTTCCAGACACCTGCTCACAGCTTCAGCCCTGCAGGCCCTCGAGCATACGCTTGACGGTGATCTCTGGCACTGTCATGTCTGCATCACAAATCCTGCTCTCCACCTACTCTGCCTCTGAGACTCGGGCCACATGTGTTTCTGTTTGGCCTCATGGGGATGGACACTGTGTCGCCCCAGTGTCTGCTGTTGCCTCGAGCACCCATACTTGCCCCTTCCCTGCATCCTCACTTCCTTGGCTGGTGGCCTTCACTTCAGCCACTCTTGCCTGAGACCTCCGCATGCCTTGCCTAATTGCTCTGCTGAATCCCTCCGAGAAAACTCCAAGTCTGTCTTCTCTGCCTGTCTAAGGGCTGACAGGGAGAAGACCATGCAGCCACAAAGACAGATGTCTCCATAAATCCCAGTCCCCAGCTGGCACACTCACTCCTGGCTCCAAAGGAGCATTGGGCCTTTTCCCCAAATATCTACCCTGCCCTTTCCGCGCTCTCCGCAGCTGATCTTTCTCCCTGCTTCAACAGGAACAACGGAAGCTGTCTGATAGGAATCTCTCCTTCCAGCTGAAAAGCCTATAGCTCCTGTCTCTGACTTTCTCCTTTTACAGTGGAAGAGGCCACCCCCACTGCACCCCAGCCAAGGCCAACCCAGCCCCTTCCTCCTTCTCAGGCTCCTCGCTCCATCTGAGTTTATCTCTCTCTCTCATGTTCAGTCTCCGCCTCTCTACCATCCTGTCAGCTCTTAGACATGCTCAAGTAAAGCCTTGCATGGCCTGAGCGGAGGCGATGGTGATTACTCGGGCACCTGCAGCTTCCATCTCTCCCCTGCCCCGCCTGGGTTGCTGCCTTCCCGCATTGTCCGTTGTTCCTGCCCCTCTCCTGCTGCAGCACTTATGGCTCCACACTGAAATGGCCACTTCTTGCCTGTATCTGTCCCCCACCTGGCCCTCGAACAACTGCAAGGGTAGGGACCAGGGCTCTCTGCTTCACTGTTGTATTCCCAGGGAAGTGTATGTCCAGTGAAAGGGAAGTGTTAGTTGAAAATACTCAGAAAGTGCCTGACAAGTGCACAAGTCACATTAGTGACTGTCCCGTGAACTAGAAGCATAAGCTCCAAATACTTGGCATCTGTCCAGTGATGAGTAGCATTAGTTCAAGGTACTCGGTATCTGTCCAGTGAAGGAGCAGCATTGAAGTACTCACTATGGCCTCCGTGCAGTACAAGCAACATTAGTTCATTTCAAGCATGTGCCAGAACTGCTTTTGTATTTCCGTGTTTATGATTCAAGTGAAATCAACCATGATTTCCTGCAGGTCAACTTCCAACCTTGTATGACTTTCATTTTGATAACAAACGGAATCAATGGGTCCCATGGAGTAAATTAGTTCCAGAGTATATTCATGCCCCCGAGAGGAAATTCATCAACATCCTGGGTAAGTCAGAGTCAAATCCTTGTTCCTGGGTTTAGGAGTGTGTGATACTCGCTCTAGGAGGAGGCAAAGAAGATCCCATGGCTTCTCTGGTACTCTAAGTCCCACGCAGAGAGCTGGTAGAGAAGAATTGAAGAGGGTGAGCTGTGGGCCCTCCTGGGCATGGAGGGTGGCCGCTTTGGTATTTTTGTCAGCTGCTGGCTCTGAGCATCTTCCGTGGCTCTGCCTCTCAGCTCTTTCCCCAGCAGGCCGATCCCCACAGGCAGATGAGATGCCGTTTCGCCTCCCCTGGCCTTTCCCTGGGCTCTCTTCAGTCCACAGAGCTGGCTGGGTGGGGACTAGACGGCAACGAACGAGGCAGTGTTTTATAAAGGGCGCTGGCTTGAAAAGCTGTGTGCCATGGGCGTTTACCTACTGAACCACACTTAGAATGCACCCCTCTGGCTGTTCAGATAAAATATAGGCTGGCTATTCAGGTAAAATATGGGCTGAATAATTTCACAAAGCATGTGTCTGACTTTGGTCCATTGAGCTTACGGAGTGAGACATCCCTGTTTTCTCGGGAGCCCATCAGGGTTGAAACCTGCCAGTGCAAGAGGGAGCCAGACCCGATGCTGTGGCTTCACTGTCTCTTCGGAGGAAGGTGTTGCTCAGGAAGTTAAATCCCGCAGGGGTCTGAGTGATGTCAGCAACAAAGAAGCTGAGTTTTTGATATCCTGGCATAAGTCAGAATTGCATCTCAAAACCGGCTTGGGCGTTCTAACCCTGGACTGTGGTGATGGTCGCGCCGCTGCAGAACTGTGCCAAAGTCAATCAGTTATACACTTCAATGGGTGAATGTTTCTGAGGTCATGTCTTGGCCTTTGCTCCTGTTTTTTATGGGATTTGTGGGGTTCTAGGACAACTCCATGTTGCCCCCAGTGCTCACCCTATTGGAGTTGCTGAGATGCCCCTGTTCCTAATGTCTACTTTAGTTCACACAGTGGATACCACTCGGACTACCTGGATATTGGAACAAATGGTTAAAATTAAGCAACCTGTTATTTTTGTTGGTGAATCTGGCACTTCTAAGACAGCCACTACCCAGAATTTCCTCAAAAATCTGAGTGAAGAAACTAACGTAAGTCATTATTCATATGAATTATCTATTGCTGTGTAACAAATTATTCCAGTGCATAGCAGCTTCATACCACAAGCACTGTGATCTCACAGTTTCCGTGGGTCGAGAATGTGGGAGTGACTTACCTGGGAGCTTCTAGCTCAGGCTCTCATGGGATTGCAGTCAAGCTGTTGGCCAGGGCTGTAGATACCTGGAGGCCTGGGTAGAGCTGGAGGATCCTCATTTGAGATGACGTTTCACATGGCTGGAGGCTGGAGGCCTCAGTTCCTCACCATGTGGCTCTCTCCATGGATGGCTTGGGTGTGCTCAACATGGTAGAGTGAGTGCTTAAGATAGATGGCAAAGCAGATGCTATGATGTCTTTTATGACCTGGCCTTGGAAGTCACATACCCTCCCTTCTGCCCTAATCTATGGGTGAGATAGAAGCCACCCTGTACACCCTGATATAGTGTGGGAGGGACCTGCACCAGGGCATGGACACCTGGAGGTGAGTATGATCTGGGGCCCTTTTGGAGGCTGGCTGTCACATTATTCACCATCATTTTTGGGTTTCTAAAACTTTGCAAGTGTTTCCTTTCCTTCCTCCAGCCAGCTATGTGTCCAATGTGTCGGGGGTCGGATATGTACCTGGCATAGAATTCGCAGGGTGCACAGGACAAGTGATAGTGAACAAGCTGTCAAGATCTGTTCTGTAGGGATTTGCAGGCAGTGGGGGGATAAACATGGAGATGTGCACAGGGAGCATGGCAGTGTTTACAGCCAGAGGGACCTGCAGGTTTGTGGAGTCAGGCACTAGGAAGCCGCATTTGGGAGCCTCCTTCACAACACCCCTACCCCAGGACTCTGCAGCTGGTGCTCATCAGCCCAGCCAGGTACACCTGAACACAGTGGCTTTAGCAAGGTACACATTCAGCTTCAACACGTTCAGCTCATGTGCACCTGCACTTTGGGTGCCCTACGTGGAGAGAGTTATGGAAGGCAGAGGTTCGTTCTCAAAGTGTGGTCCCCAGACCGGCAGCCTTGGCATCACTGGAAACTTGTTAAAAAAATACCCTAGACCACCAGGAATGGTGGTTTGTGCCTGGTAGTCCCAGCTACTCAAGAGACTGAGGAAGAAGGGTCACTTGAGGCTGGTAATTCAAGGCTGCAGTGAGCTATGATTGTGCACCACTGCACTCCAACCTGGGCAACAGAGCAAGACCCTGTCTCCTAAAAATAGCAAAACAAAAACACCCTGATCTACCAAATTGGAAACTCTGGGGAATGGAGCCCAGCAAGGTGTGTGGCACAAACCCTGCAGGTGGAGCTGATGCATAATTAGTTAAGTGTGAGAACCACTAATCAAGGAGCTCTCGCCAGCCTAAGCATGGCAGGAGGGCCTGAGGACACATGCATGAGCATCCAGGGGGCTTCCCTCACCCTTCCTGCCGGCAGTTAGTCCCAAAGCCTGAACCACTTGTTCATGCTCTCTTTGACCTATTTAGATACAGCCAGCATGATAGTGATTTATGTTTGAATATTGTCATATTGAAAATACTGTTGGATATTGCATCTCATACGATGCAATAGCTCTATGAAGTAGTCCTAAGAGATGCCATTACGATCGTCTTACAAGTGAGAAAAACGAGGCTCTGAAAGGTTGAATGACTTTTTGGAAGTCGCCTTGCTAGAACTGTGCAGAAACAAGACCCTCAGTCTACTTTCTTGTATGCCACATTGTCCCCAAGGCTCACATGCGACAATTCGCTATTGACTCATACAATCTGCTGAAAGGAAAGAGGAACTCTTACTTTAGCACTTAGAAAATAATGAAGCACAGTCTCACACTGGGTTATTAAAAAGTTAGTTCAGAGGCCAATGGATTTGCAAAATAGTTGCTAGCTTATTTGCAAATGTTTACTGCTGCTACCCTGGGGAAAAAGCTGGCTTTTCACATCATCTCTTTCTGCTTCAGATTGTGTTAATGGTCAACTTCTCCTCCCGCACCACGTCCATGGATATCCAAAGAAATTTAGAAGCAAATGTGGAAAAGCGAACCAAAGATACTTACGGCCCACCCATGGGAAAACGCCTGCTGGTGTTCATGGATGACATGAATATGCCAAGGGTAGTTTGACGCTCAAGCAGGTGGAGGGATGGGTCAAGACAGTGCTTGTGTTTGCATGGGTGTGTGTGTGTGTTAGAAGTGAGTATGAGAACATTGATCTTTACCTCTGTGCAATGTCTGCAGGGTACAGGCTGCGGGGAGCCAGCCTAAGGCAGAATGTACCTGGGATGCTCTTCTTACACAGAGGGACCTTTCCCTGACTGATCATGTTCCTTAGTTTCTTAGAGGAGGGAAGCAGGCAGCCAGCAGCCTTTGAACTAAATTCAGCATGTATTTGAGGAAGTGGTTTCCAAAGGAGCTCTTATTTAGATAATAATACTGTTGTTGGCCCCGTGTACATGGGAGGCATCAGGACAGACCCTTCCCAAGAATTCCGCTGGACTCTTCAAGGAAGAGAAACTTCAGCTGCATTATGAGTATGTTTCTGGGATCTGAGCCTGAGAAGTGCAAAGTTTTCTTGGCATACTAGAATTTAAATTTATATTATTTCATTGAACCATTTTTTTCTGAAAGTCTATTTCCAGAAGGACTGTATGCAAAGCCAGAGTCCGTCCGTCCATCCATCCATCCATCCATCCATCCATCCATCCATCCATCCATATGTTCATTCATCTATCAGTCTGTTCTTCCATTCATCCATCCATGTGTCTGTTTTTTTCATCCACCCATCTGCTATTTACCTACCTATCTGTTCACCCATCCAACCATCCATCTGTCCATTCATTCATAGATTTGTTCATCTATCCATCTATTCTTCTTTTTGCCCATCTGTCTGTTTTTCCATCTACCTGTCCATTTATCCATCTACCCGTCCATTTATCCATCTACCCATCTGTTCATTCACCTGTCCATCCATCTACCCATCCACCCATCCATCCATCCATCCATCCATCTACCCATCCATCCATCCATCCATCCATCCATCCATTCAATGGATGGTCCAATCTGTCTGTCATTATCAATGTATGAATTAATTACCCAATGTCTTTGCTTATGTTAAATGAAGAAAGGACAAATGCTTGTCTTAAAGCTTGATGCTTTGTAAGCCCCTGAGTTGAAACAGGTGAAACCAAGAGAAGCAGAAGTGTCGATGTGTGGACAGGCATATCACACCCCCTGGGTGGCACTGCATTGTTGAATTCTTGTCTGTCCATCTGTCTGTCCATCTGCCCATCCATCAATTTGTCCATTCGTCCATCTGTCCATCCATCCATCCGTTCATTAATTGAATTAACATATATTTATTCAGCTCTTCCTATGGGACTGGTGCTGTGTAGTCAACACCTATGCAGTTCCTGCCCTCATGAAGCTGTAGTATCGTAAGGGAGACAAACTTCAAAAAACACAATCACAAATGGATATATACAGTTGCAACCTTTGAGAAGCCCCATGAAACTGAAACCGAGGTGCCCTGGAGAGTAACGGGAAAAATGAGCTTGAGCTGGGATGGTCAGCCAACGCCTCTCTGACTCCTACTTTGCGATACTACTGTTCTCTTTTCTTTTTTAAAAAAAATCAAGGTGGATGAATATGGCACGCAGCAGCCCATTGCCTTGCTGAAGCTGCTGTTGGAAAAAGGCTACTTATATGACCGTGGGAAGGAGCTGAACTGTAAAAGCATTCGAGACCTTGGCTTTATTGCTGCAATGGGAAAGGCTGGAGGAGGCCGCAATGAAGTTGACCCAAGATTTATTTCGCTATTCAGTGTCTTCAATGTGCCATTTCCTTCAGAGGAGTCTCTGCATTTAATTTATTCCTCCATCCTGAAAGGCCACACCTCGGTAACTTGATTTTAACTAGAAGTCTAAACCGGAAGACCTTGTGTTGGGGGGAAACATACACAGGGCTGACTTATCCATGTAGGCACAGCAGGGTTAGGGCCCTCAATACTTTTAAGGGCCTATGAAAATGTTTTAATTTCTTGCAAAATCAGAAGAAAAAAATCATCTTTATACGATGCCATTATAAAATGTAATTGTAATGTATTTTTATGGAGGAAGAGGTCCATGGAGGTAAAAGTGCCTTGGGCCCGTGGGAGTCCTGATGTGGCCCTGAGGTGCTCATGCCACATTGAGTGACAGCGAAGAATCAACTAGCAGGCTGGGGCCCTGGAGTCAGTCCCCTTCTGCTCCGGGAGCAGGTCTCTTGAACTCTCCTAACCTCATTCTCATTTGGAGCGGGGAGATCATGATGGTCCCCACCTCACTGGGTTTTGGGAGGATGAAAGGAGAGAAATGCGTGTAAAGGGTGCCTAGTGCACACTGCCTAGTGCATAGCAGCTACTCATTGGTTACTAGTTACTGCTGTTATTATTATGATTTACTTGGCTCCTCCAAATGGAACCCATTCATTTAAACAACCATCTTCTGATCTGGCGTTTCCCTGCTAAAGCGGAGTCTGCACACTCGGAGGCTCCAGGGGCCAGGTGGGTAAGATAAAGGTGTGGAGTGGCCAGGCCTGATCAGTAGGAACTATGAGCACCTGGCCCGTTCATGCCCTACCTGAAGGCATTTGCTTTCAAAACGGTGAGGTCCGTGCTGGTCAAATAAAACTCCCACCGAGGGCTGGTTGGGGTCTTTGGTTTCACATCATGTTGACTTCACAGTTAATGTGAAAATCTAGAGCAATACAAAAAAATCAGGCCCGGTGCAGTGGCTCACGCCTGTAATCCCAGCACTTTGGGAGGTTGAGGCAGGTGGATCACTTGAGGTCAGGAGTTCAAGACTAGCCTGGTCAACATAGCAAAACCTCATCTCTACTAAAAATACAAAAATTAGCCGGGTGTGGTGGCAGGCACCTGTAGTCCCAGCTACTTGGGAGGATGAGGCAGGAAAATTGCTTGAACCTGGGAGGTGAAGGCTTTAGTGAGCCAAGATCATGCCACTGCACTCCAGCATGGGCAACAGAGTCTCAATCTAAAATACATAAAAAAATAAAAAAATTAAAAATAAGTAGTAAAATTCACATAATGGCTGGGCATGGTGGCTCACACCTGTATCCCAGCACTTCGGGAGGCTGAGGAGAGCGGATCACTCGAGCCCAGCAGTTCAAGACCAGCCTGGGCAATGTGGTGAAACCCTGTCTCTACAAAAAATATGAAACATTAGCCAGGTATGATGGTGTCCTGTAGTCCCAGCTACAAAGGAGGCTGAGGTGGGAGGATCACTTGAGCCCAAGAGGTCGAGGCTGCAGTAAGCCCTGATCATGCCCCTGCACTCCAGTCTGGGAAACAGAGCAAGACCCCATCTCAAAAAAAATTCACATAACACAAAATTCGTTATTATAGCCATTTTAAAGTATACAATTCAGTGGCACTTAGTCCATTCACAGCGTTGTGCAACCATCAGCAACGTCTAACCCCAGAACATTTTCATCACCCTGGAAGGAAACCCACACACATTAGCACTTACTCCCATCCCACCTCTCATTCCCAGGAACCGTGACTCTACCTTCTGTCTCCATGGAGTTTTCCATGTTGGGTATTTCATATAAATAGAGTCATAAAGCACGTGGCTTTCTGTGCCTGGCTTGCTTCACTCCTCATCATGTTCTCAAGGGTCATCCGTGCTGGAGCTTGTGTCTGTCAGTGCTTCATTCCTGGTTTGTTTTATTTTGTTTTGAGATGGAGTCTCCCTCTGTCACCCAGGCTGGAGTGCAATGGCGTGATCTCGGTTCACTGCAACCTCCGCCTCCTGGGTTCAGGCGATTCTCCTGCCTCAGCCTCCTGAGTAGCAGGAATTACAGGTGCGCACCACCATGCCCAGCTAATGTTTATATTTTATTTTAATAGAGATGGGGTTTCACCGTGTTGGTCAGGCTGGTCTTCAACTCCTGACCTCAGGTGATCTGCCCACCTTGGCCTCCCAAAGTGCTGGGATTACAGGCATGAGCCACCGTGACTGGCCAACTTCATTCCTTTCTATAGCTTAGTAATAGTCCATTGTACGGCTCTGCCACATTTTGTTTATTCACTCATCTACTGAAGGACATTTGTGTGTTGGGGGGGGTGTCTTTGCATTTTTCAGACGTTTCATGAGAGCATTGTGGCTGTGAGTGGCAAGCTGACATTCTGCACGCTAGCACTTTACAAAAATATTGTGCAAGACCTACCTCCCACTCCGTCAAAGTTCCATTACATCTTCAACCTTCGAGATCTCTCACGGGTTTTTAATGGTCTTGTCCTCACTAACCCGGAGCGGTGAGTTTGATTTATCTTACTAAAATATGCCCCACAGGTATGATAGTTTTCTTATTCTTTTAAGACAGAGGGCTTATCAGTGGATTTGATGAATCGTTGTATGAATTAATTACCCAATGTCTTTGCTTATGTTGAAGAAGAGAGACCAACACTTGGCTTAAGGCTTGATGCTTTGTAAGCCTTTGCATTGAAACAGGCAAAACCAAGAGAAGCAGAAGTGGGGACAAGCCTATCACACCCCTTGGGCAGGCTGTGTTGTTGACTTCTCGTTTTCAGTTCTGAAGTTGGAATTTGCCTGCATGGAGCCTTTTGCTCACATAACTCAGTCGTTGCCGGTTGGTTATAGGATGTGTGTCTTTATGAGAAGTAAGCAGAGGACAGAAAGGATTTAAGTCACGATATAGGGAAATTCCCGATTAAAACTAGGCTTATACCTTTACATGAATGTCTACTTTAGTCTATGTGGATTTGCAAGCATAGTCCAATTATGTGGATTCATATTATGAATCCAGAAGATACTGAAAAATGAATTGAGAATTTTCCATGTATCCTGCTTTTGAGTGCCTTGAAACATACAGACTGTCAGGGGCGGTCAGGAGAGGGCAGCTCCAGGTGTTTCAGGTGGAGTGACGGTTCTTTGCTAGAATGCAGGGAAAGTTCTGGAATTGGGGCCAGATTGAGTTGGCTCTTAGAAAAAGGAGCTGTCGGCCAGGCACAGTGGCTAATGCCTATAGTCTCAGCACTTTGGGAGGCCAAGGGAGGAGGATCACTTGAGCCCAGGAGTTTTAGACCAGCATGGGCAGCATAGTGAGACTCCATCTCTACAAAAAAATTTAAAAAATTAGCTGAGTGTGGTGGTATGTACCTGTAGTCCCAGCCACTTGGGAGGCTGAGGTGGGAGGATCACTTAAGCCCAGGAATTTGAGGTGGCAGTGAGCTATGATTGTGCCAATGCACCAGCCTGGGTAACAAAGCGAGACCCCACCTCTTAAAAAAAGAAAAAAGAGAGAAAAAGAAGTTGCCAGTGACCCTGATGCTGATTTTAAATTCATGTATTCCAACAAGTAGGGATGATGTCAGGTACTTATTTTACGTCATTTATAGACAACGCTCTTTTTTTCTTTCCTACAGTAAGATAAGCTACGGATGATGACTTTAGGGGGTTTACATTACTTTCTTAGCTTCTGTTGGATTCTCTGGTTAGATTTCATTAACGTGAGACTAGGGGGGCACGACTGGAGAAATGTTGGGCCTTTATTGCGCTCTGTGTGTCTGTCTGTCTGAATGTCACAGCCGTCAGCCCTGGTATCCTTCAGGTGACTTCCTGGCTGATTTTTGTCCCTTCCATTCTGCAGATTCCAGACGGTGGCCCAGATGGTGAGAGTCTGGAGGAATGAGTGTCTGAGAGTCTTCCACGACCGGCTGATCAGTGAAACAGACAAGCAGCTGGTCAGTACATCCAATGCTTCTTCTCAGGAAATTCTTCTCAGGAAAATAAACAAGCGCCAAAAGTGTTTTTTATATTAGGACGCGAATTGTGGAAAAATAGGCACGAAAGGTCAATGGGGCAAAGGAGGGTGGGTGGGTTATTAAGCGTCTTGCAGCAACTGAAAAAAAATAGAACGCAAATTATTTTAGATAATAGTACGTATCCTCTGCTCCTAGCAAGTTTCAGGCCGTGTACTGTTGTTGAGTTTGGGTCCTTAAGTGGGCTTCTGTTTCAAGGTACAACAGCACATAGGCAGCTTGGTTGTGGAACATTTTAAAGATGACGTGGAGGTGGTGATGAGGGATCCCATATTGTTTGGAGACTTCCAGATGGCTCTGCACGAAGGAGAACCACGCATTTATGAAGACATCCAGGACTACGAGGCGGCCAAGGCTCTGTTCCAGGTGGGGATGAGCCCCACCCTGTCCATGGGCTCACTTTCTCCTGAGCATGGGCCAAGCGGGAGCTGAGCATCGCGCGGGTGCCCGGGAGCCTATCACCTGGGGCTCTGTCTGAGGGCTTGAAATACGGGCTTGTGTCTGGTCCGGTGGTTCCCACATCCAGCATGCTTGGGAGTGACGTTAGGAAATTGTTAGACTCCTGGGGCCACCCCGTGAGATTTGCTGCGCTGGGCCCATGGAGGGTCCCCAGATTCTGGTGCACAGCCAGGTTTGGGAACCACTTGTTTGACTCCCTAATATTCATTTTCATTTAAATTCATGAGATGAGCCTTGTTACCGGCTTTGGGTCGCTGCTGGCCAATCAAAGCCCAGCAGATGGAAATCTCGATTGTGAAAGCTAGATTAGTCCTGGAGACCCAAGCAGTTTAATTATTTTAACTACTATAGATGTTCAGAAAAATCTCTCTTCCATTCTTAATCTCCTCTGGACAAAAGGAGGGAGTCTGTCTCTTAAAATCCAGTGATCCTTTAAGACATTATTTATTTATTTATTTATTTTGAGACAGGGTCTCTCTCTGTCACCCAGGCCACAGTGCAGTGGTACGATCACGGCTCTCTGCAGCCTCAACCTCCTGGGCTCAAGTGATCTTCCTGCCTCAGCCTCTGGAGTAGCCGGGACTATGGGCACACATCACCGTGCCCAGCTGATTTTTTTGTTTTTATTTTTGTAGAGACGTAGTCTTGCTCTGTGGCCCAGGTTGGTCTCGAACTCCTGGGCTCAAGTGATCCTCCCTCCTCAGCCTCCCAAAGTGCTGGGATTATAGGCATGAGCCACTGTGCTGGGTTTTAAATTCTCTTTTTTTTTTTAATGCTTTAAATTCTAGGGTACATGTGCACAACATGCAGGTTTGTTACATACGTATACATGTGCCATGTTGGTGTAGTGCACCCATTAACTCGTCATTTACATTAGGTGTATCTCCTAATGCTATCCCTCCCCCCTCCCCCCACCCCACAACAGGCCCTGGTGTGTGATGTTCCCCTTCCTGTGTCCATGTGTTCTCATTGTTCAATTCCCACCTATGAGTGAGAACATGCGGTGTTTGGTTTTCTGTCCTTGCAGTAGTTTGCTGAGAATGATGGTTTCCAGCTTCATCCATGTCCCTACAAAGGACATGAACTCATCCTTTTTAATGGATGCATAGTATTCCATGGTGTATATGTGCCACATTTTCTTAATCCAGTCTATCATTGATGGGCATTTGGGTTGGTTCCAAGTCTTTGCTATTGTGAGTAGTGCCGCAATAAACATACGTGTGCATGTGTCTTTATAGCAGCATGATTTGTAATCCTTTAGGTATATGCCCAGTAACGGGATGGCTGGGTCAAACACTATTTCTAGTTCTAGATCCTTGAGGAATCGCCACACTGACTTCCACAATGGTTGAACTAGTTTACAGTCTCACCAACTGTGTAAAACTGTTCCTATTTCTCCACATCCTCTCCAGCACCTGTTGTTTCCTGACTTTTTAATGATTGCCATTCTAAGTGGTGTGAGATGGTATCTCATTGTGGTTTTGATTTGCATTTCTCTGATGGCCAGTGATGATGAGCATTTTTTCATGTGTCTTTTGGCTGCATAAATGTCTTCTTTTGAGAAGTGTCTGTTCGTATCCTTCGCCCACTTTTTGATGAAGTTGTTTGATTTTTTCTCGTAAATTTGTTTAAGTTCTTTGTAGATTCTGGATATTAGCCCTTTGTCAGATGGGTAGATTGTAAAACCCACCATGCTGGGTTTTGAATTCTTTTTTTTTTTTTAAATGCAGGAAATTCTTGAAGAGTATAATGAAAGCAACACCAAAATGAACTTGGTTCTCTTCGACGATGCTCTGGAGCATTTAACCCGGGTGCACCGTATCATCCGCATGGACCGCGGCCACGCCCTGCTGGTCGGGGTAGGGGGCTCAGGGAAGCAGTCTCTTTCGAGGCTGGCTGCCTTCACAGCCAGCTGTGAGGTCAGTCCACGTACCCTCCCAGAAATAGGTTTACGATGCCAGTTTCTGCAGTTGGTAGTTCGTGTACATATTGGAACAATCCACAGCAGATCATAGCATGATGTTTTCATAGAGTATCGAGGTGGGTGTTTTGGTTTGTTTTATTTTTTCTTGTTTTTGGCTTGATATTACTATATTTTAACTGAATAGCCAGAGCATCTAAGTACAGGTGTTCTTTGGCTTAGGATAGGGTTACATCCTGATAAAATAATCATAAGTCAAAAATATTGTCAGTTGAAAATACATTTAATATCCCAATTAACCCATCATAAAGTTGAAAAATCCTAAGTGGAACCATCAAAGCCGGGGACCATCTGTATTGCTTTGTTTTTAGGATGGAGAATGTCAGATCAAGTTAGAAAGTCAAATACAAGCACATCCTGTGAACGGTGATGTGTGTTCATATGGGGAGGGCTTGGCCCAAACCTCAGTGCACCCATAGTATGGGGCTGGCAATTTGCTGGCTGCCATATCTGCACAGCCTGCACACACAGATCTGGGTTAATCTTAGAATCTTGTATTTTTAAACAGCTTTACTGAGATTGAATTCAAGACCATACAATCCACACATTCAAAGCATACAAGCCAGTGCTTGTTGGCACATTCACAGATCTGTGCAACCAGACCACAGTCTACTTTAGAACACTTCTGTGGCTTCGGCCGGGCGTGGTGGCTCATACCAGTAATCCCAGCACTTTGGGAGGCCAAGGCGGGTGGATCACCTGAGGTCAGGAGTTCATCATCACCCTTGCCAACATGGTGAAACCCCGTCTCTACTAAAAATAAAAAAATGATCCAGGCATGGTGGCACGCACCTGTAATCCCAGCTACTCGGAGGCTGAGGCAGGAGAATCACTTGAACCTGGGAGGCAGAGGTTGCAGTGAGCTGAGGTCATGCCGCAGCACTCCAGCCTGGGAGACAGAGTAAGACTCTGTCAAAAAAAAAAAAAAAAAAAAAAAAAAGAACATTTTGTGGTTTCAAAAAGAAAAAGAAATCCCATGCCCTTTAGTGATCACCACCCTGACCTCTGCACCCTCCCCTCATCAAGCCCTGAGCAACTAACGGACTAATCTGCTTTCTGTCTCTATAGTCTTCCTATTCTAGACTTTCATGTGAATAGTGTGTGTGTCTATTTTGTGTCTGGTATCTTTCTTTTAGCACAGTGCTTTCAAAGTTCATGTTGTAGCATACATCGGTACTTCATTTTTTTTTTGCCAAATAGGAGGCCCTCGTGTGGCTATGCCACGTTTCCTTTATCCACTGCTGGGCGTGTTTGTTGTTTCCACCTGTTGGCTTTTGTGGACAGTGCTGCTGTGAGCTTTCATGCACAAGTTTCTGTGTGGACATGTGTTTGCATTGCTCTTGAGTATGCTCCTACAAGTGGAATTGCGGGATCCTATGATAACTCTATGTTTAATTGTTTGAGGAACCTCCAGGGTGTGGCTGCACCGTTTTCCATTCCTACCAGCAGCGTCTGAGGGTTCCTGTTTGTCCACACCATTCTTAGAATCATACAGGTACCTCCTGCAGGTTCCACAGGTAACTCACCTGCAAGGGGCCTCTCGAAGTGGAGCAGACACTATGCATTGAGATGTAATTTGAAGAAGAGTCATGTCCCTCATTCACCCTTTTCTCCCCGACTCTTCATTAGTTCTCTGGTATCTGACTTCTTTCACTATTAGGGTCTCCCGTTATCCAAAATGCCTCTGTTTTTGCCTCTGGTTGCATGATACACATGCATGCTTATAATATTTTCAATTTACAATGGATTTATTGAGACGTAGCCCCATCTTAAGCTGAAAAGTGTACCCTAAAATGCAACTAGTACCTAACAGCGGCTATCTTTAGGTGATGAAATTACAAATGATCTTTATTTTCTTTAGACGTTTCTGCATTGCTTGAATTGTTGCAATGAGGATTATTCCATTTAGAGAGAGAGAGAAATGAGTGAGTCCATAACAATAGTGATTCTTATTCCATGCAATGGACTGAAGTTTTGTCCGTGCCTGTTCTGGGTGTGTGGTGCAGGACGGGATCTGTATTCAGCCTCAGTTCTTCTCAGATGCTCAGCCACCCCTCATGTCTACCTCAGAACCTTTTGATAAGTCCACCTTTAGAGAAGACACTTCTTGCAGAAGGGTCATTTTCATGACTCTTCTCCTCCTGGCAAGCAAGAGGTGTTCTTTTTCTTCGCCCCCGAGATGGAGTTTCGCTCTGTTGCCCAGGCTGGAGTGCAATGACGTGATCTCGGCTCACTGCAACCTCTGCCTCCCCGGGTTCAAGCGATTCTCCTGCCTCAGCCTCCTGAGTAGCTGGGATTACAGGCATGTGCCACCACGCCCGGCTAACTTTTGTATTTTTACTAGAGACGGGGTTTCGCCATGTTGGCCAGGATGGTCTTGAACTCCTGACCTAAGAGGTGTTCTTTTGCACAGACTTTCTTCTTTGTCTTCAGTGTGTTTTCTGGAATCAGATTTAACTCAGCATCATTGCCATTACCACAGAGAGTCTTAGGCAGTTCAGGCTGTTATAACAAAGTGCGATAGACTGGCTGGCTCGTGGACAGCAGGTGTTCGTTTCTCACCATTCTGGAGGCTGGGAATTCCAAGATCAGGGTGCCAGCATGGTCGGGCTCCAGAGAGGGCCCTCTCCCGGGCTGCAGATGGCTGGCTTCTCATGGCATTCTTACATGGATGGATGACAGCACGAAAAGTCTTTGGGGTCCCTTTTATAAGGGCACTAATCCCATTCGTGAGGGCTCCACCCTCATCACCTAATCACCTCCTAAAAGCCCAACCTCCAAATACCATCACATTGGGGGTTATGATTTCAACAAAGGAATTTTGTGTGTGTGTGTGGGGAGAACAAACATTCAGTCTATTGCACGGAGTAAGAATCACTATTGTTATGGACTCACTCATTTCTCTCCCTCTAAATGGAATAATCCTCACTGCAACAATTCAAATGATGCAGAAGCGTCTAAAAAAATAAGGATCACTTGTAATTTCATCACCTAAAGATTGCCACTGTTAGGTACCAGTAGCCTTTTAGTGTATACTTTTCTTTTTTTAAATTATTTTTCTGTTATTTTCATTTTTGGTCTGGGAACCAACGGAATAATGTACACTTTTCAACTTACAATAGGGCTGTCTCAATAAACCCATCATAAGTTGAAAATATTATAAGCTGAAAATGCACTTTTGATTTATATATTCAACTTACAATGGGTTTATCTGGATGTGACCCCATCGTTAAGTTGAGGAGTGTGCTGAAAGTGTAGCACTTTTGCGCCATGGCAAAGTCAAAAAGTTCTAAGTTGAACCAGAGGAAGTCAGGGACCATATGTGCATTCATACACAAACGTATTTCCTTCTTACCAGCAATGGGTTAAAGTTATATGTAACTTATGTCATTTTTCCCCACTGTGTCACTGCGTCTTTCCAAGTCAATAAATACATATTTACATTGTCTTTGGAAGCGTTGGACAGTATTCTATTGTTTGGATATGCCACACATAACCCATTTCCAATGGCGGGCATTTAGCTTTGTCCTTGTTTTCTTATTACTAACAGTGCAGTGATGAACACCTTTGTTTATGTATCTTTGAATATTGTTCATTTTTTTTTCCCTATAGGATCACTTTCTTTAGAGATTGGTAAGTTGGCAGGTTAAAGGGTATATGCTCTTTTACAGCTTTGGTTGCCTGGCACCAGATTTCGCACTGGGAAGGTTGGATCTAAACTCATATGGAGTTTGCCTCTTTGGAGTGGAAAGGACCTGGGGATGCAGGACAGAAGGAAAGGAAAAAAGTGTCCTTATTAACAACCAATCACCCCACCACAAAGGATTATGCTAATTTATGCAACTGGCAGTGTCTGTTTTCACATATTCTTGCCAATACTAGATATTGTCATGCTGATATTTGTCAAGATTATAGGTGGAAAATATTGCAGTTTAAATGATCCTTTCTCCAATTAATAGTAAAGTTTGAATATCCTTTTATACATTTTTTGGACATTTACCTTTTCTCTTTTGTGTATTGCCCCTTTATATACTTATTGAGTTGTGAGAACTCTTTATATAGGAGAGCAATCACAGTTCATTCAATGAATCCAGCTTCCAAAATTTCACAAATATTGGCCTTTTGTTTGAGGTATTTGTAAAAAAGGGAAAAACTAATATGCTTGATCTAGCTTTAAATCTGATGAAATACATAATTGAAATCATTCATTGTTAAAATATAACTGTTTGCAATTGTTTTCCACATTTTTCTATAGGACAAGGCATTCCCCACTGGAAAGTTTTATTATTTTTTTTCTGTTGATTTGTCCAGGTAAATCTGAGGCATTTTCCCCTAAAGTAGCGCCTCGAGGAACAGCAGAGAGGATGTTGAGGGACAGAGATCTGGAGGAGGTTGAGGACACACAGGGCTGTGTCTGGGCCCTAGGAAGTGGCGAGGGTTGGGTAGTGGGGTCAGAACAGGTGTTCAGAGAGTAGTGCCAGGAGCTGCTGGGGAGGGGAGGCGGCTGCACTCGGGAGGGGTGAGGAAGGTTTGCAGGCGACAGGCAGAACTGGAGACCAGAGTCTATTGGCCAGAAGGCATCCTGGTTGCGTTGCGCGCGCGCGCGTGTGTGTGCACACGTGTGTGTGTGTGTGTGAGCATGTGTTCTAGTGCATGCCAGGGTGCAAGTGAGTGTGTGGCTGAGTGTGAACATGTGGGAATGACTGTGTGAGTGTGACAGTGTGAGTGAAGCGTGTGTGTCAATGCATAGGGTTGAGGGAGGTAGGGAACAGAGAGAGATCTCTCAGTTCCTGGAAATCTGCCATGTTTCTGACAGTCGCTGGTTGCAATGAAAGTTTTAATTTCTGCTTCTGAGCTAAAAGAAACACTTGAGCAGAAAAAGCGTGCTTTAAACTTATGTCCTTATTCACATTTACATCGATTTCGTGTGTACATTGATTTCCTGTCACGAAGTTAAAGTGCCTGCTTATTTCTCCCTGTGTGCGTCTTCCCACAGGGTCTGATTTTCTGTAAACTGCAGTATGTGGCTGGCGTTCACCTTGGGGTACATTCTTCCCCCCTTTCCTCTGTTGCTGGGCTCATGGGGCTTCCCCCTCCTCTGTTTCATGACAGGGAGTCCCTTCCAGACTTTTCTTTCCTGACCTACTTCCTCGAGCTTGGACAGACCCACGCCCTCTGCACTCTCCTCCAGCGTCCCCACCCCGGAGCCCGCAGGGAAGGGAGGCTGGTGGTGGTGACGCCCATGTGCTCTGTGTCTGCATCGCAGGTGTTTGAGATCCTGCTGAGCCGAGGCTACTCGGAGAACAGTTTCCGGGAAGACCTGAAGAGCCTCTATTTGAAACTTGGGATTGAGAACAAAGCGATGATCTTTCTGTTCACGGATGCCCATGTGGCTGAGGAGGGCTTCCTGGAGCTCATCAACAACATGCTGACCTCAGGTACAGCCAAGGCTGGCGCCCGCTGTGGCCAACACCCCGCTCAGCTCTTAAGGGAGTTCACTTTCTTCAGCAGTTACCACCTCCAGACACTGTGGGTAGCCCTGTGCGGGTGTACCTGTTCCTCCCTCACGGCGGCCCCTGAGATAGGTCTCATTATCTTCCTTGGCTCCTCCTGTCCTGGAGTCTCCCGAGTGTGCCCCCTTCTCTCCGTCTGCGATGATGGCAGTATCCTTGCAGTAAGAACAGGTGGTGTCTGGGCATCTGGCCGTGCCCCGGGCTGTGCTAAGTGTGCATCATACATTCCCGTCTCCACAAAAACTTGATGAGAGGCCAGGTGTGGTGCCTCCTGCCTGTGATCCCAGCACTCTGGGAGGCCAAGGAGGGAGGATAGCTTGAGCCCAGGAGTTTGAGACCCCGTCTTTACAAATTTTTTTTTTCTTTTTTTTTTTTAGATAGAGTCTCGTTCTGTCTTCCAGGCTGGAGTGCAGTGGCGTGATCTTGGCTCACTGCAAGCTCCGCCTCCTGGGTTCACACCATTCTCCTGCCTCAGCCTCCCGAGTAGCTGGGACTACAGGCACCCACCACCATGCCCGGCTAATTTTTTGTATTTTCAGTAGAGACGGGGTTTCACCGTGTTAGCCAAGATGGTCTCGATCTCCTGACCTTGTGATCCACCCGCATCGGCCTCCCAAAGTGCTGGGATTACAGGCGTGAGCCACCGTGCCTGGCACAAAAATATTTTTAAGAAGTTAGCCAGGCATGATGGCGTGAGCCTGTAGTTCCAGCTACTCAGGAGGGGCAGGAGGATTGCTTGAGCCTGGGAGGTTGAGGCTGCGGTAAGTCATGATCATGTTATGGCACTCCAGCCTGGGCAACAGAGTGAGACCCTGTCTCCAAAAAGAAAAAAAAACAAAAGCAACTGAAAAACAATCAAACCTAATAGGGAAGGTACCATTAACATCCTCATTTCACAGCTGAGGAAACTGAGGCCCCTGTAGAGGGCTGAATGGCGGCCCTCTAAAAGACACATCCTAAACCCCTGGATCTTGAGAACGAGACCTTTGTAAGAAAAAGAGTCTTTGCAGATGTAATTAAATTAAAGATCTTGAAGTGCCTTCCTGGATTTAGGGTGGGTCCTAAATCCAGTGACAGCTGTCCTTATAAGAGAAGGCAGAGGGAGATTTGAGACACAGAGAATAAGGTCCCATAAAGATTCCCACAAGTCACGGGACACCTGGAGCCACCAGAAGCCAGAGGAGGCAAAGAAGGATTTTTCCCTTGGAGCTGTTGGCAGGTTACCCTGAGACCTTGATTTCAGGCCTCCAGAACTGCAAGAGAGTCGGTGTCTGTATTTCTTGTCTGAAGCCACTCGCTTTGGGGTAATTAGTCATGGCTGCCCCAGAAATCTACTAGAGATGCCACCTACCTTATCCAAGGGCACCTTGCTGGGAAGGCACTGAGGTGAGACTCGAACCCAGGATTTTTAGCATCTTAGCCACGCTCACAACCACTTTACCGTGTTGTTATCTTGTCTACCCTGGGGCCCTGCAAAGATCCGTGCTGACTTCGTCTGGCCTAATGGCTTACAGGGACCTCCTTTCTTTCCCAGGGACCTATTTCATCGATTGCTTGTTTGTTTCAGCACCTGACCATATTCATTATTGTATTGCTGTGTTATTCATTGAGCCCCAGCCTCCCAGCATTTACTATAAAAAATTTCTAACATAACAGTGAGGCTGAAAGAATTTTTTCTGTGAACATCTGCCGGCATGCCATCTAGATCCCTCCTTTCTCGCCTTGCTGCACTTGCTCTGCCATGCGTGTAAACAGCTTTCCCTCCCTCCCTGCTTCCGCCCTTCTCGTTTTTAGATGCGTTTCAGAGTCAATTGCAACATCACTGCTCTCCCCGCTAAATGCTTCTGCGTGCCACTATCTAGAGTTCAAGTTTTGTTTAGTGTTTTCTTTTGATGTAAAATTTACATACAGGGAAACGCACAACATTTTAAGTGTATATTTGCTGCATTTTGATCATTGCGTTTTAAGTTGCGTCTGTTTCAGTGGGTTGTCGGCTCCTTGAGAGGGGGGATCGGGTCATCCACCTGGATTTATTCCACAGTGTTTATTCCAGACACTGGGTTTGGTAGGGAATAAGATGGTCATGACCTCTGCCCTCCTTGGAGCATACATTTCAGCGTGTGAGTGGACTGGTTAACGACAACAACAACTACACAAAGAGATACAGCAATTGCAGATTGTGGTAAGTGCCGTGAGTGCAAAGGGGAGTTGCTGTGAGAGAGAGTGTGGGCAGGAGCATCTCAGGGCAGACAGGGAAGGCGTCACTGTAGAGACTTTTCAGCTGAGGCCTGAGAGATGCTGTGTGATCACACTCCCTATGGCTGCTGTAGCAAATTTCCCCAAACAGCACGGATTTATTCCCCTATGCGCCTGGAGGTCAGAAATCAGAAAAGGGTCTTAAGGGGTTAAGATCAGGGTGTTGGTGGGGCTGGTTCCTTCCAGAGCTTCCTGGGGACACTCTGTTTCCCTGTCTCTTCCAACTGCTTCAGGCCACCCGTTTCTTGGCTCTTTAGCTCGCTGGCTCTCATCCTTCCAGTCTCTACTTCTGTCATCCTGATGCAAACTCAGCTGCTTCTCTCTTGTGGGGACCCCTGTGATCGTCTCCAGCCCACCTGGGTAATTGAGAGCACGCGCTCCATCCCACCATCCTTGGCTGCGTCACATCCACAGAGTCCTTTTTGCAGGAAACATAAAGAAACCCATTGGCCGGTTCCTGGGCTTAGGATGCCATGGACACCTTTAGAGGGCTGTTGTGCAGGGATCAGGACGAGGTGGAGGGGTTCTATGGCGTGGAACCTTGTAGGTCATTTATAGGAGATAAGATTTTATTCTCAGTGCAATGACGTAGTCCAGATTTATGGGTTTTTTAATTTTTTAGATTTAATTAATTAATTATTTCAGAGACAGGGTCTTACTCTGTTGCCCAGGCCAGAATGCAGCGGCATGATCATAGCTCATTGTAGCTTCCAACTCCTGGGCTTACACAATCTTCCTGTCCCAGCCTTTCGAGTAGCTGGGACTACAGATGCATCTCACCACAACCAGCTGATTAAAAAAAAAAAAACACACTTTTTTTTTTAAGAGGTGGAGTCTTCCTGCATTGCCCAGGCTGGTCTTGAACTCCTGGGCTCTAGTGTTTTTCCTGCCTCACCTTCCCAAGGTGTTGAGATTACAGGCGTGAGCCACTGCACCCAGCCAAGATTTATGTTTCTAAAAGATCCCTCCAGTGCGCCGTGGGGACGAGATTAGAGGGGAACAGGAGTGGGAGAGGGGCATCCAGTTTGGAGCTACCCCTGCAGTGTAGGCAGGAAGTGACAGCGATTGGAGGAGGGTAGGGCACTGGGGACAGAGAGAAGTGGGTGGATTCACGAGGTATTCAGGAGGCAGAGCCAACGGGACTTCGATCGATTTGGCTGTGGGTTGGGGGAGGGGTATCAAGGGTGACTCCCAGGTTTCTGGTGGAGCGAGTGATCAGTGCTTCCATTTGCTGAGATGAGGAAGACCAGTTCTGGGCTTGTGGCATTAGGAGCGTGTTGAGTTTGCTGCACTAGATGAGAATCTGAATGTGATGTCATATAGTGTATTAGTTTGCTGGGGCTGCCGTCACAAAATGCCACAAACTGGGTGGCTTAAAACAATAGAAATCTACTCTCACAGTTCTGGAGGCCAGGAGCCCAAGATCACGGTGTCGGCAGAGCCCGTTCCTTCTGAGCTCTGGGTGGGGGAATCTGTGTTGCTGGTGGCTGCTGACAGTCTTTGGTGTTCCTTGGCTTGTAGGCACAGAACTCCAGTCCCTGTCTTCGTTGTCACGTGGCCTTCCCCTTGTGTGCTGTCTGTCTCTGTGTCCAAATTTCCCTCCTTTATAAGGGTACCTGTCATATTGCATTAGGGCCCATCTCAATGACCTCATTTCAACTTGATTATCTCTGTAAAGACAATTTCCAAATAAAGTCACAATCTGAGCTACTTTGGGGACTTCAGTATATCTTTTTCAGGGCGACATGCAACTTCAACCGTAATACATAGGCAGTGTGTACATGAGTCTGGTTCTCAGAATAGGAGCCTAGGGTGGGGACGTCAATTTCAGAGTCACTGACATGTGGTGGGACCCGAGTGAACCATCCAGGGAGAGCCCAGCACTGAGTTCAGGTGGAAGAGGAACGAGCAGAGACTGAGAGGGCAGGCGGAGCACGGGGAGCGAGAGACTGAGAGGGCAGGCAGAGCCCCGGGAGGAAGAGACTGAGAGGGCAGGCAGAGCACAGGGAGCAAGTTCCTCTTTGTCTTTTGGGAGTCTTGGGCTCCCTGCCAAGGGAGGGATCCCTCTCCCTTGTTGAATATCCCCAAGACCATCCCCGGCTCCGTGACTTGCTAGGAGGACTCGCAGGACTCAGCATGTGGTCCTGCTCATGGCTGTGAGTCATTACAGCAAAAGGACACAGAGCAACATCAGCAGAGGGAAAAAGTGCATGGGGGACCCTAGGGAAGACCAGTCTCAAGTCTCAGAGTCCTCTCTCCGGGGAGCCACACAGGACATGCTTAATCCCCCAACATTGAGTTGTGGCAACTCGTGTGAAGTACTGCCCACCAGGGGAGCTAGTTGGAGACTCAGTGCTCCGGGATTTCCTTGGGGCTGCTCATGTAGGCACCTCTACCTGGCATGTGCCAAAATCCCGGATGCCCGGAGGGAGAGCGGGTAGTCAGCATAGAATACGTTGCATACCCAAGCAGTGTGGGCACAATGTTAGGCTGTTCTTGCATTGCTATAAAGAAATACCTTAGACTGGTTTTTTATAAAGAAAAGAGGTTCATGTGGCTCACAGTGCCGCAAGCTGTACAGGAAGCATGGTGCTGATTTCTGGGGAGGCCTCAGGAAACTTACAGTCATGGCAGAAGGTGAAGGGGGAGCAGGCGCGTCCCATGGCCAGAGTGGGAGCAAGGTTGGGGGAGGGGCCACACACTTTCAAACAACCAGATCTCACGAGAACTCACTCGCGCTCACAAGAACAGCACTAAGAGGATGGTGCTAAACCATCCATGAGAGATCTGCCCCCATCATCCAGTCACCTCCCACCGGGCCCCACCTGTAACACTGGGGATCACAATTCAACCTGAGATTTGGTGCGGACGCAGATCCAAACCACATCCCATATTGGGCCACTCTTATCAGTGAATCGGGGAGGAAGCTCTTAAGGAAACTAAGTTCCCAGGTGCCTTTCAGAGGTGAGCAGCCGTGGCCTGCCACGTTAACTCTTCCCTGCACAGGAGAACGTCAGAGATGGCATAAAATGTATTGCATAATTTGAAACGGCGTAGATATAGGAAAAAAGAAGTCCACGTAGCCAGGGTTTCTCGACTGCGTGCCGTTGACATTTGGGGCTGGGCTGTTCTTTGTTGTGGTGGGGCTCTCCTGGGCACTGTGGGAGGTTCAGCAGCATCCCTGGCCTTGACCTATTAGATGCCAGTAGCAACCTCCCTTGCAACAAGCAGAAATATCTCCAGACATGGCCCAGTGTTTCCTGGGGGCAAATCCCAGCTGAGAATCCCTGCTTCGGAGTTACAGGCAAGTGAGGCCTCCTCATGCTCTGCATGCTCCCTGTGATGCTCACGGTCATCCTCCCAGGCGAGCTGGCGGCATCTAGGATCCCCGTTTGACAGACAGGAGCTGGAGGCTCTAAGGGCTTGCCACGAGGTGGCAGGGAGCCTCGGGTCTCAGGTCAGGCCCACACGCTGCTCTCTGGACTCAGCACCTGCTGATCTTTCCACACCTTCCATCACTCAGTCAGCACTTAGAGCGGTCATGACCCTGGGACTCAGAGAGATCACCAGCATGTCTTCCTTTTCCAGGAATTGTACCTGCGCTTTTTTCTGAAGAGGAGAAAGAGTCTATCCTGAGTCAGATTGGACAGGAAGCTCTGAAGCAAGGCATGGGGCCGGCCAAGGAGTCTGTGTGGCAGTACTTCGTGAACAAAAGTGCAAATAACCTGCACATTGTCCTGGGCATGTCGCCAGTGGGGGACACCCTGAGGACCTGGTGCAGAAACTTCCCAGGTACCCGCGGTGGAGCCTGTGAACCCATTTCCCCTGCTTTGGCAGAGTGTGTGGCTGAGGGTCTGTCCACACCTCTCCAGGTTCCCCCAGCAAAGCAAAACAAGACACGGCCATTAGGTGGAAATGTGGGCTCTGCACTGTAGCTTGGGGCTCACTGCCCCTTCTAGGTGCCAGTGGGCGTGAGTGATGTCCCTCTGACAGGAGGATGTACCCATGCTCCTCCATGCGAGGCCCGCAGTGCATGGACGGTGGCTCCCCGCTTCCTTCCATTTGGGAAAATTCCACCAGCCTCATGCCAGCCTTTAGAGCAGAGGTTCCTAATGGGCGGGGCAGGGGCGGGGGAGGTTGTGTTCTAGGGGACTCTTGGCAATGCCTGGAGACATTTTTGGTCATCACAGCCCCGGGGAGCATGCAGTGTAGTACTGGCATCTAGTGGGTAGAAGCCAGGGATGCTGTGAAGCATCCTACAGTGCACAGCCAGCTGCTGCCACAAAGGATTAGAGCCCAGATGTCAATAGCGCCAAGGGTGAGAAACTCTGCTTTTGATGAACTAGATTTGGACACATCTGGCTCATTCACCAACTTGTTGGCTATTGAAGATGGCATCCATGTTCTTGAGTGTCTCAGGGTTGCAGAATGAGCATCCTTTTTTTTTTTTTTTTTTTTTTTTTTGAGACAGAATCTCGCTCTGTCGCCCAGATTAGAGTGCAGTGGCACCATCATAGGTCACTGCAGCCTCGACCTCCTGGGCTCAAATGAGCCTCTCACCTCAGCCTCCCTAGTGGCTGGGACTATAGGCGCACACCACCACGCTGCCTGGCTGATTTTTTTTTTCTTTGAGACAGGGTCTCACTCTGTTGCCCAGACTGGAGTGCAGTGGTGTGATCTTGGCTCACCACAACCTCCACCTCTCGGGTTCAAGCGATTCTCTCACCTCAGCCTCCTGAGTAGCTGGGATTACAGGTGTGCACCACTACTGCCCGGCTAATTTTTGTATTTTTAGTAGAGATGGAGTTTTGCCATGTTGTCCAGGCTGGTCTTGAACTCCTGACCTCAAATGATCCACCCGCCTTGGCCTCCCAAAGTGCTGGGATTACAGGTGTGAGCCACCACACCCGGCCCTGATTTTTGTATTTTTTGTAGAGACAGGGTCTCGCCACATTGCCCAGGCTGGGAGCATCTTTTTAATCTCTCTTTCCTTTCAAGGTATGGTAAATAACACTGGTATTGACTGGTTCATGCCCTGGCCTCCCCAAGCCCTCCATGCGGTCGCAAAGTCCTTTCTAGGTAAGTCACAGCTGTTATGGGAACTGCATTATTGATAAAACAAAGCAATTTATTTTCCCTTTTCTGACTTTGAATTCTGGTCTTGTAGATTTCTTCACTGGAAAACCCTATGGTAACAAATGGCTTTCAATTTTGTTAGTATGTTTTTGGTTTATATTTGGTGTTTTAGTCCAAAGACATTTCAGGAGACTTAGCAAGGACAATTTAGGATAAAAATTGATTAGGTGTTCTCCACAGCAGCAGTTGGCAAAACCATGGTCTGCTGTCTAGTTGGCCCCTTACTTGTTTTAGTAAATAAAGTTTTATTGGTACACAGACTCACTCATTAATTAACATATTGTCTCTGGCTGCTTTTATGCTACAACCGCAAAGCTGAATAATTGCAACAGAGACCGTATGAGTACTGTTCGGCTCTTTGTAGAAAACATGTGCTGGCCTCTATCCAAAGAATGCTCCAAGGACAATTCAGCAAACATTCTGCATTCTCATTGAATTTCTAGCGTTTCAAACACCTAAGGCCTTGGATATTAATTTTAATGTTTGAATAAGAAAGGAAGTCTGTCTTCAGGGAACATCTTTTTCTTTTGACCTAACTTGAGCAGATTTATGATGAATGACACTGGGTAACCTTGAAAATAGTTTCAACCTTCTAAATCTGTACTCAATAATAAATAAATAAATGTTCCTATATGTAAGAAGAAATCATAACTTTAATCATAATGCAGTTTTGGGGGAAAAGGGGCCAAGAGAATGACTCTTTTCTGATGATATATCTCAGGTCCAGATGGTAAATATTTACAGCTTTTTCGCAACTACTCAATTCTGCCATTTTATCATGAAAGCAGTCATAGACAATACGTAAATGAATCGCTATGGCTGTGATCCAATAACACTTTATTTACAAAAACAGGGGGCGGGCTGGATTTGTCCTTTGGCCCGTAGTTGGCCAGCCCCAATATAGATGTCCCCTTGTTCTCAGAGGCGTATTTGCCGTTTCCATGTGTGAAGTGCTTGTGTTTGCTTTCAGTATTCAGTGATTCAGCATCATAAATAATGCTGCCTAGAATTTGCTTAGAACTTTTTTGTCCTTAGAATATACTCCCTGGAGGCCAGGCGCAGTGGCTCACACCTGTAATCCCAGCACTTTGGGAGGCTGAGGCGGGTGGATCACTTGAGCCCAGGAGTTCGAGACCAGCCTGGGCAAAATGGTGAAACCCTGTATTTACTAAAAATACAAAAATTAGCTGGGTGTGGTGGTGGGCACCTGTAATCCCAGCTACTCAGGAGGCTGAGCCATGAGAATTGCTTGAGCCCAGGAGGCAGAGGTTGCAGTGAGCCGAGTTTGTGCCACTGCTCTCCATCCTGGGAGGCACAGTGAGACTTTATCTCACACACACACACACACACACACACACACACACACACAGAGAGAGAGAGAGAGAGAGAGAGAGAGAGAGAGAGAGAGAGAGAGAATATATTCCCTGGAATTGAGATGACTATGCCCAAAGGCACAGATATTTGTGAGGCACCGTTTTTCCTGCACACTGTAAAATGGGCCCTGGGGCTGTGTTTTGCTAACCCCGGAGTAACTCAGGACCAGCTCTGCAGAATCTGGATTAATCGGTACTTTCAATCTGTCTTTCCTTCCTCCATTTTAATATGAGACATTCTCTGCTTTGAGCTGAATGCATTTAACAACCTATCAGATAATCCAGGTGATGTGATCTTGACACTGGAAGCCATCATTCATTCTTTCAGCGGGTGTATAGGAAGGCCCACCTTTGCCGATATGTGCTGGGTGTCATCCAGCGGTGGGTAACCGAATAAGCCCACCCAGTCCTCGGGCGGGCGAGGGGAGCAACAGGGCAGAGTTAGACGTGGTGATCGCTTCTGAAAACCCAAGGCCCTTCTGCCACGGTGTCTTGGCCTTTAGGGAAGACAGGGCTTCCTAACAGTAGGGAAGGAATTAGGTAACAGAGTGAGACCCTGTCTCAAGAAAAAAAAAAAAAAAAAAGAAGGATTAGCACGGATCACTGCTGTGGCCCTGAAAAGCCACCAATAAGTGATAGCCATTCTTTTCTTGTCCTATTAAAAACTTTAACATCATTTTTTTATTGTAGTAAAATATATGTAACATAACATTTTCCATTTTAAGCATTTTGAAATGTACATGTGGCACTAATCACATTCGTAATGTTGTGAAACCAACACCACTGTCTGTTGCCAAAACTTTTCATCATCCCAAACTGAAACTCCATACCCGTTAAACACGAACTCCCCATCGCCCCTCCCTCCAGCCCCTGGCAACCTCGAATCTGTGTTCTGTCTGTATGAATTTGCCTGTTCTAGAGAGGGTTCGTATAAGTGGAATCATGCAATGTTTGTCCTTTGGTGTCTGGCGTCTTTCACTTAGCATCATGTTTTTGAGGCTCATCCGTGTTTCAGCATCGGAACTTCATTCCTTTTTACAAGTGAATACTATCCCCGGTATAGATAGGACACATTTTGTTCATCCATTCCTCCGTTGCTGGACGCTTGGGTCTTTCCACCTTTTGCTTATTGTGATAGTCTACAGTAAACATTGGCATACAAGAATTCATTTGAGTCCCTGCTTTTCAGTTCTTTGGGGTATATACCTAGGAGTGGAATTGTTGAGTCATATAATAGTTCTATATTTAACTCTTTGAAGAATCCCTGTTTTCCTTTCTTAACAAGCATGGCTGGGTGCGGTGAGTCACGCCTGTAATCCCAGCACTTTGTGGGGCTGAGGTGGACCGATTGCCTTAGCTCAGGAGTTAAGACCAGCCTGGGCAACATGGGTGAAACCTCACCTCTACAAAATAATACAAAAAATTACCCAGGCATGGTGGCCCATCCTGTAGTCCCAGCTACTTGGGAGGCTGAGGTGGGAGGATCACCTGTGCCCAGGAGATGGAGGCTGCAGTGAGCCATGATCACGCCACTGCACTCCAGCCTGGGCAACAGAGTGAGACCCTGTGTCGAAAAAGAAAAAGAAAGAAAACATTTTTTATTCCTTCCTCTTCAGGGTATAATCCAATGATCCCGGCAGAAAATATAGAAAATGTGGTGAAGCATGTTGTCTTGGTTCACCAATCCGTGGACCACTACAGCCAACAGTTTCTACAGAAATTGAGGCGCAGCAACTATGTCACTCCCAAGAACTACCTTGATTTTATTAACACCTATTCAAAATTGCTGGATGAGAAAACTCAGTGTAATATAGGTAAGCCTTGGGGATGGGGTGGTTGACAAAAGTCATTATTATTTATGGGTAAGGATTCGAGCGCTGATCTTTTCTTTAGTAAGATGGGGCATCTTCAGTATTGAGGCCAAACGAAGCACATCTTGGATTTTGTGTCTTGGAGCGATTCTTTCATGTGGGCAGGACCCTGGCATGTCCTTATTTTTGTTCTCAGTGTTGAGTCTTAGACTTTGAAGCTTTACATTTTGATCACATTAGCAATTTTTAAATTTTATTTTTTATCTTAGGGATAGGGTCTCTGTTTCCCAGGCTGGAGTGCAGTGGTGCAACCATGGCTCACTGCAGCCTCGACCTCCTGGGTTCACGTGCTCCTCCCGCCTCAGCCTCCTGAGTAGCTGGGACCACAGGTGCAGCCACCATGCCTGGCGCACATTAGAGACAACTATCTGCTGCAGCAGCATGCACTGCCGGACAGGGCTTTTTAAAAAGTGCTCTGGCTGTTGGCCAAGGGAAGCACTGTCTTCAGAAATACATTCATTTTGGCTGATGCTGTCCCAAGTATGGCAGTGGAGGTACTGAAAGACATGTGCCATCTTGTAAAAATGTTTTGTTTTGTTTTTGATAAGCTGAAGTTAGGCAAATCTCAGTGATTGTGTTGCGAACAGTGGCCACCTCGACGATGAACATAGGTGCCCTCTTTCCTCAGCTCAGTGCAAGCGTCTGGATGGGGGACTGGACAAGCTGAAGGAGGCCACCATCCAGCTGGACGAGCTGAACCAGAAGCTGGCCGAGCAGAAGATCGTGCTGGCGGAGAAGTCCGCCGCCTGCGAGGCCTTGCTGGAGGAGATCGCCGTCAACACCGCTGTAGGTGAGTGAGGGCGGGGCCAGGGCAGCCCATCCCCAACACCCAATACCCACCGTAGGTGAGTGAGGGCGGGGCCAGGGCAGCCCATCCCGAGCAGGACAGGGCTCTGCCAGGCCGTCCCTGTGAAACTGCTTGTAGGCACTGAGCGTGCCATCTTTGACCCTGCAATTCCTGTTTTCTTTCTGAATTCGTGTCCAGCCAGTCTTGTCCCCTTTCATAAGCACTGAGAAGCTACCATATGTAGGCCCCTGCGCTGGTAGCCTGAGGATGTTCAGGGGAGTGGAAAAGTCACTCGACCCTCTATGGGCTGGTGAACTAAGTCCGTGGGGTTGAAATGACCTAAGCCTTGGCACCATCGACGCGGGACTTTCTTGGTTCTTGAAGCTGTTTCAAGGTTCTTTCTTGGGCCCCTTCCCTCGGTCTTCTTGGCCGAGCCTCTGTGTCACCTGCACTGTCCTGCTCTTGACGACTCTACCCTCTCGCGATGCCTGGCACAGGACGGCTCCTGCAGCCCACAGCTCTGTGCCTGGCCTCTAAGCCTCCTCTCTAGGTCTTTGGGCCAGTGGCTTCTGATGTGTACCCTCCCCAGCTTGTTCCCAGATTCCTGCAGATGCCGCTCAACCTGCCTGCCTCTTCCTTCTCCTGCTGGTCCGTGTTCGTGTTGCTGCTAAGTGTCATCTCGGTTCAGTTCCTTTGTCATTGCACCCGGCCCTGTGCACAGGATCCATTTGTCATCACTCTGGCAACAGCACCTTAACTTGGTGTTGGCAAACTGCCTCTCCCCGACTCCCAGTGCCTGCCATCAGGATGGGCTTATTCTAACCCTGACAGACCAATTAGATGTTCTCTGGGACTGCACATTTTGAATCAGCCAATATAAAGACTGAAGATTATTTGTGTTCATTCATTGCACAGCAGCGCCGTGAAGAGACTGCATTCAGTGCCCGAGCCCAGATCCCTGAGGCGCCTCTAGTTTATGTGTTTCAGCATCTTCCATGTCTGTGAGCTACCATATCTTCTTAAAACAATTTCACGTTTTTCTTAACTCGACCATCATTAGCTTCTGTTGCTTGCAACCAAAGCAACTTAATCGATAGATATCCTTTCCCAGGAATTTGTGGCATATCCCTGCTGCCTGTTTTGATGCTGAGTCCTCACTGTGGCCGTGAAGGGTCCCATCAATCCCTCTATGTCATCTTGCCTACCTAATTTCTCATGACACCCTGTCGCCTGCTCACAGCATCACTTCTTCATGCCTGTGTGAGTCCTGCAGTAACTTGCTCTTTCTCTCCCTTTGGTCTGCTAAGAATATCCGTACCACTTCTTTCTTCCTGTCCATGTTTCTCCTTCCAGAACTTTGATCAAATGCCTCATTCCCACATAGCTGCACTTTGCTTTGATCTGTCTTTTAAAAACTATATATTTCTGGCCCCCTAAATGTAAAAAACTATATATTCCTGGCCCCCTAGATGTAAAACTAGACTGGAAGTGTCTTGAAGGATGCTGGTATTCCACGTATTCATCTGTCCAGTCAGCAGATACTGACTTCAGCTTCATGGCAGCCACCGTGGTAGGGAGAGTGGGGGCTAGAAACCGAATGAGACTCAACCCCTGCCTCGAAGAAGCTCACAACCAAGAGAGCCCCTCCCCCGGTGCCCAGGCCACAGTTTGTACTGAGGACCGCCTATTTGCCACACCTGTGTTTAGTGCCTCTCCTACCTGTGCTTGTTTTTCTTTCCCCATTGCCATCATCCTTGTCCAGGGTCACCTTGCTCCCACTTGGAATTTTGGAGGAAGCTTCATCTAGGAACTCTGTTTCCAGGGTTGCAAATGGTAGAAACTGAGCTCAAAGTGGCTTAATCCAAAGTGGAAACGCATTGATTCCAGAGGCATGCTGGCTTCAGGCACAGCTGGATCTAGGATTCAAATGTATCAGTGGGAATCTTTCCTTCCCTTTCTTGGCTCTGCTGTCTTCCGTTTGGGCTTCATCTCAGGCAGCCGGCTCTGTCCATGCTGAGACTTTGGGAGCCTCCAGCATGAGGTTGGCATCCTATTAGCTCAGCATCCCCAGGGGAGAGAGGGCTCTTCTTTCCCATACATTCCCTCAAAGCTCCCAGAGTTGGCTGTGATTGGACAGATTTGGGTCACATGCCCATGCCGAAACCAATCCTGGTGGCCATAGGAATGGGATACATTGACACGTCCCACAGAGGGTAGGGTGGAGTGCAAACAATCCTCTCTCCTGAGGGTGGCTCTTCAGCACCTGCCCCAGCCTCCAGCCCATGCTTCTGCCTGGCTGAAAGAGCCCACAATTTTGCTCCTCAGCATGACTCAAGCACCTGGCTTCGCCAGCCCCCTTTGCAGGCTGCTCCCCACACTGAGGTTCCTGAGGCCTGTACCAGCCCTCTTCCTTCCCAGCCAGCTCTGGTGGTGTCCTGTTACCTCTGCACTCCGTTCCTGCTGGCACCACCCCCCACCCCCGCGCCTCAGCACGCTCACAGCTTAGACAGCTTCCTTTCTGCTTTTCTGTTCCGAAGGTTCCACACTCGTGATCTTGCTACCCTTTTCTGATGCATTCATCCCCCTGCTGCCCCAGGGACAAGTAGTGCCTGGGCTGGGGACCCTTTACAGTGTCAAGGCCCGTGCACGGCTTTGCACGCTGCAAGTGCCAGTGCTGGCTTGTTAGCTGTGGAGATGGGTTCCGAGAGACCTTATCATGGGGGAGGCAGAGCCTCTGCAGCCAGCATCTGTTTGTAGAAGGCCTGCTGCATTCATCTCCCGGGGCTGCTCTAACAAAGCACCATGATCTGGGGGCTGAAAACAACAGACATTTATTTTTTTAAATTAATTAATTAATTTATTTTTTTGAGACAGAGTCTCGCTCTGTCACCTAGGCTGGAGTGCAGTGGCGCGATCTCGGCTCACTGCAACCTCTGCCTCCTGGGTTTAAGCGATTCTCCTGCCTCAGCCTCCTGAGTAGCTGGGATTACAGGTGCCCGTCACCACGCCTAGCTAATTTTTGTATTTTTAGTAGAGACGGGGTTTCGCCATGTTGGCCAGGCTGATCCCGAACTCCCAACCTTAGGTGATCTACCTGCCTCGGCCTCCCAAAGTGCTGGGATTACAGGTGTGAGCCACCATGCCTGGCCAACAACAGAAATTTATTCTCTCACAGTTCTGGAGGCCAAAGTCTGACATCAAGGTGCCAGGACCATGCTCCCTCTGAAAGCTCTAGGGGAAGCCTCTTCCAGCTTCTTGGGGTTGTTGGCAGCCCTTGGTATTCCTTAGCTTAGCTTATAAATGCACCACTCCAGCGTCTGTCTCCATTGCCACACGCCCCTCTTCCCTGTGTGTCTGCACATGGCCTTCTGATAGGGACCCCAGGCATTGGATTTAGGGCCCACCCTCACCCCGTATGACCTAATCTTAACTAATTCCATCTACAAAGACCCACTTCCAAATAAGGTCACATCCTGAGGTCCCAGTGGGCACGAATCTTGGTGGGGTGACACTGTTCAAACCACTGTGAGCCAAGCCCTGCTCTAGGTTTTGGGGTTCCGGCCCTCGGGGAGGTGCTGACATCCTAGTGAGTGAGGGCACCCAGGCAGTGAATCAGCCAGTGGTGAAATGAAACTTCCGATTGCGATTGGTGTCATGAAGCAAGTCAGCAAGGAAGGGAGAGAGAGGACGACAGAGGGGCAGGCTCCTTAGAGGGTGGCTCTGGCTGGGCCCGAGTGAGCGTAGGAAGAGGCGATGAGAGGCAGAAGGAGGAGATCGCAGGGAGCCGGTAAGCAGGAGGGGGACCCCAGCATCCTCACTGAACACCGGCGAGGCAGGGCTGGGGGCTATCAGGAGCCATGGGATTTGTCCTGGATGGAGTGGGTGGGACACAGGTGGGCCAGTTGAGGAAGGTCAGAGTCAGGGTGGCTGCCTAGTGCTGGAGGCCCCACGCATGGTGAGGTTTTCTGTCCCACCAGGATCACTGAGGCTGCCACATTGGCCAGAGCCCCTTAGATCCCCGCTAGGGCTCAAGCCAACCTTTGAGGACTGCACTCTGCTCAGAGCCGGGGCCGCGAGTGCATCTCCTCTGAGCCCAAGCTTTACTCACCCCCTGTCCTACCCTGCAGCCGAGGAGAAGAAGAAACTGGCAGAGGAAAAGGCCATGGAGATAGAGGAGCAGAACAAAGTCATTGCCATGGAGAAGGCCGAGGCCGAGACGACCCTGGCAGAGGTCATGCCCATCCTGGAGGCCGCCAAGCTGGAACTGCAGAAGCTGGACAAGTCGGACGTGACTGAGATTAGGTAATGCACCTGAGCCACCATTCTGGGCTTCCATTCCACCTCTGCAAGCCAGTAGTCTCCATGATCGTGGCAACCAGGAGCTTACAAAGGAGCCGATGCCACATGCTGCCACTGTGCCTGGCTCTCTCCATGGTGGAGACTGTTGTTGCCCTCATTTTCGGATGGGGAAAATGAGGCCCAGGGAGATGAGGTGGGCGCCCCAGGCATCCAGATCCCCCAGCTAGTAGGAAGCAGGGCCTGCTGACCTTGAACCCAGGCCAAGGGAAGGATGGAGTGGGGTAAAACAGTGCTCTTCACGGAACATGCGGGGGCAAGTGTCCGCCCTAAGCAGGGGCAGGATGCTCACCATGGGGCTGAGCCCTGCTGAAAACAGCTCTGCAGAGATGTGTGCACACCACGGCCGGACTGGCGATGCCTGAATCCATTTCCAGCCAAGGAAGCTTTCAAGGAGGGTGAGAGTAGGTCACTATTGAGGCCCCCATACATCTTGCAAATCAATCTGTAAGATGACCCTGTCCCCCACACCAGAGGGCTCATCTGCTGTCAGCGAGGGTAACGTGGTGTGGCGTGGGCTAACAAGCTTTCTCCTCGCATGGCTTGGCCTCCCCAGGGCACTGTTCCTGGGCTCTGATGGTCAGTTGAGTCTTGTGAGTAAAGCCCTGGGAGGGAACACTGTCCTGGTGCCAGCCTCCGCCCACTGCCTCTGCCCCTGTGCTGCCTGGCCCCGCACAGACCCCTCGGCGTGGGAGCCTCAGCTCTCTCCTTCCCCACTCTTCATCCAGAAGGAGATCAGTCTTCCTGGCCCCACACACGGGTCTCGCAGCCGAGAGGCTCCGTTCCTGGGTCAGTAATGGGCTTCCATTCTGGGCTCCCGCTGGAGCGGTGCATGTTCCCTGTGCTTCCTATTTCTCTGCCTCTGTGCTGCCTGTGAAGGCTGAGCAGCGCTCCTTGTCCAAGTCCGTGCCCTTGTTTTCTTATTGGTGAAACATTTGTGAATTTGAGCATGGAATTCAGCTCACTCCAGGACAGAATGACCTCCCGGTTCATTCTTGGGAGGTCACTTGGAGGTGCTGCTGTGGTCAGCAAGAAGTCATTAGTTCAGTGTTGAGGATGGTGTCAAGGAGGGTATAAGGATCGATGTATTAAAACTTCAGCACTAGGCGTTGGAAGTTTAGGCTGAGGTACCAGGACACAGTGGAAGTGCACACCCAGCGGAGGGGTAGGAGACACGGTCAGCACACACATCCTCCAGGGAAATTTCTAGCTACCGGTGATAGGATTTGGGCCACTGCTCCCAGGTCAGCAGCATAAAAACATCGTGAAAGCAGAGACTAGGAAGGATTTTTGAAGGGGATTTATTTGAAGAGAAGGAACGGTGAGTCCCTTCCATCAATCCAAGGTGGAGGAGTGGGGGGGAGCTTCCATGGGGCCAAATAGAGGGCGTGGCATGTGTCCCCTGCAGTGAGACAGGCATTGCAGACAGGTGCCCCGCTCACCCCTGAGAAAGCCTAAGTACAAAAGGAATAATTTTTACACATTCATACATGGCTCTGCCTCTTTGCTGTGTGACGTTTAGCAAGTCATCTAACCTCTCTTTGCTCCAGTTTCTTCATTTGTAAAATGTGGATAAGAATTGTCTCGGCTGCATCAGGGTCTTCATGAGGATCATATGAGCCTATATGTGAAGAACTGGGCTGGGCACATGGTCAGAGCCATGTAAGCATTAGCTGTGATTATGGCTCCAGCATCCAAAAGGTATGCTGGGAAAAGCCCACGGCCACTGTGTCCTCTATCAGCTGTGGTCACCTTCCCACACTGCAACAGGTAGTATGGGTATATCATTTCTCATATACACTTCCTGAGGATTTTCATGCATGACCAAGGCAACCAGGTACACAAGGGTCTCTTCTCTTCCTGACTTCAGGTTCTGAGGGTTTGGAGAGCAGGGGATGCCTGCAAATCCTTTTTTCCTTCTTTTATATACAAATTATAACACCCTATGCATATCTTTCTGCATCTTTTCTGCTTAGCAGTATATTTTGGAGAGCTTTTGCATGTTGATGTATGATGAACTTCCCCGATATTTTAGAACATTCCTTCACATTCCATTGTGTGGCTGTGCCGTAATTTATTTAACAAGGCCTTACTGATGAGTTTGTTAAATAAATTGATTGTGTCTCCAGTCTTTTGCCTTTACAAACAGCGTGGCAAAGAATAAATCTGACCATAGTTCATTGTGCACGTGGGCGAGTCCACCTGCAGGATACATTTCTGGAAGTGGAATTGCTGGGTCCCAGGGTGTAGGCATTTATAGTGTTCATAGCTGTTGCCTAATCCCCGCCGTGGGGATGGAACCTATTTATCCTCACCAACAATCCAAACGAGTAGTACCTGCTTTTTCCTAGACTTACCAACAGGGGGCGCGATCACATGTTGGGATTTTTGCATATTTTGTAGATGAGTGGTACTTGTGTAGTTTTAATTTGCATTTCTCTTAGTGTGAGTGAAGCTGGCCTTTTTTTTTTTTCCTATGAGAAAAGTGTGTCTAAGAGTTATGTGTATTTCCTTTTCTGTGAACTTGGTTTGCGTATCTATTGGGTCGTGGTTATTGTTGCTTTTTATTTCAAAACCATTTCCAGGGGCTTTTTATATAATGGGGAGCTCAGCTTTTTATCCATAAGGTGAGTTGCAAATCTTTTCCTGGTTTGTCATGGGCTATTTGACTTTGTTTATGAGGTTTATGTGTGTGTTTGTTTTTGCCATCTATGTTTATTTTTATGTGGCAGGTTTTAGCAATATTTTATTTTGTGGCTTTTTTTTTTGAGACAGAGTCTTGCTCAGTCACCCAGGCTGGAGTGCAGTGGCACGATCTCGGCTCACTGCAACCTCCGCCTCCCGGGTTCACGCCATTCTCCTGCCTCAGCCTCCTGAGTAGCTCCAGCCTCCTGAGTACCTCCAGACGCCCGCCACGACGCCTGGCTAATTTTTTTTTGTATTTTTAGTGGAGATGGGGTTTCACCATGTTAGCCAGGATGGTCTCGATCTCCTGACCTTGTGATCCACCCGCCTCGGCCTCCCAAAGTGCTGGGATTACAGGAGTGAGCCACTGCGCCCGGCCTTTGTGGCTTTTTTTAAATTTATTTTTTGAGACAGAGTCTCATTCTGTCACCTAGGCTGGAGTGCAGTGGCGCGATCTCGGCTCACTGCAACCCCTGCCTTCCAGGTTCAAACGATTCTCCTGCCTCAGCCTCACAAGTAGCTGGGGTTATAGACACCCACCACCATGCCCGGCTAATGTTTGTATTTTTAGTAGAGATGGGCTTTCACCATGTTGGCCAAGCTGGTCTCAAACTCCTGACCTCAGGTGATCCACCCACCTCAGCCTCCCAAAGTGTTGGGATTACAGGCATGAGCCACCGCACCCGACCTATTTTGTGGCTTTTGGATATTGTGTCCTAGTTAAAAGGCCTGATCACACTGCAAGATTGTAAAATAATTTCCCCATGATTTCTTTTGGTACTCTTATGTTTTAATTTTTTATATTTAAATCTTTTATCTATTGAGGATTTTTTTCCTGGGGTTCTGTGTGAGTTTGGATCCAATTTGAGTTTTTCCAGATGAGTAAAATCTGGCTTTTCTCAGGTCATTTGGATGTTAAGCGCAATGAGCCGGCACTTACATCTTGACAATTTTATAATCTTTTAAGTCCTTAAAAAGCGCTTCCTTCTTATCATACTCAATCCTCTTTGTAGAAATCATTAAATGTTAAGGCAGGAAGATGAAGAGTCATGAAGATTAGAAGTAGATGTTTCTCTAACTATAAAACTATAAAAGCCTCCCTTTGTTGCTGGCTCTTGAGTTTCACTTTTCTTCCTTTCATTCATTCAGTAGTCAGTGGGTGTCTGTCCCCCACCCCACCCCTGCCCTGAGCAGGCACTGGGGCCCATCAGCAGTGAGGCAGGCAGGGTCTTCACTGCGTGGCGCTGACACTCTGTTTTCCTATAGGAATCCCATGTGCATGGGGAAATTATGTAGGATTAGGTTAGGAAGGAAAGGTCCTTGCTGCTCTGACAGTGGATGTTGGGACCTGACCTAGTCATGGTCATGGAGGGCGGAGGGGGCACCTTCTCTGAGATTGCAAGGAGCTCGGCTGGAGAAAAAGCAGAGACAGCTGGTGTGTCAGGGGTAGAGTACTGGGAGGTGGGGAGTGGGGTTTATAAGGATTATTTTCCTCTAGGGAGGGTAGCATATCATTCTCCCTTTCTCATTCCTGAGTTTGTTTTGTGATAGAAGAAAGGAATCAAATTAAACAGACATCTCCCTTTCTCTTGACTTGCACCCTCCACATTTCACACACCTTGGTCATCCGGCATTGTGGAAAGTGGTATGTTCTGGATAAGTGAGATCCCAGAGCGTGGCCTGCAACCCAACAGCAGAAAACGTCACTTTGGTAGACTCAGAGGATTTGGGAACTGGAAGGTTCCAGTTCTGCGTCTCTACTTCACAGATGGGGAAACTGACGCCCTGGCTGGTTCCTAACTTGCCCAAGGGCTCAGGACCCCGCCGCAGGCCTGGGCTCCTTCTGTCTTGAATCTGAAAACATCTGCCCCATTCTTTCCCCACCTGCTTGTTCACAGAGCGGTGGCCGGGGCCTGGTTTCCATCCACCCTGAAGGGACCTTTTAAAGACACTTGACAGCCCCGCCGCTTTCCTAAGCAGCCAACACCAGCGTGATCGAGCCTTTTCCCGGGGACTCAGGGCCTTTCTTTCATCACTGGGCTTTGTGCTGAAGTGTGGGCGCCCTCCCTCCTGGCTGTTGCCCTGGCTTGTCCGTACACTATGGGGCCTTCTCTCCTCTGCTGTCTGTGTGGGAGTGTGTGAGGGTTCCGGGGTCAGGAGGGGTGGGGGATTTGCTCACTGCAGAAAGCCTCCAGGTTGCTGTCTGCTCAGGCTGTCTCCTCCCTGTCTCTCTGTCTCCTCCCTGTCTCCCTGTCTCCTCCCTGTCTCTCTGTCTCCTCCCTGTCTCTCTGTCTCCTCCCTGTCTCCCTGTCTCCTCCCTGTCTCTCTGTCTCCTCCCTGTCTCTCTGTCCCCTCCCTGTCTCCTCCCTGTCTTCCTGTCTCCTCCCTGTCTCTCTGTCTCCTCCCTGTCTCCCTGTCTCTGTTCTTGTGCATGTGTCTCCCCCTCTGTCCCTCCATCCCCCTCTTTCTTCTCTGGCTCACCCCAGCCTCCTACCAGAGCACAAATGCCTGGGCCCCTGCCTGGCCGCCCCCACACTGCATCCATGCCCTCCGGGACCTCTGTCTCCTGCTCTTCTCTCCTGCTTTTCCTTCCTCTCCTGCTTTGCCTTGTCTGTGCTGTTCTCTTCCACTTCTGTCTTTCCATGGCGTGGTCTGGGAGACTCCTGTGGCTTTCACTGACCTTGCCTGGCAGTGGGATGCCCCGGTGAGATGGGTTCGGTTCCTTCTCTGGCCTTTGTACCAGCGCTGCTGTTCTGTCTCCTGTTCCGTTGGCAGTTCTGGTTCTCCAGAGGAACAAGGGCAGTGGACATCTGCGTTCTGGAGGAGCAGAGTGATGATCTAGTCTTATCAAAGCCACAGAACACAATTACGGGGCAACATAGCCTGGAAAGAGCCCAGGATGCGGGGACCCCAGGCTTCCCAGGCGGTGTCAGCACAGCCAGTCATGCAAGCTCCCAGGACCCTGTTTGTCCATCTAGTAAATGGGGAGAGATAATGGTTGGTGGTGATGGTGATGGTGATGATGATGATGATAATGACAATAATGACGGCAGCCACCATTTAGAGTCTGAGGAATCAGCCGAGGGTGTAATTAAAACATAGGTGCTCAGGCTGCCCCCTAACCACTGATCCAGACGCTCCGGGGACGGCCTGGGTTTGTATTTTAATGCTGCCCCCGCACCATTCCAGGCGCCTGGTCTGGAACCTGAGAGGGGGACCCGGCCCTGCCCTTAGGGACGCTCCCGCCCAGGAGTGCGGTTTGTGTTGGGACCTGGCTTCTTTCGTTTGCTTGCAGCAGTAGCTCCAGGGACTGTCTTTTGGTTGAGCTCGTTTTTCTGGAGCTCTCTTTCAGGCCAGATCCTGGCCACATCCCGGGGTTGTGACCCACGTGCCTTGGTTTCTTGCCAGGTCGTTTGCTAAGCCCCCGAAGCAGGTGCAGACGGTCTGCGAATGCATCCTCATCATGAAAGGGTACAAAGAGCTGAACTGGAAAACAGCCAAGGGCGTGATGTCCGACCCGAATTTCCTGCGGTCTCTGATGGAGATTGATTTTGATTCGATTACCCAGAGCCAAGTGAAAAACATCAAAGGTGAGTGTAGCCACGTGTGGGAATCGCCAGGGTGGATCTCGGTCTGGCATCTCAGGCTCTGGGACAGGGATGGAGGGCAAGGAGGCTTGTCGTGGGCAGGCCCTCCCCTTCTGGTCAGATGGTATCGGATGGAACAGGCAACTGATGGTCACCAGAGGAAAACAGCAGCCCCATGACGTGACCCAGGGAGAGTGGCTGGGGATGCGCGGCGGCAGCCGTGCCCACTGAGGGTTCGATTCGGCACTAGTCCTAGCTCTCCGTGTCAGGAAACAGGATCTTCTCATTGGAACCTAGCCCAGCCTTGTCTTCTGTGCATCTCACCCAGTGCTGTTCAGTGCACATGCAGAAGCCCAGAGCTAGTCTGACCTTGACTTCCCCCCTTTCTCCTCTTGTCAGTGTCAAGTCTTCTGGAGGTCCCTGGGGAGTGGGCATGGGGGTGGGCAGCATCACTGATGGCCAGCCTCTCCTCCATCTTTGGTTATAGGACTGAGTTCCCCTTGAGCTCAGTTCCTGACCCTGCCCAGTGCTCAGCCAGGCGGTGATAGTGTAATGGTGTTAGTCTTTGCGAAAAGCAATACAAGTTAACGCTGTGTTTGATGGTTTATTTAGACTCTTATCAAATGCTTTTTCTTAGCCCCTTAAAAACAAAAGCAATCTCAACACAAATGACCCCAACCACTACAAAAACCCAAGGCACTCCCTCTGTCTGAATCTTCATTGGATGGACTTCCGTTTATGTGAAATTACTCCTGGGGTGAGGGTGCGGGTGAAGGTAACAGGTGACCTGTAGTGGCCTGTGAATTCCAGTTAGCCACCTGGGTGCCCAGTTGGGAGTCTCCGTTACGCCCTGGGTCTCCTGTGTGACACCTGCGTCCTGGGTGGCAGTAAACCATGTCCCTTGCCCACATCTGAAACATCCGTTTATGCAGAACCCATCTTGGTTTGACACCACGCTGTTGGCCGTAGGAGAGCTTTGTGCATTCTGCTCACAGGGCCACTGAAGAATAAGAAACTAGTTATGCTTATTTTGTCTATTTTATGCTCCCAAGATGAAGCTTGCCACTCATAAAAATTATTGCATGTTTCACGTTAGGCCTCTTGAAGACTCTTAATACCACAACTGAAGAAATGGAAGCTGTCAGCAAAGCCGGGCTGGGGATGCTGAAATTTGTTGAAGCTGTAATGGGCTACTGTGATGTTTTCAGAGAAATCAAGCCCAAAAGAGAGAAGGTATTGCCCGAATGTAAGACTGCCACACCACTGCCAAGGGACCCATTCAGAGTCAGAATTCACATGTACATACCTTTGCTGAAAAACTTCTCCCGAGGTTCTGACTTCAAGCTGCATAAACTTTCCCTCCACCACCCAATAAATGGCAATCCTGAAACACCACTATCACTTAGGCATAGTGTGGGTGGTGGACAAGACCGAGGTCTGAAAGAGTTTCAAACTTCCTGTGAAAGTGTAGTATAAAGATGTTCAGACCAGGCGTGGTAGCTCATGCCTGTAATCCAGCACTTTGGAAGGCCCAGATGGGAGGATCACTTGAGCCCAGGAGTTTGAAACCAGCTTGGGCAACATAGTGAGACCCTGTCTCTACAAAAAAAAAGTTTTTTAATTAGCCGAGCATGGTGGCACACACCTGTACTGCCAGCTACTTGGGAGGCTGCAGTGAGCTGTGATTGTACCACTGCACTCCAGCCTAGGTGACAGAGTGAGACCCTGTCTCAAAAAAAAAAAAATGACGTAAAGATGTTTAAAGTTGTTTCTCTAGGGTCAAAGCAGAGTTTCTCAGCTGCAGCTGAATGTGGCCTGGTGGTGGTGGGGGGTCTGTCCTGGGGGATCTGTCCTGGGGGGTCTGTCCTGGGGGGGGTCTGTCCTGGGGGGTCTGTCCTGGGGGGGGTCTGTCCTGGGGGGTCTGTCCTGGGTGGGTCTGTCCTGGGGGAGTCTGTCCTGGGGGGGTCTGTCCTGGGGGGTCTGTCCCGGGGGGGGTCTGTCCTGGGGGGGTCTGTCCCGGGGGGGGTCTTTCCCGGGGGGGATCTGTCCTGGGGGAGTCTGTCCTAGGGGGGTCTGTCCTGGGGGGTCTGTCCTGGGGGGACTGTCCTGGGAGGGGTCTGTCCTGGGGGGGTCTGTCCTGGGGGGGGTCTGTCCTGGGGGGGGGTCTGTCCTGGGGGGTCTGTCCTGGGGGGGGTCTGTCCTGGGGGGTCTGTCCTGGGGGGGGTCTGTCCTGGGGGGGGGTCTGTCCTGGGGGGTCTGTCCTGGGGGGGGTCTGTCCTGGGGGGTCTGTCCTGGGGGGGGGTCTGTCCTGGGGGGTCTGTGCTGGGGGGTCTGTCCTGGGGGGGGGTCTGTCCTGGGGGGTCTGTCCTGGGGGGGGGTCTGTCCTGGGGGGTCTGTCCTGGGGGCATCTGTCCTGGGCGGTGTCTGTCCTTGGGGGGGGTCTGTCCCGGGGGGACTGTCCCGGGGGGTCTGTCCCGGGGGGTCTGTCCTGGGGGGGGTCTGTCCTGGGGGGTCTGTCCTGGGGGATCTGTCCCGGGGGGTCTGTCCTGGGGGGGGGTCTGTCCTGGGGGGGTCTGTCCTGGGGGGTCTGTCCTGGGGGGGTCTGTCCTGGGGGGGTCTGTCCTGGGGGGGGGTCTGTCCTGGGGGGTCTGTCCTGGGGGGGGGTCTGTCCTGGGGGGGTCTGTCCCGGGGGGGTCTGTCCTGGGGGGGGTCTGTCCTGGGGGGGGTCTGTCCTGGGGGGTCTGTCCTGGGGGGGGTCTGTCCTGGGTGGGTCTGTCCTGGGTGGGTCTGTCCTGGGGGAGTCTGTCCTGGGGCGGTCTGTCCTGGGGGGGGTCTGTCCCGGGGGGGTCTGTCCTGGGGGGGGTCTGTCCTGGGGGGTCTGTCCTGGGTGGGTCTGTCCTGGGGGAGTCTGTCCTGGGGGGGTCTGTCCTGGGGGGTCTGTCCCGGGGGGGTCTGTCCTGGGGGGGGTCTGTCCCGGGGGGGGTCTTTCCCGCAGGGGGTCTGTCCTGGGGGGTCTGTCCTGGGGGGTCTGTCCTGGGGGGGGGTCTGTCCTGGGGGGGTCTGTCCTGGGCACTATAGGATGTTTAGCAGCATCTTCAGCCTCACCCCACTGGATGCCAGCAGCACCCTCCCTCCAAGCTGTGACATCCAGAAATGTCTCCAGACAGTACCAAACGTCCCCTGGGGGACAAAACCTACCGCAGTTGAGAGCAGCGGGGCCAAAGTCACATGAAGATCACAAAATACAAAGAGAATAAGGTTAATTTGATCATTTTGAGTCATATTGTGACCTTGCGCTATAGCTCGGAATTGTATTATTCAGAAAGCTTGGAACCAATAGAAATACTGTTACTGTCTATGGTATATTCTTCTGAGTTTTTGACTTAGAACCACAGTGTCATCTTACGGAGACCTCAGTACATGAAAGTAAAACCATTTGATAACTTGGGTGCTGTGTCTTCTAATGGGACATGGAGTTTTTGCAGCAAACAGTCGAAGAAGAAACTAAGAAGCCACGTGTCTCAACATAGCATATAGAGGCTCTGAAAAGCACAGACACCATTAGAGCAGTTTAGACATGTGGCCTGGTTTGAGGCCATGGGATCGCGGCCCCACCACGGTCCTTTTCCCCATCTTTTTGCAAATTGTCTTCACTTAGGTGGCCAGGCTGGAGCGGAATTTTTACCTCACTAAACGGGAACTGGAAAGGATCCAGAATGAGTTGGCAGCAATTCAGAAAGAGCTGGAAACATTGGGTGCCAAATATGAGGCCGCCATACTGGAAAAGCAGAAGCTGCAGGAAGAAGCCGAGATCATGGAGAGGCGGCTGATTGCCGCAGACAAACTCATCTCGGGTCTGGGGTCAGAAAACATCAGGTTAGCGCTGCTCACGAGCCCACCTGTTGCGGTTTGTAAACGGACGTCACCCACAGAGTTTCTCGCCATGTTGATTCTTTATCTCACGTTGTGTTTTTATGTGAAAACCATGTGACCAGGTCTTATGTTCCTATTATCATGTTTATGGCAGCTAATGGCTATTTTATAGGCTCTTGTTTGTATTAGGCACTGAGTGTTATTTATTAATTACTAAGGGTCAAGGAGGCAGTGCAGCTGTGGAGACGGGGGAATCCATACCATTTAGCAGGGTGCTCTAGGTTTGGGAAGTGTTCACTTCTTGGTGACCTCTAACCCCTGGGTCTTTTCTAGAAGAGTCTGTGGGAGAAGCCCATCTCTGTCACCGCACAGATGCCTTCTAAGGGTCCCAGTGGCTTGTTCAATCCTGGGCTTCAGTCTTAAGTGATGGGGCTGTTTGATATTTATGGGCAAGACCGCTTGGCCACAGCTTATTCACCAAATAGGGCAACAATTTTGAATCTAGCATCTGTAAGTGTGGTGTAGAAAACACTGAAAAATGTTGTTTGCGTGTGGGAAACAATTTTCAGTATTTCTTAAACCTAAGTCTTGGGGCATTTACTGAAAGAGGACAAATGAAACAGACGCTTTCTTTTATCTTGGGTGGAATTCTGTCATTGAGTGAGGCCAGAACTTGTTAGCTCTGCCGGGCTGATTTATATGTCTTTGATTAAGGCTTCAGAAACAACGTGATTACTACTTAATATGATCCACGCAATGTGATTACTGCTTAATAAAGACCACAGGCCTTTACTGAGCCCCCTGCTTGATGCTGGCTCCAAATACCAGGTTCACTAGGGTGGGAAGTTGCAAGATAAGCTGTTGGTCTCTGTTCCTCACAAGGAAAGAATATCTCAAAACATGTTTCCATCTGGCTAGCCCTGTTAGCAAGGTATCAAGCTGGTTCTTCTGGAATGTTCCTTTTGGTTGTGGCCAGAAGGTAAACTCACGGCAGCCTCCCTCTCCTCCCGTGCCAGGTGGCTGAACGACCTGGATGAGCTGATGCACCGGCGCGTGAAGCTGCTGGGGGACTGCCTGCTCTGCGCGGCTTTCCTCAGCTACGAGGGAGCCTTCACCTGGGAGTTCCGTGACGAGATGGTCAATCGGATTTGGCAAAATGACATCCTGGAGCGGGAGATCCCCCTGAGCCAGCCTTTCCGGCTGGAAAGCCTGCTCACGGATGATGTTGAGATCAGCAGGTGTGTGGCACCCTGAGCCAGCAGGAGGGAGGGGACACCTTAGCACAGGGGGTCTACGTGGGTGTCACCCTGGGGGGAGGCAATGGCCTGGGGGGCATCACCAGGACCACAGTTGGCTCGACTGCATGGAAGTGGCCGGGCAAGCTGCAAACCCAGCACGGAGCCCTTCTCCCTGGCCTCTGAGGAGGCTTGTGTGGCCTGGGGATGGGTAGATTGTTCTGGAAGGCCAGTCCTACCACCCTTAGCCCTTGGCTCACAAATTGGTGAGAAAAATTCATTTCCCAATGGCTGTTTCTTCCAGATGGGGATCCCAGGGCCTTCCCCCCGATGAGCTCTCCGTTCAGAATGGCATCCTCACCACCCGGGCCAGCCGCTTCCCTCTGTGTATCGACCCCCAGCAGCAGGCCCTCAACTGGATCAAGAGAAAAGAGGAGAAGAACAATCTGCGGGTATGGTGGCTCCTCCCAGGGCGTCTTCTGCCCCCTATTCCTGTTCTCTGGAGAATGCCCCTCCCGCCTCCTGTACGTGGCAGTCCCTAGCCTCAGCGAGGCTGGGCTGAAATGCTTCCATCCTGACCCCCATGCGGAGCCCTCCCCCGGCTCCGCCTCCGCCTCCACCCCGTGGGTCTGCCAGGGCAGCTCAAACCGCCATGAACTCTGCCTCTCCCCTCGCAGGCTGTGAGCAACCTTAGCTTCGTGTTCCTCTGTCCAGTACGGGGTTCGTGGTCTGGGTGCTCAGTCACTATTTTTTGGAGCTGAGGTGGGGGATGGGGATGCAGGGGAGGAGAGGGGAGAGTAATGGCTTGATTGAGATGTAATTCACATACCACACCTTTCCCCCACTGAAAACATACAATTCAGTTTGAGTTTTAGTATATTTACAGAGTTGTATACCAATCACCAGAGTCAGTCTTAGAACATTTTTATTATCCCTGGAAGAAATGCTACATCCTTTAGCCATCACCCCTCCAGTCCTTCCGTTTCTCCCTCCCCGAGCCCCTGGCAGCCACTCATCTGCTTTCCGTCTGTGAATGTGCCTCCTCTGGACATTTCTTAGGAATGGACTCAGACGCTGTGTGGCCTTTTGTGTCTGGCGCCTTTCACTCAGCCTGATGTTTTCAAGGTCCGTCCTTGCTGTAGTGCATCAGGGCGTCATTCCTTCCTTGGGCTGAATGATATTCCGGTGTATGAACAGACACATTGTGTTCATCCATCCATTTGCTGAGGGACAGTTGGGTTGTCCTACTTTTTGGCTGTTTGAAGAATGCCGCTGTGAATGTTGGTGCACACGTTTCTATGTGGCCATGTGTTTTCAGTTCTCTTGGGGCGATACCTAGGAATGGAATTGCCGGGGCGGCCCAATCACTTTTTGCTGAGCTAATGAACAAATTAATTATTTTCAATTTAGCTTTTCCTCATTTTTTTCTGGTCCTTGATCTCAGGTATTTGCCTGCTGTTAGAGGAAGCCCATTTGTACTCCAAGGTCAGGGGAACAGTCTGCCTCCAAAATGCACATGGAGCTATCAGGGAGCAAATACTATGAGGGCAGGAACTTTTCTAGACTCCCTCTTCCCTCAGCCTGCCAGGGAGCACTGAAATTGTCAGCCTACCCCTAGTCCAATTCCAACATCTACCCTCTCTCTTAAAGAGGAGGGGTTCTAGCTTACGGGAGAGGGGCTGAGGAATCCCCTTCCTTTCCTCTCTACCCTGTTTGAGCAAGATCCTGCCCTGAGCCTGGACCTCATGGTGTATATGCGTTATACCCCTTGCTTCTCTCTTCTTTTCACCTCTGGCCCCCTCCAAGTTCCTGGCCCATCCACTTCCCACTTCCAAGCCATTCTCCCCTTATATTTGGCAGGGCCACAGTTAAACGTGGGCTTTCAGCATCTGCCTCCCTTCTCTTCCAGGTCGCTTCCTTTAATGACCCTGACTTCCTCAAGCAGCTAGAGATGTCCATAAAGTACGGGACCCCTTTCCTGTTCCGCGATGTTGATGAATACATCGATCCTGTGATTGACAACGTCTTAGAAAAAAATATAAAAGTCTCCCAAGGACGGCAGTTTATTATCCTGGGAGACAAGGAAGTGGACTATGATTCAAATTTCAGACTGTACCTGAACACCAAGCTGGCCAATCCCAGATATTCCCCATCCGTGTTTGGGAAAGCTATGGTGATCAATTACACTGGTAAGAATGTGTAGAACCTCCACTGCTAATTCAGATGGTTATGAGGGAGACCGCAACCTCAGATCAAGGCATTCATGGGACATCATTTCACTCAGTGACCCCAGATCATTCTCTCATAGGCACATCTGGACTAGTCAGCTCTTACCAATTAGGTACCACTTAGAAGGTGTGAGGCCATGAGTCACCTGTCATGAGTCACGCTGAGACGGGGCCGTGGGCTTATGTGTTCACACATGGGGTGGGATGGGACCTCTGACTGTGGGGGCAGGAAGTTACTCTATATTCGTGTATTTAAAATACATGTTGTGATGTTGAATTTTTTTTTTCTTCCTCTCAGTTGAATTCTGATAGAAATGGGATGTTATCTCTTACATTCTCTAGGGCTGTCATGCTCCTGCTTAAATAGGCTAATTTGATTTGGATGTACTTTCTTTTCTTTTTTCTTTTTCTTTTTTTGTACAGATGGGGTTTGTCTGTGTTGTCTGGGCTCAAACTTCTGGGCTCAAGTGATCCTCCTGCCTCTGCCTCCCAAAGTGCTGGGATTACAGGCATGAGCCACTGCGCCCAGTCTGGGTATACTTTAAACTATGGCACCCCAGTCCGTGGAAGCCTGGGTTTTATTTCAGTGTGTTTTTTCCTTTTTATCTGCCACTCTGCACCACAGCATCGCTGTTTTGCTCCTGCCTGCCACCTTGCTGCTCTAGAGTGACTTTGGTGGGCAGTGAATCCTCGTGCCTCTGGCCTGCTGGCTGAGACCCGCGCTAAGCTTGTCCCGTCACAGCAGGGCAGCGGGAGAGACTGTTGTTGGGGGCCGCAGGTGGTGAGGGCCTCTCACTGTCCCCCACAGTCACGCTGAAGGGCCTGGAGGACCAGCTGCTGAGCGTGCTGGTGGCTTACGAGAGGCGGGAGCTGGAGGAGCAGCGGGAGCACCTCATCCAGGAGACCAGCGAGAACAAGAACCTGCTCAAGGACCTGGAAGATTCCCTCCTTCGGGAGCTGGCCACGTCCACGGGGAACATGCTGGACAATGTGGACCTGGTGCACACCCTGGAGGAGACCAAATCCAAGGCAACAGAGGTAGCAACCACAGTGGAAGAGGCCGTGAGTCAGGCGGGGCCTGCATGCGCCGTTGGAGCGTCCATTTCTCTGTCTGCTCAATGAGAAAATGGGGCTCTGTGATCTCAGGGCTAAAAACCCACCTCTATTGGGATGTGCTGTGGGGAGGGGAGCCCTAAAGGTGTTCCCAGGGACCCTTGGGCATCAGGTCAGTCTCTTTAAATCGAGAGTGATAGAAAATCCAGCCCTGCCTGGCTTAAGTCAAAAGGGAAGTTATCAGCTGAGAAAGCAGAAAAGTTCAGAGATGGCCTCAGGTGGGGCTGGATCCAGGACTTCAAAAATACCAGGAGGACCTGGTTTCTGTCCATTTCTGGGCTGGGCCTTCTACTGGGTTGGCGTCATTCTCTGCCAGCTCCCCACATGGTCATAAGACTGGTCTGGCCTCACGTCCTCTCGGGTCCAAACCCAAAGGGGTAAGTGAGAATCTTCCTGTTCCTACCGTGAAGGTCCTGAGAGTCACTTAGGTCACGTTTCTACCCCAAAGCAGCCCTGGGAGCTTGGGGATGCTAGGCTCAGGTTAGCTGGCCCTGGGTCACATCTCCTGGAGTCGGGGTGGAACCCCATATGGGAAGAAAAGGGAGAGGGCAGTACCGGAGACTTACAAGCAGTGTTACTAGGGGAAGGGGCCATGGGTGCAGGGGCGTCAGCCACAAATATTCACCCCTTCCTACAAGAGGGTGGGTGCCCTCGCTCCCCTGCAGTCCCTGGATACTTTCAAAGCCCTGAAGCATTGTACATACCTCTCTGCTGTCCCCCTGCCCCTCCTGCCCTCTGCCCACATCTCAGTCTTCCTGTTTCCAGGGTCACCTGTGCTTTTCTTCAGGTCTCAGAGAAACTCAAGCTGGCGGAGAAGACAGCCTTGGACATCGACAGGCTGCGGGATGGCTACCGGCCAGCAGCCAGGAGGGGGGCCATCCTGTTCTTCGTCCTGTCTGAGATGGCCCTGGTGAACTCCATGTACCAGTACTCCCTGATTGCCTTCTTAGAGGTCTTCAGGCTGTCACTGAAGAAGTCGCTGCCTGATTCCATCCTCATGAAACGCCTGAGGAACATCATGGACACGCTGACCTTCAGCATCTATAACCACGGCTGCACAGGTGAGCTCTCCCCACAGAGGAGGACATGTTAGTGTAGTTTGGTGTGCCAGACGTGGCTTTAAGGAAACGTGATCTGTGAAAATGGAAAGTTACCAAATAGCATTTTTTCTTTTTTCTTTCTTTCTTTCTTTTTCTTTTTTTTTTGAGATAGGGTCTTGCTCCATCACCCAGGCTGGAATGCAGTGGTGCGATCACGGCTCACTGCAACCTCCACCTCCCAGGCTCAGGTGATCCTCCTACCTCAGCCTCCAGAGTAGCTGGGACTAAAGGCACGCCACCACACCCAGCTAAGTTTTTGTATATTTTGTAGAGATGGGGTTTCACTATGTTGCCCAGGCTGGTCTCGAACTCCTGAGCTCAAACGATCCACCCACCTTGGCCTCCTGAAGTGCTGGGATTACGAGGTGTGAGCCATCATGCCCAGCTCCGAATGGCATTCTTGAGTCTGGCGATTCATGTTACAAGAGGAATGTTTAAAGCACTGAATTTTAAGATAGCAGCTTTATTGAGACACAATTTACATACCATAAATTCGTCCTTTAAAAATATACCATTCGGTGGTGATTCATAGCATATACATAGAGTTGTGCAGCTATCACTACTCTCTGGCTCCGGAACGTTTCCACCAGCCCCGAAATGAAATCCCATACCCATTAGCAGTCACCCCCTGGCCCCCCACTCCTAGTCCCTGGCAGTCACCGCTCTGCCTTCCATCTGTAAGGATTTACTTGCTCTGAACACTTCATGTCAATGGCATCATACGGTGTGTGACTTCATGACTGGTATCTTTCACTCCACTCCGTGACCTCACGGTTCATCCGTGTTGCTGCGTGTGTCAGCGCTTCATTCCTGCCTGTGGCTGAGTCACATTCCATGTATGGACAGACCGCACTGTGTTTATCCACCCGTCACCTGATGGGCATTTGGGTTGTTTCGCTTGTTTTGCTATTAAGGCAATGCTCCTGTGAACATTTGTGTGCAGGTTTTTGTGTGAATGTGTGTTTTTAATTCTCTTGGGGGTATATCTAGAAAGGGAACTGCTGGGTCATAGGGTAATTCTATGTCTAACTTTTGAGGAACTGCCAAACTGTTTTCCAAAGTGACTACAGTATATTTAAACCCCTAAATCATTGATTTTTTCAAAAGACTTTTTATTATGGAAAACATATGCAAAAGAGAATAGTGTCGTGATCGTCTGCACAGCCCTCACCTGGCAATGATTAGCTCTGGATTTGTTTATATGTAACACGGTTCCCCATCAACCCAGATTATGTTGAAAATTTGCTTCATATTCAGATCACTTATCTGTAAGTATGTTAGTTTGTATCTCTAAAACAGAGGTCAGCAAACTTTTTCTGGAAAGGGTCAGATAGTAAGTGTTTTAGGCTTTGAAGGCTAAGTGATTTCTGCCACAACTACTCACTTCTGCAGTTGTGTGCCACAGGCCCCACTGGGCATGGTGGCAATTGTAGCACAAAAGCAGCCATTGGATGATATGGAAGTGAATGGCCATGGCTGTGTTCCAATAAAACTTTTTTAGCAAAAACAGGCAGCAGGCTGGATTTGGCCCCTTGCTTGTGGTTTGCCCATCCCTGCTATAAAATAGAAGGATTCTATCTCAAAACATAGACATAAGGCCATTATCATATCCCCAAATTAATAATTCCTGAATATCATCATATTCAGGTTTTCAAATGTTCCCAATTGTCTTATATGTCATGTTTCACATTATTTTAAATCAGGACCTCATTAAGGTCTATACATTATAATTGGTTGTGTCACTTAATTTCTCTCTTTTCCCCCTTGCATTTATTTTTATTTTTGTTTGTTTATTTTTGGAGACAGGGTCTGGCTCTGATGCCCAGGCTAGGGTGCAATGGCACAATCACAGCTTACTGCAACCTCCACCTCCCAGGCTCAAGTGATCCTCTCACTTCAGCCTCCTCAGTAGCTGGGACTACAGGTGCATGCCACCATGCCTGGCTAATTTTTAAAAAAAATTTGTAGAGATGGTGGTCTCGCCATGTTGCCCAGGCTGATCTTGAACTCCTGGGCTTAAGGGATCCTCCTGCCTCGGCCTCCCAAAGTGCTGGGATTAGAAGCATAAGCCACCGTGTCTGCCCCACCCCTTGCATTTATCTGTGGAAGAAACCTACCTGATTGCTGGGTTGTTTCCCGTCGTCTGAATTTTGTGCTCGCCTCTCTGTAGTGTGTCATTGGAGGAACTCTCAAATGCCAATACATGTAGTTCTTTTCTCATGAGACTTTAGGATTCCCCAGTGAAGAGTCTTCAGCCTTTTCCTAGAGTATGTAATCCTGGCTGCCAGCCTTCGTGGAACCAAGTGAGAAAAGAAGGCTGTCGATTTCAGCATTCGTCGTGAAAACGTTCACTGAAAGCCATATTTTCAGTACGGTTTACCCTCAACTATGCCTGGTGTTCCCCCGTCCAGAGACCCTGCTTTATCTTTTCCAAAGTTCACTTGGGTGGGGCAGGCAGTTGCCTGGCAGCATGGAGTGAGAGGGGATCTGGGATCTGACGGCTTGTCAAACAAGCTGTCCACCCATCTTCCTGTTTTTAGCCCATATTCACCCACACTTCCAAAGGATCTGGTACTGCCAGTTCCTGAGCTTTTGATGTGTTCTGTGGTTTGCATCTCAGCTTTATCTCCTCCTCATGTGAGAGTCAACTTTCTCAGCTCTGCTAAATCAGTTATCACTTGTCCATCTGTCTGTAGCTTGCAGTTTTTTTTTTTTTTTTTTTTTTTTTTTTTTTTTTTTTTTTGAGACAGAATGTCACTCTGTTGCCCAGGCTGGAGTGCAGTGGTGCGATCTTAGCTCACTGCAACCTTCGCCTCCTGGGTTCAAGTGATTCTCCTGCCTCAGCCTCCCAAGTAGCTGGGATTACAGGCACCTACCACCACACTCAGCTAATTTTTAGTATTTTTAGTAGAGACAGGGTTTTGCCATGTTGGCCAGGCTGGTCTCGAACTCTTGATCTCAAGTGATCTGCCCACCCCGGCCTCCCAAAGTGCTAGGATTACAGATGTGAGCCACCACACCTGGCCTAGCTTGCAAAATTTTATTGCTATTGTCTTTTCTCCAATTTTCTGGGAGCTTATACCTTTTTAAAAAACTAACCATTAGGCCAGGCGCGGTGGCTCACTCCTGTAATCCCAGCACTTTGGGCCGCCAGGGCGGGCGGATCATGAGGTCAAGAGATGGAGACCATCCTGGCCAACCTGGTGAAACCCCGTCTCTACTAAAAATACAAAAATTAGCTGGGCGTGTTGGCAGGCACCTGTAGTCCCAGCTACTGGGGGGGAGGCTGAGGCAGGAGAATGGCTTGAACCCGGGAGGCGGAGGTTGCAGTGAGCCGAGATCGCGCCACTGCACAAAAACAACAAACAAACAAAAAAACTCACCATTTCAGTTGGTTTTTGAAAAGGAGTTGGGATAAACTCAGAATGGCCATTTTTAACCAGGGGCCTGTAGAGTGACCTTTAGGAAGCAGAGGGTGGGTAGGACACACTCGTGTCCCTTTCCAGTCCTCTTCTGCTGAGACACTGTACTGACAGTGATATTTTCCATGCACCAGCGTTTGGTGTATTAGTTTGCCATGCCTGCCATAACAAAATACCACCGACTGGGTGGCTTAAGCAACAGAAATTTATTTTCTCATAGTTTTGGAGGTCAGAAGTCCAAAATCAAGGTTTTGGTAGGTTTCGTTTCTCCTTAGGATGCTCCCCTTGGCTTGTAGGAGGCTGTCTTCCTGCTCTGTCCACACAAGGTCTTTCTTCTCTGCGTGTGAATCCCTGGTGTCTCTGTGTGTCCAAATTTCCTCCTCTTATAAGGACACCAGTGAGGTTGGACTGGGCCCACCTTAATGGCCTCATTTGAACTTAATCACCTATTTAAAGACCCTGTCTCCAAATACTGTCATATTCTCAGGTACTGGAAGTTGGGGCTTCAACATAGGAAGTTTGGAGAAATATAATTTAGCCCTTAACAGTTGGGCAGAAAAGAGATTGTTTCTATAGGGCTCACTTAAGTAGCCAACCCTCCTAACACATATAAAGTAGAATTCAAATTACAAATTTTGACTTAAACAATTTTTTTTTCCAGGAACACATGTCTTCTGTTAAAAAGCAAAAAAGAAGAACGCTGGTATTTTGCATCCATTAATAAAGAGTCTGTTGATGGAGTGTGTGTCCTCTGCAATAGAGGTTGGCAACCCCCTAGCCAGCATCCAAATCTGGCCCACTGCCTGCTTTTGTAAATAAAGTTTTATTGGAACAGGGCCATATCCATTTGTATACATATTGTCTATGGTTGCTTTTGCACTACAATGGCGGAGTTGAGTGGTTATGACAGAGACCATCTAGCTTCCAAAGCCAAAAATATTTACTATCTGGCCCTTTGTAGAAAGTTTGCCAACACCTCTTCTAGACTCTAATGGACACAAATGCCATGGAGTCAGGCAAACAACCTGCCTTCAGTGGAGAGGGCTGCCCCTGCTGTACTGCCCCTCACTGGCTTTTCCTCTTCCCAGGTTGGTGTGATTTTACCTCCTGTAGACATGGCCATTTCCGTTACATACAGGAGCATGTCACTACAGACTGGGGCATGACCTAGGAACTGAGCTCATCTCTCTTGAACTTAGATATTCATGGACATTAGGTGCAAAGAGGGGTAAATGCAGCCATACAGTTCGAGTGTTTCATTTATCTTACGTTTAAGCACAGTGTGCATAAGAAACTCAGTTTTTTAAAAATGAATTTTAAGAAATCAATACTCATCTGATGTTTCCCTCCAGGGCTGTTTGAGAGGCACAAGCTACTCTTTTCTTTTAATATGACCATCAAGATAGAACAAGCAGAAGGGAGAGTCCCTCAAGAAGAACTAGATTTCTTTTTAAAAGGTAATGAATTTGCCTAGCTTCATTCCTCCCATCTCCTTGCCCACATGATACATGTATATAAGTTTGTCTGTTGAAACAAACAATAACAAAAATTCTCCTTAAAACTTGGCTTCCAACAGCACTGCATTTTTCACTATTCCAGTTGATCATTCCAGCCTCAGAAATGGCTCTGGTTGAAATCGGAGCAGCCAGCCTCTGTCTCGGGGCCATCCTGAGGCTGGAAGCTGGATGCTGCACTGAGCGCCTGGTTGGTGTCACTGGCGGTGACGAGGGCAAGCCTGGGCCACTTCCTGTTTCCAGTCTCCTTCTTGAAAAGTGGACTTTTCCCAAAAGTGGGAGAAGTCGAAGCAGAGTTGCTTGCTTTGTGTTAGTGGTACAATGGCTGCTTGCTTCTCTTCTGTTGTGATTAGGAAACATTTCCCTGGAGAAAAGCAAAAGAAAAAAGCCCTGCGCTTGGTTGTCTGACCAAGGATGGGAAGATATCATTCTTTTATCAGAAATGTTTTCAGACAACTTTGGGCAACTTCCTGATGATGTTGAGAATAATCAGACTGTCTGGCAGGAGGTGAGCCCACGTTCCCTTTCTCCTCCTCTCCTTCCCCACATGTCAACAATCTCCAAACCTCAACTGTGGCCCAACCCCTTAAGAGAAGACACTCCTTTGAGTAACCCATTCAGTGTGTAACTGATGCCCTGTAACTCCCTGATTGGAATTCTCCTTTGGCTAATTCAGCTAGTTGTATGGGAGATCCAACCATCTACCTGTCCGTCCGTCCATCCATCCATCCACCTACCCACCCACCCATCCATCCATTTACCCACCGACCCATTCATCTACCCATCTGCCCACCCACCCATCTACTCATCCATCCATCCATCCATCCATGCACCCACTCATCCATCCACCTACACACCCGTCCATCCAAGAAATAGTTGTTGGGCATCTGCCATGTACCATGTCCCTTGATGGGCACTGGGGACTCAGTGAATAAGACTCAGTTGCTCCTTTCTCAATGTCATAGCCTTTGGGGGTAGAGAATGACAGATCTGACCAGGTGGCCTTCAGTTAGTACACCTATGGATTCTCGTCCCTTTCCAGTGGCTTTTGCCACCTTCACACATAAATGGGGACCTATGTCATTTCTGAGTTGACGCACAATGAATATTCTTTGCTTTTCCCAGTGGTATGACCTGGATTCACTGGAGCAGTTTCCCGTCCCCTTGGGTTACGATAACAACATCACCCCTTTCCAGAAGTTGCTTATTTTGCGCTGTTTCCGTGTGGATCGGGTCTATCGGGCCGTGACTGACTATGTGACTGTAACAATGGGAGAGAAGTAAGTGTGTCGTTTTGTTGATTTGCCACTTTCCGTGGGGTGGAATCTCTAGCGTCCTCCCACCTTGGACTCAAAGAAAGCAGAGGCTGACCAGCTCCCGAGACAGCTGTCGCCACCCTGCTGTACAATATTCGATAGCCGATATTCTAGAATTCTTCAATATTCTAGAACAGTGCTAGTCATAAGAAATTCAGTGTGAGCCACATATGCAGTTTCGAAAGTTCTAGTAGCTACATTAGAAAAGAAATGGGCGCAATTAATTGTAATAACATTTTATTTAAATGAATATATTAAAATTATCATTTGAATGTATAATCAATATGAACATGATTGAGACATTTTACATGCTTTTTTCTGGTATTAAGTCTACAAAATCCTGTGTGAATTCACACTTACAGCACATCTCAATTGGGGCTAGCCACATTTTAAGTGCTGTGCCTCACGGCCATCGCACTGGACAATGTAGCTCTAGCATGGGGTACGAAGCCAGGCGGAGCGTGTGGGGCTGCAGCTCAGATGTGCCCTTGTAGCCAGCAGGCCATGGCAGTGAGTGATGAGGCTGGGTGGGGTCCTGGTCCCTGGGCAGCTGCCCTTAGCTCCTGCTGACTGATACCAGGTGCCATTGGGAACCCACAGTGGCTGGATCCTCTGACTCTGAAAGAAGCTAGGACTTCAGATTTTTTCCTGAAATATCCCAATATCTTTGTGTTTGCAATGAATTTTAAAACGCACATCTGGGTCAGGTGCGGTGGCTCACACCTGTAATCCCAGCACTTCAGGAAGCTGATGTGGGAGGATCGCTTGAGGCCAGGAGTTCGAGACCCAGCCTGGGCAACATAGTGAGATACTGCCTCTAAAAAATAAAAAATAAAAAAGAATTAGCCAGGCGTGGTGGTGCACACCTGTAGTCAAGCTACTAAGGAAGCTGAGGTGGGAGGATTGCTTGAGCCCAAGAGTTTGAGGCTGCAGTGAGCTGTGATAGTACCACTGTACTCCAGCCTGGGCAACAGAGTGAGATTATATATTTCAATTTAAAAAAAAAAAAAAAAAAGAAAAAGAAAAAACCCACACACAAAACACAAAACTCAAAACTCAAGATGTGGACCATTCAGGACACGCCTGTGGAACCTCAGGGTTTTGTGCCATGGGCAGGCCCACCTAGAGGGCAAGCTGAGGTGCCCAGCTCAGCACAAACCAACTGAATCGAGTGTGAGGGGGTACAGAGAAGTCCCTGCCACTCAGGAGTTCCCCATCAGGGTGGGAGACGTGCATAGAAACTAGAATCTAAAACAGGGAAGACTGCAACGAGCTATCCCAGAGGAGTGGTCAGAAGGTTCTGGACACCGGAGGAGGCAGCGCTGATCAGACAGACCAGCCCCTGGTCTGGAGCTGTCCTCGCGGGAGAGTTTTCTGACTGTGTTTCTTTCACCAGGTATGTGCAGCCCCCAATGATCAGCTTTGAAGCTATTTTTGAGCAGAGCACTCCACATTCGCCCATTGTGTTTATCCTGAGTCCTGGCTCCGACCCTGCCACTGATCTTATGAAATTAGCAGAGCGAAGTGGTTTTGGAGGAAATCGCCTCAAATTCCTTGCAATGGGTCAAGGTCAAGAAAAGGTAATTTGTGGCTGAAAGGAACAAGCTCTACGTTTAGGGGAGGTCCCTGGTGTCTGCTAAGAAGGAGCTAACCTGGGTTTAAGCTGAGTGCCACGCCACAAATCAGTTGGATGCATTTCCGAGCTAAGAAGCAGTAATGAAACACTGGGAAGATGACAATAATAGTTATGATTTCACAACCTCATGTTGTGATCATGGTGCTGTGCTGTTTTCTTTTTTTTTCCTTTTTCTTTTCTTTTTGAGACAGGGTCTCACTCTGTCACCCAGGCTGGAGTGCAGTGGTGCGAACATAGCTCACTGCAGCCTCGACCTCCTGATTGTGAAGTGATCGTCCTGCCTCAGCCTCCCCAGTAGCAGCTGAGACTACAGGCATGCGTCACCATGCCTGGCTAATTTTTTTGGTATTTTCTGTAGAGAAAAATACAAACACGTCACCATGTTGCCCTGGCTGGTCTTGAACTCCTGGGCTCAAGCGATCCTTCCACTTCGGCCTCCCAAAGTGTTGGGATCACAGGCATGAGACACGATGCTCAGGCTGTGCTGTTTTCAAAGCCCTTTCACACACAGTCCTTACCTTCCTTAGTCCCTGAACAGCCTCATTGTGGATCAGGATTATTATGGCCCCAATTGCATGGCCAAGGGAGTGGGTGGAGAGAGGCTGAGCCCAGGACCATTCAGGACAGAACTGTGGTGCAAATCCTCCTACCTTTCTGAGCCAGTGAGCTTTCTTTGCTGAGGTCTTGCCTCTCTGCATCACAGTGCTCCCTGCTAGAACTTGCTACACAAGTTCAGTACAATGTGGGACAAAGCTTGCAGGAAAAGTCTGTGCGTCAGTAAGTGTGATGGTTGCAGGCATGCGTGTTGGGGTCAGAGGGAGCTGACTGCCAGTCCTGGCTTTGCTATGAACTGTGAGGCTTTGGGTAAGCCCCTCTACTGCTGAAAGCCCCTGGGTGAGATGAGGATGGCAATACCCATGCTGGATGGCCCAGGAGGCAAGCCCTGGGCACCAGCAAGGCGGGCCAGCTCTCTCAACCACAACACTGAAATAAGCTATTGTAACGCCAGCACTCATGTGTTTTAAGCCATTTCAGAAAGCAAGGCTTGATTTGGGTGTTTAGCTTGTTTGTGCTTTGAATTACATTTGGGAGGGGACATGGTGATTGTTTTCCAGGCCTAGGGCCCTGAAGATCTTACAGTGGCCAGGACAGTCCCGACTTCCTGGTGGGCTTTAGCTGGTCTCTTGCAGCCCTGCTCAGGAGTCCTCAGGGGACAGGAGCGACTGTGTGGGAGGAGCTGGGACTTCCAGGGCCAGGGAGGCAGATGAGTGCAAAATGCTCACCCATCTTCCAGGCTGGGTGTGACCAGCTCAGTGCACCCACGGGGCCCATGGGGTTTCTCAAAGATGGTTTATTTGAAGGCTCCACCTGTAGCTCCTGGATCCTCGGCTTGCTTTTGGCTTCTGCTGGAGCTGCCATCGCCCTTCTGTGGGTGTGGAGTGGGTCTCTGGAGAGCACGGGGTTGGGTTTGGATGCCAACCCCTCTCCTCTTCCCTCTCCCCCGGCGCAGGTGGCCCTGCAGCTGCTGGAGACGGCGGTGGCTCGGGGGCAGTGGCTGATGCTGCAGAACTGCCACCTCCTGGTCAAGTGGCTGAAAGATCTGGAGAAGTCCCTGGAGAGGATCACCAAGCCCCACCCAGACTTCCGCCTGTGGCTCACCACGGACCCCACCAAGGGCTTCCCCATTGGGATTCTGCAGAAGTCCCTAAAGGTCTGGCTTCAGGATGGACATCAACATGCCAGCACGCAGCTTCTCAGAACACCTGCATGCTGCTCTGGGGCCGGGGTGTGCCTTTGTCTGTGTAGAAATAAACCTTAGGCTGCAGGTGAAACCTTGCGGTTGAAACCCTTCTCAATCCCACCTCTCTCTTTAGAGGGAGCCGCTGTCCTGGGTTGGGTGTTTGTGACTCCCAGGCCTATCTCTACCAATTCTGCATGTGTCCCTAACAATATCTACGCTACTTTTCATAAACTTCACGGCCCCCCCCCCCACACACAGCCTGCAGTTCGCTAGTGCTGACTGCAGGAGTTTCGCGTGGTTTACATGCCCCATTTAATTTATTCTCCGGGAAATTCTTTTGGAAAGGTTTTGTCATTCTCTGTCTCTCTCTCTCTCTCTGGGGAGGTGGAGGGAAGACTTTACTTTCATTTTATATATAGTAAAGGATCTCATGGTTCAGAGGAAGGTCAAAGACTCTTGACCCTTGACCCTGAGAGCCAGAACATCTAGTCCTTTAACTTCTCAGCCTGGGCCCTGGACAAGAGACTTTAGCTATTGGAGGTCTCAGACAGATGGCTCCGTAGAGAGGAAGGAAAGCGCAGTGCCTGCATTGTGCACACTCTTCCAAGCTTGTGGGCCTGCGGTCTCCATCACTGTGTGTTTTCTTCTCTTCTGAAGGTTGTCACCGAGCCACCCAATGGGCTGAAACTCAACATGAGGGCAACTTACTTCAAGATCTCTCACGAAATGCTGGACCAGTGCCCGCACCCTGCCTTCAAGCCGCTGGTCTACGTGCTGGCGTTCTTTCATGCTGTGGTGCAGGAGAGAAGGAAGTTTGGGAAGATTGGCTGGAACGTGTACTATGACTTCAATGAGTCTGACTTCCAGGTGACAGTGGCTGCTTCTCCTTGGAAATGGCTTCCTTAGGCGGCCCACTTCCTCCCGACTTTCCTCCGGGTTCAACCACAGCAGGGTTGCACCGTTCCCAGCAGCCTTTTCAGAAAAGTATCAGAATGTGAACAGCTTGGTGGGTTTCAGTATAACTGAGCGTGTTCTCTTCTTTCAAGGTCTGCATGGAAATTCTGAACACGTACTTAACGAAAGCCTTCCAGCAACGGGACCCAAGGATCCCGTGGGGCAGCCTCAAGTACCTAATTGGAGAGGTAGGGGTGACCGGGGATCCTTCCGCAGGTGCCTCTGGGGCTACAGAGCTGTGGCCTCGTGCCCCTATTTTCCTCTGAGCCCTCAGAACCAGCCTCTTCTGCCCCTGTGTTCCCCTTGGGTTTCTGTGACAATTCTCTCTGCTCTCACCTGGTTGTTCTTTGTCCTAAGTGAGCTCTGTTCACATGGAGGTTCCCTGAGCTGGATCCATGGCTGGGGATCCAGGCAAGGCATCCTCTAGCCCCTTGCCTCAGCTGTTGCTGTATACAGAGCTCACAGGAAGCATCCCCGGTGGTCTGCACACGGCTCAGGCAGTGACATCAATTCCAAAGACAGAAGCAGCTGCTGGCTTCTTCAGCTGTTTGTTTGATGTGTTTGGGGGACTTTGCCTGCTGCACAGGAGCTCCCAACACTTCCTGAGGGCTTCTTACTGCTTTGGGCCCTATCCCTTGGGAAGCCAGCAAAGCCACAGATCAATTGTGTGAACAGTGGCCCGAAAGGTTATGCAAGTCAACAGGTTCAAGCCTTGCAGCAGCCAGGCTGCTGGAGTCTCTTGACCCTGGGTGAGCCTCTGGCCCCGGGCCCCCAGGGTGCACACAGTAGGTTCTGAGCTCCTGGCTGGCTCTCAGGCCCTCTAATTTCAGGTCATGTATGGAGGACGGGCCATCGACAGCTTTGATCGCCGCATCCTGACCATCTACATGGATGAGTACCTGGGGGACTTCATTTTTGATACTTTCCAGCCATTCCACTTCTTCCGGAACAAGGAAGTGGACTACAAAATCCCTGTTGGTGATGAAAAGGAGAAATTTGTTGGTGAGATTTCTCAGACATGAAAAGATGTTTTCAAGGCTTTTTCTAAGGGAGACCATACATTTCAACCGGCTCCTCTCCTGGTGGGGGCTCCTCGGCTGGTCAGGTGTGGTCTGTTAAGCCTGTTAGGTGGCTCGGCAGACGCTTCCTGGCTGCAGAGCTGACTGATAGAGTTCAGATTTCCCATCCTGGAATGATGGTAAATAAATCAGGTTCCACCTGGAAGGGCAGAATGGCCACAGTGAAGCTCACTGAGCCATTTTCGTAAAAGATGAACATACGGCTGGACTGGGTGTGGTAGTGTAGAATTTTTACATTAAAAACATGTCATTGGCTGGTCATGGTGGCTCGCACCTGTAATCCCTTCTTTGGAAGGCCAAGAAGGGCAGATCGCTTGAGCCCAGAAGTTCAAGACCAGCCTGGGCAACCAAGCAAGATCCCATCTCTACAAAAAATAAACAAAAAATCAAAACAAAAAAACAAAAAACAAAAATATTAGCTGAGTGTGGTGGTGAATACCTGTAGTACCAGCTACTTGGGAGGCTGAGATGGGAGAAGAGCTTGAGCCCAGGAGGTCGAGGCTGTAGTGATCAATGACCATGTCAGTGCACTTCAGCCTGGGTGACTAAGACCCTGTCTCAAAAAAAAAAAAAGTCACCCTCTAAACAGTGGAAATTAGTCTTGCATGTCTTGGAGACTTTGAGGCTGTGGGCCCTGAGAAAGCACAGGTGGCTGGACAGTGCCACCTCCGTTGTTCTCTGTGATTGCAGAAGCCATCGAGGCCCTCCCGCTTGCCAACACGCCAGAAGTGTTTGGTCTCCACCCCAACGCTGAGATTGGCTATTACACGCAGGCGGCTCGAGACATGTGGGCTCACCTGCTGGAGCTGCAGCCTCAGACAGGTAAACTCTACTCAGGAGGACTTCATTAGTTTGATTGGGGTTTTACGATTGCTTCTTGTAGCCCTCCCACGTTGCTGATGCCTTTCCCAGAACTGGAAGGCTCAGGAGGCTCCGGTTCTGCACGTGGATGCCTTGCTTTCTCTGAAAAGTGTCCTGGTTTTAGGGGAATCCAGCAGTGGTATCAGCCGCGATGATTATATTGGCCAAGTGGCCAAAGAAATAGAAAACAAGATGCCCAAAGTCTTTGACTTGGACCAGGTGAGGAAGCGCCTCGGAACAGGACTCTCCCCCACTTCGGTGGTGCTCCTGCAGGAACTGGAACGCTTCAACAAGCTTGTGGTCCGGATGACGAAGTCTCTGGCTGAACTTCAAAGGGTGAGCCTGTCTCTCATGTGCAGATTACTGCCTAGATACGTGGCACCTGGGGTTCTGATAGAGTCCTGCCCGATTGCTCTTGATTCTAAATAGGCCTTGGCTGGAGAAGTTGGAATGAGCAATGAGTTAGATGATGTGGCCAGGTCTCTTTTTATCGGGCATATCCCTAATATCTGGAGAAGGCTTGCTCCTGACACCTTAAAGTCCCTTGGAAACTGGATGGTCTACTTCCTGCGGCGGTTCAGCCAGTACATGTTGTGGGTAAGTGGCACGTCACCGCCTCCTCTCTGCCGATTCAGGTGTCAGCCTAGACTCCTCAAACCACCTCCCAATCCCCTCTTTCCATTGCCCAGCAGTAACCTCTGTTAAAGTTTATTGGGTGCTCTGGAAATGGTCTGAGATTCTTACAAGCCTATCTGTATCTTTTGTTTTTCCTTTTCTTTTGAAGACTTTGAAGCATACTCTTACATACCCGATTATTTTATCTAAGTGTATATCTTGGCACTTGTTCCATATTAGTACACAGCTAGCTCGTTCTTTTTTAGAGTATGCCATTGTACAAATGTTTCATATCCTTTCTCCTCCTTCTGTATCCTAAAAATATGGTAACTGCCTACATTTCGGTGGTTACCATTTTTTTTTTTTTTTTGCTAATACAAATAACATTCTGGTGCACATGTATATGAATATGCATAGGGGTATATTCCATGGGTAAATTCTGACAGTGGAAGAGTTGGATCAAAGAGCTTGTGCATTTTAAATTTTGATAGCTCTTGTTGGATGGTTCTTAGAAAGGCTGAAACCACAGTCTATGAGAGTGCTTCTTTCCTCACTCCGCTGCAATGCTGCGTTCTTAACATTTTGGATCACTGTCTCCCTGATAGGTGAAAATAATATCTCATTGTTTTGCATGTCTTTAATTATGGTGAGTCTGAGCGTATTTTGCATGCTTTACAGACATTTTGTGTTTGTTTTTCTGTGAATTGTCCTTTTGTATCTGGATTTCATTTTTAGTGAGGTCTCCATCTTTCTCATTGATGTTTAAGAGCTCTTTGCAAATCAAAGAAATTAGCCCTTGGTCTGCCAGTGTTGCAGGTATTTCTCCAAGCTTGTCATAAGTCTTGACTTTGCTTACGGTATTTTTTCCACAGAAAAGCTTTACATTTTTCCGTAGTCAAACCTACAAGGCTTTTCTTTTTTATCCTGGGCTTTGTATTTCCTACTCCACGATATGAAAGCATTCATTGGAGATGTGGCCCAGTACTTTTGTGGTTTTATTTATTTTTATATCTAAATCTTTGATCTACCTGGAATGTGGCAGTCCAGATTGTTTTTCTCAGACAGGCGGCCAGTTGTGCCAACGCCATCTTTTGCCACTTAGGTGAAATATGTCTTTTATCATAAACTAAACTTCCAGGCCAGCTTTGACCTGGCATTGGATGGCAGCCCCAGGCTCCCAGCACTTGTCCTCTCTTCTCTCCAGGTGACCGAGAGCGAGCCCAGCGTGATGTGGCTCTCGGGGCTGCACATCCCTGAGTCCTACCTCACGGCGCTGGTGCAGGCCACCTGCCGGAAGAACGGCTGGCCACTGGACCGCTCCACCTTGTTCACACAAGTGACCAAGTTCCAGGATGCAGATGAAGTGAATGAGCGGGCGGGACAAGGTACCGTCAGCTCGTTAGGGATCCACAGCCTCTCACTTAGGATTTCTCTCCCTGAACCACCTCCAACTCAAAGGGACAGGCATAGCGTGGGCCTAAATGGGCCAGGCCATGTTTGAAAGCCAGCCTGCTGCAAATATTTCCTGTGTCTCTGCACTGCCCATGTCTTAACACCTCTGAGGGTGGATACGGAAGTTTCTCTTCCACTTTCTCCGTTGAGACCTGGGGTCTATGGCAGGGGAGACCTGAACCATGTTCACTCTGCTAGCTCATGGCAAGTGGGCTCCTAGGTCAGAATTAGCTCTTGCAAAAACCATCAGGTGGCTTTCTTGTAACCCCTGACGGGGCCAGGGGCATGGGAGCCACAGAGCAGCATGGACTAACTTGGTTGGAACTCTTTGATTATGCCAGAACTTCAGGTCCCTTAGACATTGGTTACTGACTGTGCAAATGAGAGCTGGAAACTGCTGTTTCCCCGGGTCCATGTTGTCTTAGAGTTCTTTTAACTGCAAGGAACAAAAGCTCTTTTGAGATGGCTTAAGGACTGGGGACTTACGGTAAAGATGCAGGGACTCTCCAGGTCTCAGTGGCAGGGGAGGTGGCAGGTGTCCGGGCCACCACTCTCTCTGGGGCCACAGGAGTGTGTTCCTCTCTTTGCACATCTGCTGGGTCCTCCTCCCCGGAGACCACTTTCTCTGTGAGGCTTCGACTTCCTGCTCCCCAGCCACTTCGGCTCACAGGGTAGCTGGGGTTGCCATGGTGCCCATTCTGACTCTGGGACCATGCATCTTTCTAGCCTGGGGGCCCAGGGTGGTCTAAGTCCGTGGGCCTTGATGCCCCAGGAATGAGGATTCCTGGGGGAGAGGCCACCGCCCCACACCCATTTCTCTGGGCCATGGGGCAGGGCCACAGGGTCTCCTGTCTGGGCTGCTCCTCCACAGAGGGAAGGTGGGCAGGACAGAAATGCTGGAGAAGGGCCTGGGCTGTCCCCAATGCGCTGGGGAGGAGGCCAGCCAGTGGCCTGTGTGTCGCTGTGTGTGCGCCTGATAGAGCCACTCCGTGGCAGGCTGTGCATGCTCCAGTTGTATCCAGTCTCTGCCTTGTGTCCCTAGGATGCTTTGTCTCAGGACTGTACCTGGAAGGTGCTGACTGGGATATAGAAAAAGGATGTCTTATCAAGAGCAAACCCAAGGTGCTGGTTGTGGACCTGCCGATCCTGAAGATCATCCCCATTGAAGCCCATCGCCTCAAGCTGCAGGTGAAGGTCCCAGCCCCTCCTCTCTGACACCAGGGCCCTTCCTCTTCTGACTGTAGTTATGGCTGAGGTGGTTTCCAACAGTCCTACTTTTTAAAACAGGGGTGCCTAAGCTTTATGGGCTGGGGAGAGTCTTGGAGCCGTGATAAAAGCTACGGATAGCTGCTTCCTGGAAAAGGCGCGGCTGTATGTGTGTGTGGATGCCGGTCCTTCCAGAGGTGTCAGGCTCAAGCTGTGATCCTGTGGTCTAGACTAACCAAGGGGAGACTCCCTCCCTTCTTGCAAAATGCTGCAGACATTGCCTGAGTCATAAAGTGGTTCCCGCTGGTGTGGACAGCAGATGTCTTCTGCTCTGCCTGGGCCAGGACCCACTTTTAACCAGGGTGTCAGTGTGAAGCCAGGTCCCCGTGAAGCTGGCGGAGGGTGGCCCTGAGCAGCCCCAGCCTTGTGCGTGTTCTCAGGTGCAGTCTTGCACAGGGGCCCCTGCCTGTCAAGACTTACACTGCACCTCTGCCTTTATCCCTCTGCACCCTCTCTCCGTGGGGGCATCTCACCTGCCTTTCCCTTGCAGAATACTTTCCGGACCCCCGTCTACACCACCTCCATGAGAAGGAACGCCATGGGAGTCGGCTTGGTTTTTGAAGCTGATCTCTTTACCACGAGGCACATTTCTCACTGGGTGCTGCAAGGAGTATGCCTCACCCTGAATTCTGATTAACCTTTGGGTGAAGAAAACTGCTTAATGAATTCGGAGCCTGGGGTTGTCAGAGTGATCGGGTCTGCTGTCATTTCTTGGGGCCTCTCAAGAGGCAGGAGGGGGACTGACACTGATTTTTCATTTGAAATCAGCCACTTAAATCTCTTTCCATACAAATTAACCTGAATGGTTTTGTTTTTAATACTACTTTTTAAAAGGAATTTATATAATCAAAAAGTAAATATTGGAGAGTATTTTAAGATGTGTGGAGTTTTCTTTTCCTTCTCAGAGAAAACACTTGATTAGGCAAAAGTGCCTGGCATACATAGCATTGGCACAAGTGAGAATCCTAATGTAATTTCCAAAGGTGTGTTTTCGATGATCCAGGTCTGTTTCAGCAGATGCTCCTTTTTGGCAAGAAGGGCTGATGATGTCGGGCACAGAGCAGAAGTGACCAGTCACCTGGAGCCACTTCTCCCCCTTCCAGAACTCTCTGGCCCTAGCTTCTTTGGCTCTGACCTGCTACGGCGACTGTGAAGTTGTTGAGCTTAGTGTTTAGTTCCTGCATGAGCTTCTACCCCCAGCCTGCCTGGGTCTGTGTGGGGTCAGGTAAGGACACAGAACCTCCAGGACCAGTGGTCACTGGGCACCCCTTCCCTCTGTGCACCATGAGGCTGGCCTGGAGCCCTGGCTGGCCACCTGGAGGTGAGGGGTGGCTTCACTCCATGAGGGAGGAGAGGGGCTAGCACGGGCAGCACAGTGGGCAGGGGCCATCAGAGGCAAAAGCAGCTTCCCACAGAAGCTCAGGAGCGCAGCACATTCTAAGGACTAGCTCTGGGCCGGGAGGAGGCCGGAGTCGCTTCTGGGACCTGTGATTGCTCTCCCTCCTGCAGTCTCCTAGCCCTCCTTCAGGTGTTTGTTTAATAAAAGACACAAAACAGAAGGAAGGCAGGTTTAGAAAATAAAGTTTGTTGGGATCTTAAACATTTTGGATAAAACTAACAAAAAAATATGAACACACATTCAGGTTGTGGTGCTATGAGGAGTAGCGTCATCTTATTTAGTTCCTTGAGATACACGCACGGCTGCTCGGTGATCGGTGCCGCCCTGGGAAAGGTTGGTCAGGAGGTGACAGGGGTCTCCAGGAGGAGCTCGGGAGGTGACAAGGGTCTCCAGGAGGGAGCAGGGGCTGCTCGGCCAGGCTGCCCTGGAGCTTGAGGATAAGGTCAAGGTTGGTATGTGTTGCTCCGACTTGAGAATGAATTAGGTGTGTGACTGTGTGGCATCGTGAACATCAGTAGTGACGCAGCCGTGGCCTGGGCTTTGCCTGCAGCGCACTTAGGTTACACGGAGCGGGATCAGAAGCAAGCGATTCGGCACACAGGCGTTTGGCCACAGCAATTAGGAAATACATATTCTGCGGCAGGGACACGATCATATTTTGGTGTGAAGAAGAGGGCAAGAGAAGCAGAAGGAGAATGGGTCGGTAGGTGTGAAAAGTGTTTGGCATGCATGGGATTAAACAGAAAAGGTGTGGCTGAGATTTCCCAGTGGTGCTCACAGTGCATGGACAGCGCGGGGTGGGGCACGGCGGGCTTCACACAGTTCTGTCCGTCCCTGAGTGCTTCCTCACCACCTTGCCTCCGTTCACCTGGTCGACCGCCAGGGTCTTCACCTCGGGCTGGGCCTGCGGCGGGGTGGCGTGGTGGATCCGATGTGCCACCCCGACGTGGGCCTTGTGCGGCTTTTCGCGGGCCGGGCTGTGCTGCTCGCCGCTTCGGTCGGAGGCGATGGGGGGGATGACGAGGGGCCTCTCTTTGATGAGGTGGACCTCGGCGGACTCCCTAGCCAGCAGAAATGGGGTGGGGTCGGGCATAGCATCCACTGGTTCCCGCAAAAGGAGTTTCCTGCTCTCTGCCCCGAATCTGTAGACCTCTTCAAATTCCGGGTGCAAGGGGGCTGAGAGGCTCTTTTTCATGCGGCGGCGAGGCGTTTCGGGTAGCTTGTCTTTGGGGGGCGCTGGCTTGTAGCTGGCCAGCACGGGGCTCCCTGACGGGCTGGCATCTGAGGTCCCGCTGGAGCTCATGAGCTTCTTCTTGGCGGCGTGCAGCTGGGAGGTCAGGTAGGCGATGGTGCTGGCCCGCTGCTCCAGCTCGCTAGACAGCAGGGTCAGCTTGTGACTCTTGGCCTTCAGCTCCTCCAGGTACTTCTTCTCTCGCTCCTTGATGGTGTTCTCCAGCACTGTGATCATCGCGTTTTTCTGCTCCAGTTCTTTCAACAACTCAGCATTTTCGTTCTCTTTCACTTTCAGTTGGGCTTCCAGCTCTTCACATCTTTTCTTTAATTCACTGCTTTTAGAAGTCCCGTCTCCTACAAGAATAAGCCGAGGAAGCAGGTGAAGAACTCATTAGACTGAGGCCGAGTGGTGAGGCCTATGGGGCAGGCGGACCTGTCTGGTGGGGGCCCTGTCTAGGCTGTGGGGGCCATGCAGAAGGCAGGGCTGTGGGGGCTCTGGAAAGACCCCTCCCCTCCCCGAGGTGGGGAGATCGGGGCATCTCAGAGGCCCTTTCCGGCTCTTAGTTCTCTGGCCTACTGCATAAAAGAATGTCTCTGAACCTTAAAGATGCTGAACTTAAAACAGGCAATTGCAGAGTATCAGACCTCAGCAAACACTTAGGATTCAACTGGCCGCAAATCCCTCTGTCTGCTCAGATGGCATTTATGGAATGCCTGCTACATTCAAAGTACTGTTTTGAAACTCAAATGTAAAAAGAATTATCCATGTCTATTGAATTAAAATTCTGATGTTTAGAGGAGAAGAGGTGTGGGGCTGTCACCTTTGCTCTGCCGCTGGCCGCCTCTCTCACCCCCCTACCCCCGTCTCTCTCACACACACACACACACAGACTCTTTCCCACTTCCTGCTCAGAGAGTGAGCTGTCTCGCCTCTGTGGCTCTTACCCTTGGTCCCTCCCTGCCCCTGCCCTAACACTTCGGGCCTCTGCCTCCTTTTGCTGTCCCTGGGTGCCTGCCCTCACCCAGTCCTTCAGCAAACACCAGCCACCTCCTTCTCCTGCTCTTCTGGTGACCTGCAGTCCCTGGTCACCTCACATAGCACCCTTGGCTCTAAACCCTGGGTCACCATCCTACTCCTCCTAACGCTGGCTGGCTGGCCATCCTCCTTGCCTGGCCCCTGGGAAGTTCTTTCTAGACTCTTCCTTGCTGGTCTGGAATTCAACTTGAGCATCAGCTCCCGATTCAGTGTCTCCTGAGCACCACTTCTCCAAGTGAGTGTCCGTCAGACACACCCTCAAGTCCAGATAGCTGCTCTGCTTCCCACATCTTGACTCTCCCAGGGAAACTGGATGCAGTCGCCATCCCTGGCCTCCCCTCCCTGACTGTGCCTTTCTGCTGGCTGCTCAGTGCTGCCCCCTCCCTGCTCCTCCAGCCGGCCTTGGTCCCACCTCCTCTCTGGTCTTCGTTTCAGCCCATCCTGTATTTAGGAAGCTTGGTCACCCCCTAAATATTCTTGTCCTCTGTTCAAAATGGTTCCTCACTGCCTAATAAAACCCAAACTGCCAGATGCCTTCCAGTTCCTCAATCTGTCCTGAATGTTATCTGCTCCCACATAAATCAAAGCTTCCATCACTCTCCCCAAGCCACCACCTCTTGTTCTGTCTCTATTGTACCCTCTGTCCTTGCCCTAACTCCAGACCTGCACGCCCAGTTTCCCTGTACCAACTCCACCACCCAGGGCCTGCCTAGGCACTGGACGCCACTGGACGTCTTTCCCGGGCTTCTGTCTGTCTTGCTTTGAATTTTCCCACCTGCCTGAGCTAGCAGCAGCTCTGCAGCATGTCCCGCCGCCAGACTCTGAGCTTTTGAGGGCCCACAGCTGACTGGACTGGTCTTGTGCAGGACACTTGCATGTTACAAGCTCGCTGCAGGTGATGGGCGCTCCTCGACTTAGCATGGGGTCATGTCCCGAAAAATCCAATGTAAGTTGAAAATACCGTAAGTCAAAAGTGTGTTTTCGATATTTTCAGCTTACCATGGGTTTATCTGGACATATCCATGGTAAGTCGAGGAGTGTACTGAATGGGTATTGCCCCATGCAGTTGAAAAATTTTAAGTTGAACCATTGCAAGTTTCTAGTTTTAAAAACCATGTGTCTGTGTGTGTATGTGCAGGTATAATGTCAGCAAATGACCTCCCTAAAAAGGATGCATGCAGTACTACCTTTCATGAGGTTTCTTCTTTTGCCAAAAGGAAAATAGATCCTAAAACACAGTTTCAGAGGTAGAGAGAGGGACAGAGACACACACACGACTCTGTAGACACTGTAAGACCCAGGAGCCCAGCCACCTGGGCTGAACCCCTGCAACCTGAAATGCTGACCTGGGCACGGCATTGGGCCTGGTACCCGCTGTCCTTCCCCCAGGGCCTGTGGGACAACAACCCATGCCTGTCGCAGGGCCTTTGCTTTCAGCCCACACTCGGGTGGACAGTGGGCCTTGGGCTCCTTCCGAGGAAGGGCTGCAACCTCAGACCTTCAACCACATCCCTGGCCTGCTGTGAGCATCCTGGGATTTTTCTTCCCCCAGGCAGTGCTGCAAAAGGCTGATGGACGTTTGGAACATTCAGGAACAAGGCTGTCCCTGGGCTTTGCTCATGTCCTGTGAGGGGCAGCCCACAAAGGCAGAGGGCCCTGGTGGTCGGACTGGGGACTTGGATTTGTGGGGCACCTGTCAGATGAAGATGCAGGTTCAGAGATGTCAAAGAACCTGCCCAAGGCCACACAGCCCCTCCGAGTCAGAGCAGAGGCCCAAATCTGGGGCTCATTAAGCATCACTCTGGTTCTTTTCGCCACAGCATCCTGAGAGAAGCTCCTCCTGGATAGACATCCTCCTCATCATCCTTCCTTGAGAGTCATCTAGCTGTGCTGCCTCCTCCTCCAGGGTGCAGCCTTGGCTCCGGGCTGATGTTTACCGGCCCCGACTTGAGTGGGCCGTCCTGTGGGAAGGAGCTGGTACGACTGCTCCTCCATCCCCAGCTCTGGAGAGCTGCTTCAGTGACTGTCCTTCCCAGGAATCAGCACCTCCTGTTTTGCCAATTTCTTGCTCTTTATAGAAAGCTCCACTCCACCTCCTCCTCTGTACGTACCCCCTTTCTGGAAATTTCAGTCTTCCCATGAAAGCTTGGTGCACACTGAGCTGACAGCAGCCAACTGCTGCTGGTCTCCAAACGCTGCACTGCTGAGCCTGCCCGAGCGTCAGGGCACTGCAACGCTTCTAAACCTGCGCACTCCCTGGGCCCGCCCAGACTTCTGGGGTCACAGCCCCCAGGGGAGGGAAGCCAAGAGTCTATGCTGTACCCTGGGTCCCGAAACTGCTTGGAATTGGGCAGTTTTGGGTGCACTAATGTAAAACAATGATTTTCACCACTGGGAGGGGAGACGCCCCGACTGGAACCACCTGAGAGGCTTTTGAAACTGCCTCCCCTAAGACACAGCCCTTGCTGTGAGACCCTGCTGCTGCTGGGAGTACTACATCAGGTGGGTGGGTGGGTGGGCAGGTGGCCTTGGGACCTCAGGTTGAGAACCGTGACTGGAGAGGCCACAGGGCAAAACTATGCTGCTTCAGATTAGCCTGGGCCAGGAGAGGACAGGGAGCGAGGACGCCCTGGCTTCCATGACACGGGTAGCTCCTTTCCCAAGGCTTCAGTGCTGGCAGGTGTGGACGCTGGAGGTCCCTAGTGTCAGGCTGAAATCCTGTTCCTCTGCATTCCCACAGGCCCAGCTCCCAGTCCCAGGGCTTCGGGGGAGGTCCCTGGTATCCCTCCACAGGGAGACTTCTGAGGACAGGCTCCCATTCCACCACCCCAAGAAGCCCACGGCGCCTTCCCTACCACACGCAGACAAAAAGATGTCTGGGCTCCTGGGTGGCGCACTCAGGAGGCTGTAATATGAGCAATGCAAATGGAAAAAAATCAGTGCTCGGTAATCCACTAAGGCTTGGTGGAAATGGTCTGTGTCTTTTACAAGGAACTGGACACTCTCATGAATAGTAACTGCCATTGTGAGGCCTGTTTAGAAAAAGGCATTGTGGGGAATGGAGAAGTTCTTCAAAGTTTCTTGAAACCATAAAGAGCTTGTCATTTCCTTGCTCTATGTATATCTCTATATATGTTCCAGTGTAGCTGCTCCGCCTTGCCCCGGCACGCCTGCGCAGGGCTGAGCGAGCCCTGGACCATAGTGCATGCTCTTCCTTATTTGGAAACTCTCCTGACCCTCTCATGACTAGCTTCCTCTTTTCTTTGTCCTCTTTCCCTTTTGCCTATTTAGGAAAGTTTCAAGCTGTTAGCCAATCGGGTCAAGCTTAGAATGTGAGGTCCCATTCCAGTCAATGGAAACTGGACACAGTCATAGGGCAATTGCATCAGGTTATGAAGATTATAAATGTCCTCGTCTCCTTTGTTTGAGTGTGCTCTCGTGGTAAGACTGCTGGCGAGTTGCACCCTTTCTGCAGAAAGTAAACTAGCCTTGCTGAGCCATCCATTGCCTTCCCGACGTGATAAACCCGTTTCCAACAGGTGTCTCTGCACAAACATGGATTCAGCACTTTCCAAACACCCACCCTGTTTTAGGGAGCAGGCTCTTTGCAGCAGGCACAGAGGGCCCTGGGAAGGCCTGGGTTTCTGTCTCTTCTCTGGCGGCCAGCAGGCAGCTGCCCTTTGGGGTTTCCTGAGGTCCTGGAGGATTCTGGTTTGGGGAGGGTTCTGGGGCTGTAGTCCAGAGAAAGCCCCAGATCCTCAGGGAGCTGTCTAGTAATGTGACCACTCGCCCGCCAGCATTTAGCAAGCTGCTGCTCTGTGCCAGGCCCATGCTAGGCGGCAGCGACACGGAGGAGCGGGGGCGGTTCTGCCCAATGCTGCTGCTGCTGTTACTCCTCCTTTTGGGTTTAACTCACGTCTATTTTTATGTCCTGATTACACAAGGAACACATGTTCATTGTAGGAAAATCAGAAAAACATATAATAGGCATTCCAAATATATGTGTCATTCAAAAGAAAACAAAATCACTCATCCCCCTGCCCACTAATAACCACTTGCAACACGGAGGGATCCAAACATCCTTCTCATCTTCTCTTAGAGAGCTCAGGCCACACGCATAACTCTTCCCAGCAAGAGCATTTTCTCCTAAGTGTGTGACTAGTGAAAACGGCACCAACACGTACCACAAAGGGAAACCTACTGTCATTTACTTCTGGGGAGGAGTTCTTACCTGTCTGTTCCGAACTTTTGACTGTCAGCTCATATGTTAAATCTAAAAGGGAAATGTTACACATTAATTCTTTTACTGTACATTTCAAAATCTTCATCAGCTTTGAAAATGCAAAACCGATTCCCACGATTAGCCAGCGAGTCCTACCCAGACAGAGCAGGGTTTGGCAGCAGGAGAGGTGAGCATGAGAGCAGCAGAAAACATCTGCGGCCACTGTGCTCCCTGGGGTCAGAGGGCACCCTCTGTTCCCCCAAACTCCCTTCCCCATTCCCCCACAGCATATCCCAACCATCCAAACCAAACAATCCAGCAGCTGGCTCTATGTATCACACAGGCTATATCTTGGTTATCAGTTCCAAAACACATTGGAGATTCTAACCATTGTATTTTAATCTCTTAAGTCCTCAGTATGCCAAGAAAAGGCTTTGCAGCTTTATGCTTAGTGCATCTTGATTATGCAATGAGGATGATATAAGGCATTCAGATGGACTCCTGCAACGATGATGGGAGCTGGGGGCAGGGCAGGCCTAGCACATTCTGACGCTGGGCTCTGCCGTGCCCCATAGCCGCCCCCCGCCTGCCCGGGCCTGCTCCCCGATGTACCTGTGCAGTGCTGCTGCAGCCGCCTGATCTCGGAGTGCAGCCCCTTGAGCGTGCTGGCATGCTCCCGCTGAAGGAACAGGAGGTTCTTCTGTGCGCTGTGCAGCTGGTTCTCCAGGTTTGTGGCTGCCATGCTGACATCCAGAGGACCTGTGGGTAACACAGACCCTGGCTGCGGTGCCTGAAGAGGGTCCCAGGGCTGCCTGCCCTCCTTGGCTCTGGGTGCAGAGGGGTGTGCGCCTCCCAGGAGAGAGCAGAAGGAAACCACGGCTCCTGAAGGGCAGGGTGTGGGGGCACCAGGGCTACATTCCCATCACTGCAGGGAGGCCCCAGGCCAGGGACGGCAGCCTCTGCTTCCCGAACGCCTTGGGGTGTGCCCTAGCACCTAGCACGATGCCTGGCACATGAATGAGTGAGGCCCACTCCAGAGTACAAAGTCATTTCCCTTTACTCATGAGGAAACAGATCAAGAGAGGCAGATTCGCGAGCCTGGGGTCACACAGCCAGTGAGGTATGGAGCAGGGATTCTAATCCAGGGACCCTTGGTTCCAAATCCTGTCCTCTCCACGCACCACCTCACCCCAACAGACTGTGACTGACCAAATCACGCCCAAAAGATTTCCCTGACCAGGAAGCACTGACAGCTTCCTCATGGGAAAAGCTGGCACCTGGGAAATGGGCCAAACATTTCCTCTAAATGGCATCTGGAGCCAGCCAAAGTAGGAGGGAGAGATGGGCTGAATTCCAGAGGGAAGCCCCCTGCACTTCACAGCACTGAGAGGAGCCACAGATCCTTCTTGGGAAGGTCTGAGAACGTATCTCATGGGGCCAGGGGGTGGTGCAGGTGTCTGGAGTCTGTCCCCAATGCTTGGCCCCTCCCAGCCCCAGCTTCCAGCATCTGATGCTCACTCAGGGCCCCAGACTCTACCTTCATCGTAACTCGAGAAATGTGGTGAAGTCATGGGTCTTTCTGGAAAAGCTACCAGAGTAATTCAAGACGCTTGTACAGCACTGAAAAATACTGAGGATGAAATGTGAGTTATTTGCTTATAAATTATTATTGTAAATACAGAACCTCAGAATGCATTTTCCCTAATTTGCTATTCCAGAGAACCCTCCGTAAAGGAGGTACAACTTCTCAATGGCTCCCAGGACGCAGCCCATTTGTAGGATGCCACAGTGGAACCGTTTTGGAGACACTGACACACCCAGGCTGTCACTGCTTCAGACGACACCAATTGCTCATCAATTATCTGTACGACCAGTGACATGCATGCACACTAGCTCTGGAGCTAGGACGAGTTCATAACGAACTTCAGACATACACTTTCATCACACGAAAACACTTCCTGGGCGCTGCTCCGGTGGAAAGCCACAGACTCCACTCCGAGGGCAACCTGAGAACGCAGAGAAGGAAATAAAACACGACGGAGCTCACGAAGGGGAATGAACAATGATACATCCTAAAAAGGACCAAGAAAAAGAGAAACAAGAGGCCCTTTCAGTTGGGGACAAAAACTGGCAGGAGAGGGCAGTGGCCCCAGGACACGGCAAGTACAGTCTCGGGGGGCACCTCACCACGGGCAGTGATTGGGCAGAGCTGATCAGAAGCCTTGGAATTGGTCATCTCTCTGAACTAGCAATTTATTTTTAGAAATCTACCAAAGGGAAATTATTACTTTTGTGTGAAAAGAGGTAGCTGTGAGAATGGTCACTACAGTGCAGTTTGCAGTTGGAAAAGACTAGAAACAAACTCAAAACCCGACAATAGGGAGTGGGTTAAATAACTTAAGGCGACCATTTCTAGGCATGTTTCTATAAAACAAAGCATAGCTCTCCCTGGCCTTTGACTGCCGTCGCACTGGGCTGCAGATGATGGCAGAGTTGAGTTTCCATCAAGCAGGGCTTTCCTCAGTGGAGCCGTGAGCAGCATTCCGGCAGGAGTGAGAAAGGATGTTTCTGTCCCCGAAACCGTCTCTGTGCTGTAACCGCAAACTCTCCTGTGTAGGCTGCTGGGCCAGACACTAGTTTCTAAGTGGAACCCCACAGTTCCCGAGATCCCAACACTGTCTGCACAGCACGTGGTCTTGGGGGGCGCTGACCTTAACAAAGGAGCCAGCTACAACCAAGGCAGGTTCAGCGTGTGGCACACGTGTGCCGCGTGCTTGCTGTGGAAAGGGTGAGCACCTTCTGACCTTGCCCTTCCCTCACAAAGCAGAACGCTTGAAAGCGGAACAGCCTCAGCGTCAAAGGAAGGAAAATCCCAGGAGCGCCTGAGAGCTGTCAGTAGCGGTGCCTACGTTTTCCTTCCACTCAGCAATCCGGAGTCGTTCACTCTGGCATCAATTCCAGCACCTCACCTGGAGGCTGAATCCCGAAGAGCTGAAAGGGGTTTGGAAGTGGGAACTCTAGCAGAGATGCTTTCAAAGGACAGACTCAAATCCAGGATTCTGTTGGCTGATGGAAGAAGCAGAGCCCATATGTTAGTGGCTTGCTGTCAAAGAGAAAGAACCATTTAAATGTGATCCAGAATTTAGTGGGTCTTGGATGACAGGAGAGCTGCCCTAGGCCTAGTGTCCTACCCCTCACAAGCACTGTCCCCAGCTGCACAACCTGGGGGTGGCCTTGACGCTGGCATCCCCCGCCATCCATTTCCAGTCCATGATGATCTTGCTGGCATCCTGCTTTGAAAGCAGCTCTCAGATCCGTTCAACTCTCCCCGTCTCCGCTGCTGAGGCCGTCCTCACCCTCACCCAAATCCCTGCCAGAAAGCCTCCCTCTGTCCTCTCCTACCTGCTCCATTCTGCTCTCCACGTGGCAGCAGAGTGATCTTGTTTTTAAATTGAGACTACTTAAAAACCTCCAATGGTTCCCACTGCTCTGAGAATCAGACTGGTCTGCCCGGCCCTGCAACTGGCCCCGCCACCCTCGCTGGCCCTTCTCCTACCCCCAGGGCTCCAGGTGGCACGAGCTTTCCTCCGGGTGCCCTGCTGGGCTGTGCTTCTCCCACCCTGGTGCCCTCTCATGGCTCCTCCTCTGCCCAGAACACTCTTCTTAGGCCTCTCTCCCACCCACCTCTCCTGGGTCTCCACTGTCTACTTATCCTTTAGGTCTCAGTACAAGTTTACTTCCTCCCGGAAGCCCTGGCCCCCAGACTCGGGTGCATTACCACCCTGTCCCCAGTTCTAGTCTTTGTGTCTCTGTGAGGGTCTGTAAGTGTGGGTCTGTTTCCCGCCTCCTCGCACAGACTCCAGATTGTTCACTGCTGCACCCTAAGCCCTAGCACAGTGCCTGGCACCCTGGAGGCCCACGAATGGGCCTGGTGCCAGTCTGTTGAGTGCAGCTGTGGTGCCAGAGGAATGTAAGGGCTTCAGGGTTGAAAAGCTTTTGTTTCCATGGGCTTCCTATTTAGGTGCTTCTGAGAAGTGACAGCCTGCTGGCAGTCCTCACAGCCCTCGCTTGCTCTCAGCACCTCCTCTGCCTGGGCTCCCACTTTGGCGGCACTTGAGGAGCCCTTCAGCCCACCGCTGCACTGTGGGAGCCCCTTTCTGGGCTGGCCAAGGCCGGAGCCCGCTCCCTCAGCTTGCAGGGAGGTGTGGAGGGAGAGGCGCAAGCAGAACCGGGGCTGCGTGCGGCGGCGCTTGCAGGCCAGCTGGAGTTCTGGGTGGGCGTGGGCTTGGCGGGCCCCGCACTCAGAGCAGCCAGCGGGCCGGCCCTGCCAGCCCTGCCGGCCCCGGGCAATGAGGGGCTTAGCACCCAGGCCAGCAGCTGCAGAGGGTGTACTGGGTCCCCTAGCAGTGCCAGCCCACCAGCGCTGCACTCAATTTCTCACCAGGCCTTAGCTGCCTTCCCGCAGGGCAGGGCTCGGGACCTGCAGCCTGCCATGCCTGAGCCTCCCACCCACTCCATGGGCTCCTGTGCTGCCCGAGCCTCCCCGACCAGTGCCGCTCCCTGCTCCATGGTGCCCAATCCCATCGACCACCCAAGGGCTGAGGAGTGCAAACGTACGGCGCGGGACTGGCAGGCAGCTCCACCTGCAGCCCCGGTGTGGGATCCACTGGGTGAAGCCAGCCGGGCTCCTGAGTCTGGTGGGGACGTGGGGAACCTTTATGTCTAGCTCAGGGATTGTAAATACACCAATTGGCACTCTGTATCTAGCTCAAGGTTTGTAAACACACCAATCAGCACCCTGTGTCTAGCTCAGGGTTTGTGAATGCACCAATCGACACTCTGTATCTAGCTACTCTGGTGGGGCCTTGGAGAACCTTTGTGTGGATACTCTGTATCTAACTAATCTGATGGGGAGGTGGTGAACCTTTGTGTCTAGCTCAGGGATTGTAAACACACCAATCAGCACCCTGTCAAAACAGGCCACTGGGCTCTACCAATTAGCAGGATGTGGGTGGGGCCAGATAAGAAAATAAAAGCAGGCTGCCCGAGCCAGCAGTGGCAACCCGCTCGGGTCCCCTTCCACACTGTGGAAGCTTTGTTCTTTCGCTCTTTGCAATAAATCTTGCTACTGCTCACTCTTTGTGTCCACGCTGCTTTTATGAGCTGTAACACTCACTGCGAAGGTCTGCAGCTTCACTCCTGAGCCAGTGAGACCGCGAACCCACCAGAAGGAAGAAACTCCGAACACATCCGAACATCAGAAGGAACAAACTCCAGATGCGCCACCTTAAGAGCTGTAACACTCACGGCGAGGGTCTGCGGCTTCATTCTTGAAGTCAGTGAGACCAAGAACCCACCAATTCCGGACACACTTCCTTTACAGGCACACCTTGCTCAAAGAAAACGGGATATACTAAAACATCCCGAAATGAGATGACCACCTCACCCGCCATGATGGCACAAAATGGGATGTGCCTATATGTAGATGTCAGTATTTTCTTCTACGCTCTCCCACGGGGGCAGAGGGGAATGGAGTACAAATGTTATCAGCAGCCATCTCTATCATAGTGTGGTATTACATTTCATTTGTAACAAATTTAAATATGATTTAGTAAGTATTCATACTCTAACTGCCTTGGTCAATCAGCAACTTTGAATTATAACAACGCTGTGTGTCATTAATCCACTCTGTTAACTGCAGAAATACAAAAGCGTCCTTAAAGCGTCCCATTATAATGGGCAGACAGCCTGGAGAAGAAACGGCAGGCGAGCAGGGAGAGTGTGACCATGTAACGCGCAGAGCTCCACAGTGAGCGCTGGTGAGCCACTCGGAGCCCTCACAGTGGGGGACAAGGGTCTCCTGGCCTGGGGCATTTCACTGACTGTCGCTCTCCCCTTCTTCCACACTCTGTGCTGACTGAAAAGGCCCTGACATGGAGACGCCATCTGTGCAGGGCATTCTACAGCTGTTAGGATATTCCTGAATAAGGCAGGTCCACTTGGGGCCAGGGAAACAAAACACATCTCCAAATGGCATCCAGATTACTCAATTATTTTCTCATCAGCTCAAAAGAGTAACAATATCACTGGCTTTCTGAGGGCAAAAGAGTTTTCACGGCTGAAAAGACAGTGGTGTTTTCCATTGCGATCCTTCACTACTGAAGAGAGGTAATCATTGTGATGATGTCATGCTCCCAGTACTGTGACATGACTGAAGCCACCGAGGCATCCTGTTTAGGCTGAGGAGACCCAGCCGGGAGATGCACATAATTCAGAGGGAGAAATGGAGTTGGTCCCAAGAGGCTTAATTCAGTATCAGAGATGCTTTAGAAACATGAAGGAGCATTCAAGACAGATCCCTAAAAGGGTCAGCGTGGCAGATGAAAGGAGAAAGGCAGGGCGTCTGCTGCAGATGAATAACGCCGCCTGCTGAGTAAGGGCACTCACCCCATCTTAGCTGTGTGTCAGCCAGGAATGGAGGGCAGCTCATCCAGCCCGTTTGGCAAAACGCTTGCACTTTCTGTGTCAAAAGGGCATACGCTACAAATTGTGTGCTCTTTGTACTGCAGCAGTCCGTCCTGAGGCAAATCCAATTTTGTTCCTAAGCGTTGCTGAGAGCCATCCGCAATCTTACAGTATTTGCTCAACCAAAGGCGGCAAGGCCAGGACATTGGTCTTCTTCCCTCCTTGGAGATGCTGCCCACAGCTGCAGAAAATGGGGCTCCAACTGACTATCACTTCAGGGCCTGGTCACGGCTGCCAGAGGGCCAGCCCCACCCAGGTGACTTTGCACAGCTCTGCTAGTTTTTCTCCCCACAGAACGCCAGCAGAAGCAATGCAAATGGGTACCTCGAGGGTCAAAGTCCTGCTGAATAGGTTACCTTGATCAGGGCTCAAAGGTTAAGCCACACGTACAGTTTTTCCTATGGCAAATCCACTAGGTAAATTAATTTACTGTTCACTCTACTTGTTCAGAAAGTTAATACTCAAAAAAGGCTTTTCATTCCAAATCCTATAGAGATAGGCTCTGAAGACGTGGCAAGACAGCTTCCTGGATGGGGAAGCGCACTGCCGTCATTTCCTAGTGTCAACGTGTCTGAGGAAGGCCCGGCCTCGCCGAGTATGCTCTCCAGCAGCGTGAAGACAAGGGGCCCTATCAACAGCTCAAGCCGAATTCCATCTTCATTCCAAAGTGCTATCCCTTCCTCTCAGGGCATTAATGTAACATGACGACATAATTCTATCCATGGACCACCTGACTTGCCCGAGCACAGTGTTCTTTCACGTTACTTACATCATTTGCTCTTGCAACCCGCCTCTGGGGAAAAGAGGACACTATCCCATGAAAAGAGAGAACATAAACCAATAAATGCATCTAAGCCTTGCCGCTTCTCCTAGCCCGCAGGTGATGTGGTGACAATCCTGACGTCTGGGGCAGATTTAATTTCATGCAGAAATTCAGATGTTTTCCAAGTTGTGCACATCAAGTCTCTAATACTTTGAAACTGCAGAGGAAACGCAAACACAGCCCACTGAAGTAGCCTTTTGGCCCGGAAGGGAAAGCAGCGTTCCTCCAGAGTCCAGAGCACAGGGCCAGGCCGTCAGAACAGCACTGCTCGCACGGAGGCTGGATCCACTGGCTCTCGAGGGTCCACGTTAGAAAATCACACAGCTGTAAAGGCACTGCCGACCACCCAATACGGCAAAAAGACTCACTAATGACTCTTGCTCGTAATACCAGCAAAGGTTCCTAGGAAGCTGGGTGAGGGTGGGGCTTTCTGGGGCCTTAACAAAGCAGCAAGACTAGCTTAGGAAGAAAGCACAAGGTATTCCACTATGTAGCATGTGCGTCCTGGTCCCTGGGATCCCAGCAGGTGCTCGGTCCCAGGGCCAGGGGCAGACTCACTCTCTTCCCCTGCAAGGCCAGGCTGATAGGAGTCCTCTGGGGGCCAAGTTAGCAATAGGCTATTCCTGGGAAAAAGCAGCACTTGGCTGCCAAAAACAGCTCTGATGTTACCCGTGGGAGGAACCAAGGCCAGACTTATCTTCCCCCTTTTAAAAATATGCCTTTTCCTTTAGTGTCTCTCCTGTGTGCACATCCTCCTTGGCACAAGTTTTCATGGTCAAGCACATTTCTGATCACCTTGCATCTCTCTGACTTTCTTGGGACCAAGCCCCACTGCTCCAGAGGCCCTGCTTGGTCAGCCTGCCCTCCCCAGCGGCATCCCCCTGGGTCCCCTCGGGGCTGGTGTGCTTGTCAACACTCGGGTCCTCTAGCCCCTGGCATGGCCCAGACCCCTCCAACACGGGGCCTTTGCACACCTTGTTCCCTCTGTCTAGAACTCCCATGGCAAACCATCCCCTGCCCCCGCCTCATTAACTTCCATTCTTCCTGCACATCTGAACTCACGCATTACATACGTGCTGCAGATCATTTCCTACCGCTTCATAATGGCACCGAGTGGAGATCTAAACCAGAACTACACTGCGTTCGTCAAAAAGCACCTCAGCAGCATGAATCTGAACATGACCTCACCCCATCATTTCTCAATATTCCAGAAGCAATATTCCAACGTATTCCTGAGACCAATTTCTTGGACAAAAAGAAATGGAATATCTTCGGTAGGAAAGGGTCTCACCATTTAAAAATGGGAGATTGTTTCTGAGCAATCAAGAACAAACGTTATCTTTTAGTTGAACACAAAGCCTGTGGAAACAGGGTAATAATTTTAGAATCTAAAAAAAATAGCACACTAGCACTCAGGTGGTAGCTGTGAATGAGTTATAACAAGCTCTTTTAGATTCTAGTCATGAATAAGTTATGACCCATTCACATTTGGTTCTCTCCTACCATGAACAACGGGAGCCCTGCTGCCCTCTCTGTGCACTTTTGAAAGGCCCTGACCTGGCAGCACTGCCTGGCCCTTAACAGGGCACAGTGTCTCCACGTTTGTGCACAAGGACCTCTGGGGGCTTTTCTGTGGGCACTTTCTGTACCGCTCTGGTGTACTATAGCTTAAGCGTTGCCATCAAGAAAATGAAGGCTGGCCAGAGAACAAAGGCAGCAATTGCAGTGATTAAATGTAACAGGAGGATAAAATGATTCCTAGCAGTGAGGTGGTTTTCTAAGTAGATTCATGGAGTCAGAAAACATTGAGGGTAGAAGAAATCTTCAACATCAGGCATCCAACACCCCTTTGTTTCAAGATTAAGAAACTAAGGCCCAAAGAAGATCTGCTTAACACAATGGGACAAAAGAGACTGGAGTGGACAAACTCTTGAGATATCAGACCGTACTTGGGGCTGTATCTGAACCCTATCTTGTCACCTAAGTCATTGTGATGTCTAACTCATGGGGTGGCTTTAAGTGCTAAAAGCAACCAGGACGGGCCTGGCATAGAGTAGTGCTCAATGAATGTTAGCTATATTATTTTTATGTAAACATTGGTCAATACTTCTATAAATATACCTCAAGATTATTTACTTAGCCAACTAGGGCATTTCCTGAATATTATCTAAGTACGGAAATGAGCTAGCAAAGAAATTCCAATTACTTCCAAAGAGGGAAGGATAAAAGCAAATAGAAGCATTTTCTGGGACCTCTATCCTCCATTTTCACTGGAGAAGAGCCACTGGGGGAGGCAACTAGAGAGGCAGGCAGAGCAAGGAGCCCTGAGGGACAGGAAAGCCTGCTTCTCCCTTTGAAACCATCTATAGTACTTCACGAGGCTAAAAAATGGTCCATGGCTAATTAGGCCATCAACTCTCAATTCCAAATACCTGCTTTTAAGAAAGGACACTCACCATCTCTGAAAATGAATACTGATGTTACTCTGAATTCACAATGAACTGGATAAATAGTTTTGCATGGTAGGACCCTATTATTCCTACTTGTACATGTATCTAAGAAATTCAATTAGTAAGTGAGCTGAAAATCTCTAAAAGTTAAAGTAGCAATAAAAACGGACAACATTTCAAGGAAAGGTAAGTACTCAACAATGACTCCAGGAATATTTTGGTAAAAAGAGTAAACACGATTACAAAGTGGAAGCAAAAAGTAGAAGGCAAAGGTGCAATTATGTTTTAAAAAGATAAAACATCTTGTTGGTTAGTCATTCTTAAAGAATTAGGCTTTTTTAATCTAGCAAAAACAGGTGAGGTTGAGAGCTTAGCACAAGAGTCAGAATCGTGGGTTCCAATTCTGACCCTGCCATATCCGAGTTGCAACCTCTCTGAGTCCTCACCTTTCTCTTCTACAACATGAGAAATAATCAAACCTACATGATACAGTGACTGGGAGGGTAAAATGAGATTTTTTGTATAAAACATTTTGCAGTGTGTCTGGCTTATTGTGATAAAGTGGTAACTGAACTAAATTTGGACTCATCCAAATGCGGAAACTTTGGATGGGGATGTTTTGTGGGTTCCCCTATTCCTGGCTAAGCAGCAGACATCTTTTAATAGGCACATCTCTAAAAGCTAGAAGAGGAAAGAAAACTCCAGTAGCAACCAAAAAAAAAAAAAAAAGTCATTTTTTGCAAGATAATCACCACACAAAATAATCTCAACGTCTGTCAAGGGGCTAGCATGGCACATCTAAAGTATGCAATAATTTAAAATAGTGTAGATCTATATTTACCGACAAGGTAATATGTCTATGATAGGTTAAGTTTGTAAACAGTATGTTAAAAATTGTATGTATATTATCACATTTTTGATATGTGTAGAAGGATATACACCAAAGTGTTAAAACATTTGTCTCAGCCAGGCACAGTGGCTCATGCCTGTAATCCCAGCACTTTGGGAGGCCAAGGCTGGTAGATCACGAGGTCAGGAGATGGAAACCATCCTGGCTAACATGGTGAAACTCTGTCTATACTAAAAATACAAAAAATTAGCTGGGCGTGGTGGCACACGCCTGCGGTCCTAGCTACTCGGGAGGCTGAGGCAGGAGACTTGCTTGAACCTGAGAGGAGGAGGTTGCAGTGAGCTGAGATCATGCCACTGCACTCCGGCCTGGGCGACAGAGCAAGACTCCGTCTCAAAAACAAAAACAAAAACAAAAACAAAAATTAGCCAGGTGTCGTGGCATCCGCCTGTAATCCCAGCTACTAGGGTGACTGAGGCAAGAGAATCGCTTGAACCCAGGAGGCGGAGGTTGCAGTGAGCCGAGATCTCGCCACTGCACTCCAGCCTGGGCAACAAGAGGGAAACTCCATCTCAAATAAACAAACAAACAAACAAATAAACATTTGTCTCTAGATGGTGGACTCGGTGATTTTTACCTTTTAAAAGTTCTATTTTAGTACTATCTAAAGCTTCTTTAATGATGAACATATAGTCAGAAAAAATAAAGTTTTCTCTTAAAAAAGATAATCACTAAATATCCACTAACAAAGTAGTATCATATGTTTTAATAATATTGTTCCAGGGTAATCTTGGATTGCTAAAATTGTGATTGGTTTACCATCACCAAGAATAATTAATGGGAAGGTAGTTGTTACAAATGTAACAATTTCGTGTCCCAAAGATATGCAGAAAATGACAATGATGAGAACTTAGGTGCCTCCCACCATGCATTATACATTCCTGTCATTCTCTGACATTATCCTTCATATGTATTTTATTTTATTAAGGCTCATCGACAATTCTTTAGACATTGACAGCCATTTCCTTCTGAAAGAACGTGCAGCCTAACATTAAAGTCGTAATGGATGTGATTAGAGAGCCTGACAATTACACATGGAAAGAGGGTACGCAGCCTGTCTGGGAAGGCTGCAGTCACTGGAGGCCTACATGATGGACTTATTAACTGGGTTTCTCTGCACTCCGATTATCTCATACTTTAAGAGTTTCTATTTGGCTTCTATTTAAAAACCATGTCACGGGTCTGTACACTGATGAGGGCTTGGCTTTTCTGTGTGAAAATGCCTCATGAAGAAAGCAAGTCTATATTTCCGGTTGCCCACGGGTGTCTTTTAACTGGCCTGTGCAGGCCAAGATAGGCAAATACATGTGCTCCTACCATCTGTGTCGTGTGGTGCCTTCTGGGAGTGTCCTGGGCCTCATGGAAGTTTGGGTTCCTAACCGCCAGGAGGCCAGCGGGCGGCAGACCCCACCCCAGGAGGAGGGAGCACCAGCATTCCATCTCCGGACCCTCAGAGCTGGAGGGGCGATGCCCATACAGTGTCAACTCTGCACTTTCTATTCCAAAGACACAGGCTCAGGGAGAAGTTGCTTCTGGGGGAGGAGGTGACCGATGGGGCCATGGAGGTGCTGCTCAGGCCCTTCCTGCCCTCCGTGCATCCTCCTCCTGCCCTTTCTCAGCAGCCCCCAGTATGACTGCCCTCTGGGGATCACCCAAATAGCCTTGTTTCAAGAGCTAGAGCTAGTATCATTTTCAACTTAGTAGAAATGTCACTGGTACACTTCTAACAAGCTTGTCATTTACCAAGATGATCCTGAGCCAACAATTTAAGGACACAAATATCTCCTAAGTTACTACACAAACAGTTCTAGCTAGTGATACTTTCCTTTAATGGAAGGGGAAGTAAGCAGTTCATATCCAACTGGTCTTTCCATTTCCACCTCAGATTGAGATTACTGCCAATTTTAATTGTCTACTAGTTGATAACTAAAAGATACAGTGATCCCAAATGCCAAATCATCATTCATCCTAATGAAATAGGAAATACTTAATCTTAGCGCTTGATGACCACAATCTAAACCAAGGTCCTAGGCCAAGGAGATGTGTTCCCTTGCTTTAAAAATCTCAGTCTCTATGGTTTGCCAAACAGATGGACCAATTCACCTGACTTAACTGATAGGCCTTCTTTTATCCATTTGTGGGTCTGCCTAATTATAGTACAGGTTTTAAGGAAAGAAAGGTATTTAGTAATTGAAGCTCTATACACCTTTTTTTTTGGTGGGGGGGAGACAGGGTTTCTCTATGTTGCCCAGGCTTGACTCAAACTCCTGGCCTCAAGTGATCCTCCTGCTTCAGCCTCCTATGTAGCTGGGATTATAAATGCCAGACCCCTTACCTGGCTCTATCCACTTTAATTTAGCCATATTTTTCCTTTATTACTTACAAAAAGTAAAAGAGTCCATGGTTTCATTACCTATAACAGGCATCAGAGAAGATGACTGCCACTTATAAAGAGACGTTATCCTTGTGATGTGGTAGAAAGAGCTCTGCCCAGTCCCAGCCATGTCATCTTGGACAGTGTAAGAATTTAGCTATGCATCAAGCAAAAGCAAGCCAACTCTTCCAACTTGCCCGTCTATGAAAGGGGCCCACACTGATTCCTTCCAATGAGTTGAGACAGGGAGGACATTAGAGATCTTTGAAATTATTAAAATAGTCCAACAACAGTCACTTCAGTAAATAAAGTCACCATGACCAGGCATTTAATTTTAGTACTTACATACCTTCTGGTGATCAATAATCAGATATTTGTTGTTATTGAACATTTATTTATTTGGAATAACACAGCCTAAGTACCAATATTTTTAAAAGATAAACTTATATTTTTAAGAGGGCATTTACCATTTTCCTAGATCATTTCCTAGAGGTTTTTTTCTGTTTTGTTTTTTGATGGCTTCAGCACGTCCATGTAAGGGTGTTTGACCTCTGACTTTCCATCTAGTGATCTGAGAGCTCCAGCGTGGATTATTCAGTTCAAGCGTCCTCTCCGCAAACTTCCTGTGCTGCGTAGAATAGGTGAGGCACGCTTACTGACGGCATTTATGACTGACCCCCATAAAGTTCTTCCCACTCACAATCACTCTTTATTATGTCAGGGAACAAGAGAATTCCCAGAATCGTATGTTTCAGCTCTCTGGGAAATCACGCATTAAGTTCCAGGGGAAGGGAAAAGCTTCCCACAAAACAGCTATCCATTAAGAATGTCTGTTGTTTAAAATGCACCAGCAATTCTAACATCCAGAGACCAGTGAGAGAACGGTAGAAGGCAAATAGGTGTTACTTTAGGGCTGTCTTTGCAACCAAATTTTGATCATCGTAGATAAATGAGCCATTAGTGCATTAACCCAGTCAAAATAAATGAAAACAAATAATGACAAGTAAAATAAGGGGCAGGACAACTGTATTTCATAGATTATTTATCAGCTGTGGGAGGAGAGTGAAATAAATTGGGGAAGGTAGAAAATCACTACATCTGATATTCATTAGGATTTTTCAGAGAATGAGAGGCAATCCAGTATTTTCTTATTCTTACTGTCCTTGCCTTGTTAAAGGTCATCATTTTTCATTTGCACTTTTTCCATTTGTACAACTGACTTTGTTTTTTCCTCTTATATTTGACCTTGTGCCCCCATAATGGGGTTAATTATAATCCTTGGTTCATGACACACTCTTTAAGGGCCCACTTTCATTTAGATACTTTTACAAATAAGCACCCGATGTATCCAACATTTTTGGAACTTAGCAATTTTGGTTTAGAGTGCCCAGATTTTCCATTTGAAGTTCGAAATTCTTAGGTTGGATGTTTCAGCTTCTTCTGGTTGATCCAGCTCTGGTGAAGCCTACTGGCCAGTCAGGAGCCTGGAGAGTTTGACTTCCCAGTTTTCAGAATGCACAGGATGGTCACCTGAGGTCATACCTGGCAGCCACTGCCCTTGCTGGTTGTGGGGGAGTGTGAGGCAGCTTCCATCTTTGCAAGCAGCTGCTATGTGCACGCCCCACGATGCCTTTCAGTTGGTTCTGCCTGGCTTCTCAAGGGTGTGATCACTGCACTGTAAAGGGTGGTAACAGCAATCATGTTTGAGGATAACTGTCCTAACACATTCCCTGGGTCTAAGGCATCTGGGCAAGAAAATACTCAAGGACATTTGTTAATGAGAAGCTGAAAATCATTAATCAAAATAGTAATTATGACCATTATTTACCAAATTTCTATGCACCAGGCTTACGGATGATCACTTAATTCTTTTTTTTTCCTTCTTTTTTTTTTTTTTTTTTTTTTTTGAGATGGGGGGGTCTCGCTTTGTCGCCCAGGCTGGAGTGCAATGGTGTGATCTTGGCTCACTGCAACCTCCACCTCCCACGTTCAAGTGATTCTTGTGCCTCAGCCCCGAGTAGCTGGGATTACAGGCATGCACCACCACACCTGGCTAATTTTTGTATTTTTAGTAGACACGGAGTTTCGCCATGGCTGGTCTCGAATTCCTGACCTCAAGTGATCTGCCCACCTCGGCCTCTGAAAGTGCTGGGATTACAGATGTGAACCACCACTCTCGGCCTATTACTTAATTCTGAAAACAATCATGCAAGGTAGGTATGATTATACTCATTTTTTATTTTATTTTATTTTAGAGACAGAGTTTCACTCTTGTTGCCCAGGCTGGAGTGCAACGGCGTGATCTCAGCTCACCACAACCTCTGCCTCTCGAGTTCAAGCGATTCTCCTGCTTCAGCCTCCAGAGTAGCAGGGATGACAGGCATGCAATACCATGCCCGGCTAATTTTGTATTTTTAGTAGAGACGGGGTTTCTCCATGTTGGTCAGGCTGGTTTCAAACTCCCGACCTCAGGTGATCCTCCTGCCTCGGCCTCCCAAAGTGCTGGGATTACAGGCATGAGCCACCACGCCCGGCCAATTAAACCCATTTTTTAAAGAATGGAGGCTCAGATGAGTGAAGACACTTAACTAAACTTGCAAATCCTAAATGCATGAGCCAAATGCAGATTCTTTCCAAAGGCTGCCACCTCCTCTGCCTCGTGCCTTCCTGAAGTGCTCTCCAATTTCAAACTCAGGCTGTTTGGAACCACAGACTCTCATGGCAGCTCTGGGAGAGAAGGACGAGCTGCCTCCTCACATAAGTGGTCTGTTCTGCTGTGTCCTGTGCATTCTGGAACGTTTGGCCCAAGTGTGGCCGCTTGAGTGCAGTGGTAATGCTGCTGCTGACCTCCCTGGCGTCACTGACTGTGGCAGGTCCCGCTGAGGCTTTCCAGGCCTTGCCTCATTACATCCTCACACCGCTCTAGGATAGGGGAACTGAGGCGTAGAGAGCTTAATCTGCCTTATTGAGATCATACATAAACTTGGTATTTTTTTGGTGCTTTGTAGTTTCCTCTGCCCTTTTCAAGGAGGGGGAAATTGTGCCTATGACAGGCCTACATTTTTCCTGATCCTCTCGTCAGAATTCATGTTAGCTGACTTTAAAAGCATTCAATGACAAGATTTTCTGAAGAGGTAATGTTCTCTCCCTCGGTTGCACTCTGGTTGAAAGTGGATCACACAGATGAGCTGTACTGGATCCGCGAGCTATAGCGGCATAGCAGGGTAGGATTAACCCCCAGGCTCTGGATCCAGACCTCCACGGTTTGCATTCCAGTTCTGCCCTTCGTTAAGGATGCAGCCTTGGGCAAGTCACACGTAACTCCCGTGCCTTACTTCCTCATCTGCAAAATGGAAAAGCAGTATCTACACCTCATTAGGATGTGGGGGAAGATTGAGTTTATCTGAACAGATGCTGTCCAATGGAACTTTCTGTGATGATGTAAATATTCTATTCTCTGTTGTCCAATAAAGCAGCCACACCAAATGTCTGACTGCCAGGCTTGCTTTTTTTTTTGAGATGGAGTCTCACTTTGTTGACCAGGCTGGAGTGCAGTGGTGCAATCGCAACCTCGACCTCCTGGGTTTAAGCGATTCTCCTGCCTCAGTCTCCTGAGTAGCTGGGACTACCAGTGTGCACCACCACGCCCGGCTCATTTTTGTATTTTTAGTAGAGACAAGGTTTCACCATGTTGGCCAGGCTGGTTTCAAACTCCTGACCTCAACTGATCTGCCCGCCTTGGCCTCTCAAAGTGCTGGGATTACAGGTGTGAGCCACCGCATGCGGCCTTAGGTGCCAGGCTTATAGATGATCACTTAATTCTTGAAACAATCAGCAAGATAGGTATGATTATGCTGTTTTTAAAGAACTGAGGCTCAGAGATGTGACCACACTCTTCTGTAGCTGTTGCGGCCACATGTAGCTATTGAACACCTGAAATGTGGCTCATGTGTCTGAGAAATTTTTCATTTTTTGTTGGAATTAAAATGTACTGTCCCCATGAGGCTAGTGTCTACCATGTTGGGCAGCACAGATCTAAAGCATTTAGAACCATGGCTAGAGCTATGTGTTTACTATCATTGCTTCAATATGGAGAGTCATCCAAACAGGTTTCATTTGCTCCCAGATAAACTGTCATGGGACCTGCCGTGGCCAGTGCTCACCTTGTACTGCTGGAATAATTTAACAATTTTTTTCAACTGCCATCATCATCATGCCATTTTATGTCTTCGTAGCATTTATCACTATCTAAAGGTAGGTCGCTTATTTATCTTTCTTACCTTACTAGCATGTAAACTCCAGGAGAACAAGGACTTTTCTGTCTTGTTCCCTGCTATTTCCCAGCCACCTACAATAATGGTGCTTCTGGAAACCTGGGCTGGCCCTTTAAGAAAGGCTTCTTTCTAGGAGTTGCACATTAGTGGTGATCTCACTCAGCACCCTCCCCAACCCCATCATTAGGTACTATGCTGTATCTTGTATTAGTGAGCATCAGAGGGCTTGGAAAAATGTCTCTGATTGCCGTAATGGGAAAGCTCGCAAATAAAAAGAGTAAAAAATTATCAAGCCACCTAAAAATGTTCATTTCTGTGGAAAGGAAAATGTGGGCTTGCTCAGGACTTCCTGGAGTTTGTGACATACAGTATCTTCTCTGGTGCAGCTTACTGACACCTGGAAATTTATCTTATGAGCCAAGTATGTGAACTGTCAATGCTGAGCCTGTGACATGGCATTGAAGCTGAGATGTGGCCGTGTCGCATGTAAGCTCACGATTCAGATCATGCTTTCTGAGCTCCTCAGTGGCACTCAGCAGCTCAGAAATTCAGGGAACACCTGTCATGAGCTTGGATGACGCTTTTCTTGGTCTGTGACACAGTGAGAAAAACGAGGACAATGCAGTGAGTTTTCCATTAAGCTAACTTTATTAGAGTCAAAGGACAATTCTTTATTTTCATTTTAGAACTGCCAAATTTAAAAGTGCACTGTCCCATGAATTCCAAAGCCTAGTCGCCTAGCCACTCTAATCACCAGGACGTTATGGGGATCCCCAAGAGCTTAACGTCATCATTGATTTTGTTTTTTAATTTGCTTTTTAAAGTTTACAAGGCCTTTACAATAGGCCAGGCAATCGATTCTCCTTTTAAATATGCATCTGGAGGTGAAAGATCAAGCCAGCATATGTTTCTAAAGTGCTCACTGTGTACTCAGTCCTATGCTTACAATTTACTTGGGGATATGAGACTCAGCAACTAAAGTACAAAGAAAACAATGTATAATTAAATCCTCATGAGGCATCCGCCAAGTACAGGAGCCAGGGGAAGGCTGTCCATGAAGGGTGAAGGGCTGCCCATCCTAGCACTGGCAGCTCTTCTCTTATCTACCTGTCTCTCCTGCATCAGGCTGCATAAATCCTGGAAGACAGGGGCCGGCCTCAATTATTGTAGCATTCCTGGTACCTATCTGTTGCCAGACACATGGAGGTACCTAATAAATGAGTGAATAAGGACTGGAGTGAAAAAGGTTTTACTCTGAAGAGGTTGGAATTAAACTGAGCCTCAAAGGATGGGCAGAGTTGGGACAGGAGGAAGCATTTCTGGTGAAGTAAATATGAATTAAGTTTTAGAAGGAACATGAGACCATTAAACTATCTGATATGGAAAGATGATTCTGGGGAATGGTGGAAAATAAGGTTAGATAGAAAAGCTAGTGTCAGATTTAAGTTGTATATTAAAAGTTGCTCAGAAAAGTCGAGATGGAAAAGATAAGCAATGGGGAAAAGCTAAGTTTTTACTCAATAGAGGCAAAATCGCCACTTAAGGGAGTTTAGTCCGGCAGGGACGATGCAGGGTGAAGCAGACAGAAACTGCAGTAGCGACACAGCCTTTAGCTTCAGAGGAGAAGAATCAACATGGAATCACCTTTTACTGAGGGCTCAGTGCCAGGCGCCATGCTACGTACTTGATCAACACTCTAAGGAGCAGATATTCTTATCCTCAGTTCACACGTTGGCAAATAAGCTTGGAGGGTTAAATGACTTCCTTAAAGTCACACCTAGTAAGTGGCAGAGGTGGGGTCATCCCAAACCAGTCTGACTCCAAAGCCTATGCTCTCAACTAGATAATATACTGTCCCTAAAAGAAGACGAAATGCTGCAGCCCTCTAAAATATAAAAGTGCATATCCCGCACAGCCTGAACACCGTTTGGCCAATATTCCATTTGCTAAACATTCTCTTTTGCCCTTTTCTTTCCCCGTATTTTAAGCTGTAAGCTTCTCAGGTCTACTCTTTCGTGCCAGATGCTAATATAATTCCAGTGCTTATTCTTGATGCTGCTGCTTGTGGAAAAAAAAAATCAGAATAAGAGAAAATGCTTCCTCTCTCCTAAAGCTGCAGAAAAACAGATACTATTCTGGGTTAAAAAGCTAGTTCTCTTAAAGAGCTACAAGCTTACTCTGCTATTCTGTGTGGAAACATGTAAAAATGTACAATTGTGTTTTTATTACCAAACAAGTATTTTAAGACACCTGGGCTTTATAGATTGTTGCTGAATCCTTTAAAATACAGCTTTGAACTTCTAAATGTTTGCTTTTTAAATTGGTTGCCTTATTTACTAATTTATTAATAATACAATTTCATGTGATATCTTTTTTGAAGACAAACACTTTTAAGGTGTTCTGGTTAGCTGGATAAGGGGCTTGGGGTTCCTCTCTTGATACAGAAGACTAAAACAAATGCAGATACTGACAAATTCTTTATTCAAATGTAGTTTGAGTTTTTGCCTGCTTAAGTCAACAATTGATGCTGCGATTCAGAAGGCGGAACAGGATGGGGAGTAGAGAGAGGAAGGTGGCGACTCTGTGTGAGACATAACATAATCTGGCAGTGGCAACAGTAATCTTCATGTGGGTCTTACAGAGGAGCTGGCCTGCTTCTGCAGTCTGACTCTCACCTGCTGAGAACACCATCTACACGGTGTTTTTTTTTTCCCTCAGAGAATCTACAGTCATTGTTTTATGGCTGATGCAAGATATAGGTTTTTTTTTAAAAAATCTAAAGAACAGATGGAATTAGCGTGTAAGTTTTCTGATATGAGGCAAACTGTAAGCAGTCGGAATTAATGAAAGAACACGGGGTTCTCATTCTCCTGATGAATCTTGAGTTTGATCAAGTTGGAGCAGTGGTTCTCAGCTGGGACAGCTGTGCCCCCAGGGGGCATCTGGCGATGTCTGGAGATGCTTTGGGCTGTCATGAGCGTGTGGGTGGGTGCCACCAGCATCTAGTGGGCAGGGCCAGGGGTGCTGCTAAACAGACCATAACGCACAGGACAGCCCCACAACAAGGGCAATCTGGCCCCAAAGGTCAAGAGAGTTTTGGCTGAGAAACCCCCAGGGTTAGGGTCAATCTAATTTAAGGCAGGCCTTTTCTCCTCTTTGGACTTGAGGTTTATCCTGCTCTCTCTGGGTTTCTGGGATGGCTAGTAAACGCAGCGTATGGCACTTTTGGGAGGGCAAACTCTCACCACATGCAGCATCCCTCCCGTACCAGACAGCTGCTAACTCTGGAGAAAAAGGCAACCAGCAGGTGAGGGGACAATAGGAGCCTATCTGAGTGAGTTTCTTCCTTGTATCTTACACGCTCAGCGAGGCAGGAGTGCAGAAAGGGACTACTTAACCTGTTTAGCTAAAATGACTGGAACACTGGATCAGCATTTCCTTGCTTTCTTTTGCTTGGAAGAAAAAGGATTGCAAATAAACTCCAAATTGCCTAAGAATGTAGTAATTTTCTTCCTGTTTCTTGATAATGTGAGATTTTGCTTTTCTTCTATGAACGCTAAAGTGACCTGAGAAGTGAAGAGGGTGAGTGCAAGATAAATCTGGAATGCAATAGGGACTCCAGTGTTATGGTTATAAAGCTGCGTATTTCCACAGAAATTAAGTGGACACATTGCAGCTGAGCTAGGTGTGCAGTTTCCACAGGAGTACTCTATCTAATGCAGGCAGGAAATCTCCAGGAAACTTTGATGTTTAAAGGCTTTAATATTTCTTCAATGCAAAGAGCTTTGTTTTTAAGGACTTCACTAAATACGTAAACTTTACAAGAATTTTAGACTCCCAATAAATTTATGAAATCATGTCAAAACTCCTAATATTTTATATATACTAGCACTTTAAGAAAGCTTTCCAGGCGGGAGAAATGAAAGTACAGGTTCCATGGTCACCAGGAAACCCTGTTTACAAGAGCCATAATTTGAACTTTGTAATTTGCAGAAATATACTACAGAAATTGAAGTAATTAGTGCTGCGCTGGTAAATCTTAAAATGGTTTTCTACTTGGAAAAGGTCTCTCCCAAAATAAAAACAATTGCTCAGGTTATAAAAGCAGTTTAAAAATAAAGTTTAAACGTAACAGGTACAAACTGAAAAGTTATTTATCTTTTTTTTAAAAAAAGTGTCTGTATTAACAACAAGGAGGCTATTCCAATATAACACAGAAGACTACATAAATTATTCAAGTTCTTAGTACTTTTAAAGAAAATCCTTTCATATCTATTTTTGTGAATTTGGGGGTATAAGAGAAGGTTATGTCTTCTATATGGGGGGGTGATATAAATTATTACAGTTCATTCTTTCCATAAAGGAAGCATCTTTAAGCAGCTTTGAGCCAGACACTGTGGAGGACACTCAGAACACACCAACAAATAGAAGAGATAAAAATTCTGCCTTTGTGGAGCTAATATTTGGGAGTGGGGGTGGGGCACACAATTCATACAAAAAGTAGAATTTTTTCACAAAGGCTAAATTAAATGGAACTTCCTAAATTCTTGACACTTGCCTTACAGAACAGCTCAATGACTACCTACCACCATGATTTCAGAGTAGGTGAATCTAAACCTGAGTATACAAATTACAGGGAGCTGTAATTTAAGAAACTAGTATCTTTATAAATTGCTTTTTAAAAATTCCAGACAATATTATGACAACCAAGAGTCACTCTACTTCCATTAGCTGAATAATGTTTCAAGATATCACATTTCTGCCAATTTTAAATAACAATTGCATTATTTTTTAATGTAAATTTTGTTTTCTAAAGTTCCTAATTCCCTTTGTACCAGCAGAATAGTGAGGCAATTAGTTAATAATTTATATTTACCTAAAAACTGATAAAGAAATTAAAATTCAAATGGAAAAAACATCTCGTCACCTGACAATCCCCACGGATGAGCTGCTGGGTCTTTTTTTGAATACTGGGTCTTTTTTTTAAATACTTGTTCTTAAAGCTCAAATTATGATGGTAAAATCAATTGACGTATTAGGACACCTGATATGTTTGATAACATTTGAAAACTACAATTTTAAATCGCTAAATATATTGCCAGTTAAATATACTGTTTGGAATGACGTGTGTGCTTGTACGTGTGCATCGAGATATAGTGAGGTCTATCAATAAACACTTGTGTATAACTGAGGAGACAAGACTAACCACTCACAGAAAAGCAAATTGATCTTTGGGATGCAATCTCTTCTCAATAAAGAGGAATCTTGATTCATCTTGACCTCTGTATATTCTGTCCAGAAGTCAAAGTTTATCGCTCTCACTGGAGTATGAAGTCCTGCTTTTCTTTCTCACTTTTTCCTGTCTTGACTATGGACAATTGTGAAAACAGTGAGGGCTGCACGCTCTTGGAGGAGCTTACATTTCTCACGGCCCTCATGTAACCCATGTTGGGCTGTTTTGGAAATATACTTCCTTTGGTGAATAACACGGTCAAGGTTATCTATGGTCAGTCATCTTTCTCAGACTGAACAGTCCCTTATGGTGGCTCTTTCCCACACTGTCCCTGTCCTAGATCAGGCCCCACATCGTAGAAGGGACTCTAAAGACTGTCAGGGTTTCAGAGAGCCTCTTGGTAGCTCCAAAGTGCCTTCATCTTGCTCCAGTGTCCCATGGCCTGGTACACACCAACAAGAAGGGATGCCAGGGAAAATCATATGTGGGTGGCATGCTCCAAATTTACCAGTGTAGCTCATCAGCACTGTGTGAGTTGTTTGACCCGTCCATTCATGTTGTGGGAAGTAGCCATAAAGACAACGAGAGCAGCTTATCTACGGATGGGGCTGTAGGGTGGGAGGCAGGCATTTATAAGCATATTCACATTAGTTTTATTCAAATGAGAAAAAATGGGTTTTCATGTGAATGCTTTAGTAATTTCACTGGGTATAGAAGATGCATGCAAAGGCTAACACAATGACTGTCAAAAAGACTTCTGAAATATTTTATTTCCAGATTTGGTACATTAAGTGTGTCTATTTGTAACAGGAGTCCATCATTTCCAGATTGGATTGTAAATAAAGCTGTAAAGCCCTACACATTCATCAATGCCTTCACTGTCTTGTCCACAATCAGAAGAGGTGGTAAAATGTCCAAATGGAACTCTGAAAAATAACCTAGCCAGGAATTTTCAGAAACTGGACTGAAGTGGCTGGATTCCCTACCTATAAATGTAACCATGAGAGTTGTGACAAACAAAAATCTGGGATCTTCACCTAAAAAACTGAGTAGGCTTCAGAGGCTTCTGGTTACATCCCCAATGGTAGGACATTCCATGTGAGAGGAAGCTGTGTTCTTTTGAGAAATAGCTAAGTCTTGCACACTGATGGAAAGCACTGATGAGGGTGTCAGTGCATCTCATTCCCAGGTTCACTCTGCAGTTCAGCAGTCCAAACATCACTTCAACCTTCCTTCAAGGGACTCTAAAGTTCTGCTTGCTACTAACCTGCCGAGGATTCCCAGTTTCTTCAGTAGGAACATGCTGGCCCCAACGACTTCACACCTTCTAACTAAACTCAGTTTTCCTCTAAACACAGGAATGGCTAATTTGCTGCTTTCCACTTAAATTTCAGACTCAAGATGGTCACTGCACAGGCAGGTCCCGCTGGCATCCTGAGACTACTTGGAAAGGCACTCTGCTCTAACCACAGCCTGCTAATGAGTAACATTCAGTGCAGTGTTCTAGAATTAGCCAGTCGTCATCCAAAGCTCTGAGTTCCATCCTGCAAAAAGGGATGAGACACAAGAACCTCCAAATAGACAGCTGTCAACCTATCTCCAAGGTCTCAAGTCTAGCTTTGTTTCTACTTGGATATTTATTTTGTCTCTCCCCTAAAAACCTGCCTTTGCCCTCAAACAATATGGTTTGGCTTTGTTCACCTCTGAACTGGGTCCTGATACCACAGTCTTACTGTACTAATAAACTTGTCAAAAACTGACTTGACCGCTTTATTGATGGAAAGCAATTCCTCACTTGAAATCACATTGCAGAGGCTGAGGAGGATTACACATCCTTCCTCCCCCGAGAGCAATAGGGCATGTCAATGAGCAAGTACCTTAATGCCAGAAAGCTGCTGCTCTATTCTACTAGAACGTTCTGGTCTTGTCATAGGGACTCAACCAGAAGATAAAGATGACTCAGTATCAGATACTGACCTTCCTTGAAAATGACAGGCCAAACCTAATAACTTCTGCTATGTTCTTATCTATGGGAACACAAAACTGAGCGAAAAACTCCAACCTTTCTCCATCTTTCTTATCAATGTGCAAGATTTGGCTATTTTTAAAAAGTGTATCTGCTCTCCCACGCTACTAGCCACCGAGGCAGAAACACTAGCAGTGCCTTTCATCTGGGTTGATGTGTGTGACAGCCGAAGAGAAAGGAGTTACAAAAAGCCTCCTTCAATGTTTAAGGTATGGCACGAGCCTAACCTCTTACGTTCACTTATCATTAGAAAAATATGGAGAGCCTAAGATAATTATGCTATGTATGACAGAGATGGAACTTTCTCTTGGGAACCCAGTGTTTTTACGTGTCCTCTGCATTATATCGAAGATGATCTTTTCAGAGTATGATGCCACGGATTTCTAGGTAAAATGTGCAACTTTAAGAAAGACAGTATTGTAATAATATTGAGAATGACAATTTACATGTAGTGTTTAATGCTTAAACAATGTTACCTAAGAACATGGGCTTTAATGACTTCTCATAAACTCTCTTACCTGCATAGTAAATGAGAAGGGCACAGGATGCATTTAGAAATGGACTGGGGAGGAAATCTGAAGAGCAAAGGATAATGGATTTTATGCAGACCTAAATTTAGTATCTTAAGTGTTGCCAAAGAGGCAACAAAAAGAAAATTTGTAGAAGCAGAGTATTATGTGCCTCATATTCCATTTATTAAAAGTTTTCTTCTGTCGTTTTTTTCCCCTTTTTATAAGCAGCTTACTCAGGCTTGCTCTATTTGGTGCTAACCAATGGAAGTTCACTGCTCAGTCTTGAGAATTCAGCTAGAATAAAGAATTTCAGAAACAAGGAGAAAACTTACTCCTTCACAGAAGAGTAGACACTTCTTGCTTCGTAGTAAAGTTCTTTCTGATAAAGCAGTAAATTGGGAATAATCATGAAAGTATTGATCTCGGTCGGCTCTCCAGTGTGGAAATTTGCATGTAAACTGTTTTCTGATTAACAAAGAAGTCTTTAAAGATGTTTGTGTGATCCCTTCAGAAGTCATGGTTAAAGCTTTAAAGTGCAACCTTTAACCTTGAAAATGCTGCTTTCTAACTTGCCTTATTTGCTAATTTGTTGTCCTGGTAATAATATTTAAGTAGTATCTGTGATTTTTTTTCCTGAAAAAATAAACACTTTTAAAGTTTTATTTCTTGGTTGGCCAGAAAAACTTGATATTCGTCTCTTTTCCCTTCATGCATACAGCATAAATAAATGGTATATTCCTTGTTCAAAGTTTGAGGAGTCTTAGTCACTTATCACACCCAAAGTCAGCTAATGGGTAAGAGACACAAAAGCATGACACAAACTCATCTGCTACAGAATGAGAGAGAGTAACTATTTTAAAAGACATTTAAAAAGTGAAAAGCATGAGACAAACTCATCTGCTAGAGAACAAGACAGAGTAACTATTTTAAAAGACGTTTAAAAAGTTAAAAGCATGAAACAAACTCATCTGCTAGAGAACGAGAGAGTAACTACTTTAAAAGACATTTAAAAAGTTAAGTCCATGCAAACATTAATTCAGAATTGTTTTTTCCTCTTCTTCCTAAAATGGAGAGGTCAGATCTTGGTTTAACTCAATCGGCCTCATTACTGACTTGCTGCACTTCAATCCTTGTGTATTGGGCACTCTGGTGTTCACAGGCAACTCTGCTCTGCTTCTTAGCCACAGACTGGAGTCCCCACCTCATTGACCCACTTAATACATGTATTAGATTGACACTCAGTAGCCGAATCTTTATTATAATAGATAAATCCTTATTCCCATTGCTGATAAAACCATCATTCTCAAGATTGGTTTCATACAAATAGGGCACATGTCTTTCTTCTTCAAACACAAAGCTCCAATTCCCCTAAGCTTTTCGGCTTGCTGTAATTCTACTTCTTGGCTTTGTTTTACCTTCAGCTGCCAGCATATTTTAAAAACCATGCAGACATACTGAAAAAACATCCAATGCAACTTAATGTAGGTGGATATGACTGGACTTTTTGCTGTGAAACTTGAGTCATGTTTGAGTAATGAAATAAACAAACTAAAATGCGGAGCAAGCACAAGAATCATCTCTTATATCATCTCTTATTCAGTTTTTTTTTTTTTTTTTTTTTTTTTTGAGACGGAGTCTCCATCTGTTGCCAGGCTGGAGTGCAGTGGCGTGATCTGGGCTCACTGCAACCTCTGCCTCCTGGGTTCAAGCGATTCTCCTGCCTCAGCCTCCCGAGTAGCTGGGACTACTGCGCCACCACGACCAGCTAATTTTTGTATTTTTAGTAGAGATGGGGTTTCACCATGTTGCTCAGGATGGTCTTGATCTCTTGACCTCGTGATCTGCCCGCCTCGGCCTCAGGAGTGAGCCACTGCCCCCGGCCTTATTCAGTATCTTTTAAAACATGTTTTCAGCCAAGTAAAAGAACGATTCACCTTCATAATTTGCTGGCTCTCCAAAGGATGACTGGCACCATCCCATTTTTTAAAAACAGCTTTAAAAAAAGTCTTTTCTGCTTGCCTTCCTAGAAAAGGGTAATTTTCCTCTTGATTCAATGTTTATTGTAGAAAATAAAGTTAAAGAAAGAAATACAAATCATGTATAATTAAAAAGAGTCTTTTAAAACACATTGAATTCGAGAGTGCTTTATTCCCTGTAATGTGCCATACAAATGCAAAGCACGACTAAGAATCATCTTCGATAGCAGGTGGGTCTTTAATCTACTAAAAAATCTTCCTAGGGTTCATGTAGGTGTCTGCGGATGTTGCTACGTCCACAACTCTAGAAGCCAGCATAAGAAAACAAAAAACAAAAGCCACAGTGCTAAAAGGGAAGTACAGAAGTCCTCGAATATAGTTGCCATCGGAATACCCAGGAGTCCCTCTCAGAAAGACCCTCCTATACCTCTGTGATACCTCCTAATAGCCATTCACGCCAAGTGGGGAACCAGCTGATCCCAAAAGCCCCTAGGGAAGGAGCAGCCCCTTCTTTCCACCGCTAGTTCTCACCATAAACAACTTTTGCCTTCATATAGAAGTGAAATCTGTTTTTCTGTACTCAATAATTACTCAAAATAAATGAAATCCCTTGCTGCATGACAGACCTTCAAATATTTGAAGACAATTAGGACACAGCCACTTCCGTGCCCAAATCCTTCTGCAGGTTGAAACATCAAAGCTGAAGATGTGGAAACTGGTGTCATTAAGTTAGCACCTACCTAGCCGGGATGAAACTTCAATCTGACTCAAACATTTACTGCAACATTGGTGTGTGAAGATACAAAGTCACCTAGTCACTGCCCTTGAAGGACATGGAATTCAGTAAATTCAGTAGATATAATTAATCTTAGTTACCAAATGTGTGCCCACTATGTATTAGAAACTATTTATGGCTGACCTTGTTCCAGATAGAAGGAAAAAAGTTCCATGACTTTTCTTGCCAGAAATACGAGAAAATGCTTTTTTAACATAAGTATTTTTTAAAAGCATCAACATTTTATTAACGTTAGTATCGTTGCAAAGGCATCCTACCAATTAGGTAATTATGTTGAGATCAATTTATCCAAAGATAATTGGATAAGTTGAGATCAATTTATCCAATTTTGCAATTTATCCAACATGGCAGATGAAAGAGTTATAAACCCAAGATGAATGATTCGTTTTTTAAAGAGTTAATAAAAATATCTAATTTCAAAAAAACCCTATTTGTTAGACCGATGTATTTAAAATGTGTCACAGTAAAAATCTCACACAAATAATTGTCCTGTACTTTAGATCTTAAATGTACCTAAACTAAATTTACTGAGTAATTATAATACGCAGAGGAGTAACAAAACTATTTTAAGATTTTTCAGTGGTGTGTATGGATATGTACGCATACCCGTATATATAATCACGAGTTTTAAAGCCTTCTTCCAAGCATATTTCACATAAGATGAACAGTTAGCCAAAAGAATTACATACATTTCAAAACATCTTTGGAGGTAAAAGCCACTTTAAACGTTAGCATCTTTTTCCTTACAATGCAATAGCGAGAAAATGCATGGGAATTCTTGATGAGCAAAAAAAAAAAAAAAGAAAAGTCGTTTTATCAATACCAATGCTCTTTAAATAAATTTCAAACGTAAAAGTTTTAAAATGGCAATCCTAGTTTTAATACTCTTACAGGTTTCTGGAACTGCGTAATATGTTAAAGTATTACAGCGTGGTAGCTTGCATTTTGTTATAAAACCGACTACTGCAACCTAAGCTACAGAGCGCGGTTATATTTTCTCTCTGGCAGCCTAATTTTCCTTAGTGGACTAGATCGTACTGCTAAATACCAAAACTTGAAATGAAACAATACAGGTCAGCATGAAAACCTAAGTTAGAGAAACTCACTCGCCGTAGCAGACGGCAGCCCAGTAGCCAAGCCTGGAGCTCTGCTGCGTTTGTGCATTCTGCTCCGTTTCACGAATCACAGGCAAATCGTTACTCAGAGTAAACTAAAGCCGCATCAAAGCTTCAGGAAGGGGCTGGCAAGGTAGTGTACTTACGGAAAGGCTACCAGGACGGGAGGCGATACAACTTGTCAGGGAGGGTCTCTAAGGTTCCCCGGGTGGTAACAAGCATTTAAAAAGGCGATGTGGATTCAGACGGCCTCCTCCCCACAGCATCCCAGACAAAGCCGGGCTAGGCCCCGGGGCGCTCCTGGTGCACCTGCAATGCGGATCCCTCGCCCTGCGATCCCACCCCGGGGCAGACAGGAGCGCCCCGGGACCGGCCTCTCCTCCCCCTTGGCACTGGGGTGGGCGCGCGCCGCGGCCGGTCCGCACCCTGGACTGGAGCCCGGGCCGGGGAGCCCCCTCCCCAGAAAGGGCCGGCAGACCCCGCGGGGGCGGGCGCGGGGGTCGCCGAGCCTCAGGGACCCTCTTTCCCCGACTCCGCCGTCTCCCGAGTTGCCTTCGCCCGGGGCCACCCCTGCCCCTGGGGGAGCTAACGTGGCTCCCAAGCCCCGGAGGTGGGGCAGGAGGACCCCGTCCCCCGTCTCCCGGCGGGGAGGGTTTTTAAAGTCTTCGCCACGAACTCCCGTCCCTGCCCGGCCCCTCCGCCCCTGCCCGGCCCCTCCGCCCCCGCCGGCGCTGCCAGGTGAGCGGGGCCGGACTCGACACACCCCGGGCCCCGCCTCACCTGCGGGCGCCGCCGTCGCGTTCCTTCAGGCGGCTGCCCTCTTAGGCTCGGTCCTCCCGGCGGGCGGCGGTGGGGGCCCGTGGCCCATGGGCTGGGCGGGGCGCGGCGGGCGGGGCTGCCTGGGCTCGGGCGCTGCCCGGGCCGGGCCGCCGAGGGAGGTCAGTGGGCACCGCCCGCCCGGCGCATCTCGCCCGCTCCCACCCCAGCGCTAGCCGCGGTGCACCCTGGGAGCGGGGCCGGCGGCGAGGCCTGGCCGCGCTGACCCGGCGGGCTAGGCGCCGGCGCGGCGGCGGGCCTGTGTCTGCCGGGCTGGGCGGGGGCGGCGGGCCGATATTCACTTGGCGAGGCGGGGCTACGCCCCCTTCCGCCCGGCTGTGGCGGGGCAGGGGCGAAGGCCGAGGGGAAGGGAGGGTCGGGCCCGCGGGACGCAGGCGCACAGCTCAGGTGCGGCCGCACTGCGGTTGCCCTGGGTAACGCGGCCCGAGGGAGGGGGGGGCGCGGGGAGGAGCGAGGGAGGCGAGCGGGAGCGCGCGCGCCGGGCGCTGGGGTGGGGGATGGCCGGGCCCGACCGGGCCGGGGCTGGGGGGCGGGGGCGGAGGCGGGCGGTGGGGGCGCGGGCCGGGTGGCCGCGCATGCGTGCGGCCCCCGCTCCCCCGGGGCTTCCCCGGCCTCGTGCGTGCGCACGCGCGCTGTCCCCCGGAGGCGTCTGGGTGTGCGGAGCGCGCGCGCGCGCGGCTCGGAGGCGCACCTGTGAGGTGTCCCTGAGGAGAGGGAGGTGGGTGCGCGGCGCCCGCGGCCTGGGGCGCTGACTCCCCTCACTTGGAGTGAGTTCTCGGCGGCCGGGCTGCAGTCTTTCTTTCTTTCCCGGAGGGAGGCGGGGGCCGGGGGCCAGGGAGCGGGCTGGGGGTGGGAAGGAGGTGGAGTGGCTTAAAGAAAAGAAAAACAACCCATCCCGGAGGATGGGCCTCGGGATGGCGGGGAAGGTCAGAGCGGCTCCGCGCAGCCTGGCGGGTCCCGGGCTGAGAAGCCGCCCCTCGGGCCTCGGGCGGTCGGCCGCGGGCCCGCAGTGCGGGGGAGCGGGGCCGGGGGGCGCAGATGGCGGCCGGTGCGAGCGAGGGCTGGGCAGCGGGCAGGGCGAGGCCGGGCGAGGCCCCTCGGGAGCCGGACTCCCGAGCCAGGCTCCATTGTTGTTGGAGCCGAGGGAAGGGGGAGCGCTGCCGCCCTCGTCGCCCGTGGAGCCGCGTCTTGGAGCCCTTCCAGGCGGGTCCCGGGAGAGGCGGTCATGGCCGCGCCAGGGGACCGGGGAGCCGGGCGGCTGCGGAGGAGCCGGCTGCATGGGGTGCTGTGTGTTTTTCAGGGCGCCCTGCGTCCGGCAGAGGAGGCGAGCATCCCGCTCAGGTGATGAGGAACCCCTCGCGCACCCAGCGCAGAAGGCTGCTGCCGCCGGACGCCTCCATTGTTTGACCACAACAAGGGCCGGATTCTCACCCAGGTAAACCGGCTGCCGGCGCTGTCCACTTCCCTCTGACTCCCGCCTCCGCAGGCGTTCTCACCCCTTCCAGGACTCGACTGCAGTTTTCTCACTGTCCCCGGCTTCTCATGAACTCCGTATACCCCCTCCCAGACATTTTCCCGTCCGGATCCATCTCTCCGCCACATCACCTCTCATTTCCCCCAGAACTCAGCTCCTTTGTGAAACCTTTCTTGCCGAACTCTAACAACTAAATCTCCCCGGGAGCCTGCTCCGAACTGAACTGTTCTGGTTGCTAGATTGCTTACGGGCTGTCTTATTGCAACAAAGGAGACCAGATACCGAAAAAAGATTTCTGAGCTATTGCCTTCTTCAAGGAACGTTTTCTGATATTTACAGTTTATTGTTTTCACAGGCTGGAACGGTTTTTAGGCATTTTGGCTTCTTATTTAGAGAGGGCTCCTATTTCCTTCATAGACGCATAGTTTTTTAGAGCAGGAAATTGACCTTGTTCAACCCGCAGGTTAATTAAAAATTTAAAAATTAATTCTAAATTAGCAGAGTAGTACATTTTCTTTGTAAAAACAGCATATCACAGAGATGGCATTTTGTCTTTGACTATCAACCTCTGTCTTCAGGGATGCCGACTATTATGTGTGTGGTGTTTATCCTTCTAGATCTTTTGGAGTACTTTTACGTGTGTGCACTTAACATCATTTTTGACTGCTTTAACAAGGACTGTTGCACCGTAACTTTCAATGTTAGCATGTAATGCTTCAAGTCATTTTTTAACAACTGCTGCACCATGTTCCATAGTTTCAGTATATCATGGTTTAGCCATTTCCCAAATTGATAGCAGTTTAAGTTTTAACTTTAAAACAGCTTTTTTGCTGGTGGTGGTTCTCTGATGAGATGAAATTTCGGTGATAGGAGCACAGATCTACGCTAATTATCGAGATTCGGCATTTATGATGAAGTTCTCTTTTGGTTAAGAAATTGATATGTGGAAGCAGCCACCCCTCCCCTATGGTAGTTCTGACTCTAGCAGTTAGAAGTTGTGTGACCTTGGGGAGGACATTGAATCACACCAAACCTCGGTTTTCTTTTCTGTAAATGGCCTGCTCTGTCTGCTCCATAGAGTTCAGTGATACAGTGCGTATGTGTTGTGGAATGTAAAGTAGTATATATAAAGGTTGGTTTTATTAGCCTTTGTGATCCAAAAATTATTTGCAATATCATTTATATTTTTTGACCAGATGTGTGTGTATCATATCACAGAGCACTACAGATAGTCAACTTTGAATGCTTTTTAATTTGTGACTTTTTAAATTAATTTTTATCAAGTACTGACAATACATTAGTCTTCTTAACAATATTTTGCAAAGCATTTTTTCCTAGGGCTTTCTTTTCTTCCTCTTCATTAAAAAAAAAAAAAAAGAGAGAGAGATAGGGTCTCTTTCTGTTGCCGTGGCTGGAGTGTAGTGGCATGATTCTAGTTCACTGCAGCCTGGGACTCCTGGGCTCAAGTGATCCTTGTGCCTCAGCCTCCCCAGTAGTTAGGAATGACTACAACCATGTGCCACCACACCTGGCTGATTTATTTTATTTTTGTAATGACAGGCTCTTACTATCTTGCCCCAACTGGTCTCAAACTCCTGGCCTAAAGCAGTCCTCCCAAAGTGTTGGGATTACAGGTGTGAGCCACTGTGCCCAGCCCCTAGTGGTTTTACATACCTTAAAAAATAAGGCATATAAATTAGTTGACTGTGAATAAACATATTAGCAAACTGAACACTAGACAATACTCGCACTATAATATTTAAGCTTATTTCCTTAGAGTTGTAAGTTGTACATGTATTTTTCTGTGGCAGCAGCAGATTCAGATTAGCTTTTATGTCCTTCAGGGAAAAGGGATTGTTACTAAATTTGCAGGCTGCATCAGAGTTTTAATATTGAGATTTAATATTTTAATCATTTGAATAATGATTGAATGATGTGATGGGTAACATTTTAAGATGTATGAGATACGATTAGGGGCTTTTTATGTATTTTTCTTTCTTTCAGATATATATGAGTGCCTGTAGTGTGGCCAGCAAAATCAACTTATTTTGTTCTCTTGAAGCTTATGATTTGTGAGGGGGATTGGAATTTAAACACAATCACAACTACACGTATGATCACAAACTGGTATCTGCTGTGAAAGTTAAGAAGCACCTGCTATGAGGGAGTATAAAAAAGGGGAGACCAAATTTTAGAGTGGAGAGAAGGGGCCTAGGAAAGACTTTTCTGTATAAATAAGATTTAAGCTGAGATTTGAAGAGTGCGTAGGTGTTAGTGTGGAGGAAAGTGGGGGATAATTTTCCAGGCAGAGGAACAGCATGTGGGAAGGCCTCAAAGTGGGGAAAAAGCTTTGCCCATTCCAGGAACTGAAAGAATGAATGTGGATAGACTATGGAGGTGAAGGGGAAGAGTGGCTAGGCCAGGGGCCAGATCAAGTAGGGTCATGTAGGGCAGGTTAAAGTGGTTGTATTTTATCCCGAGTGAAATGGGAAACCATGATATGGGTTGGGATTTACGAAGAGGAGTGACATAATCAGATTTGTATCTTTAAACAGCCACTCTAGTCGTTGCATGCAAGATGTGGGGGCGTGTTGGGGGTGGAGAGTAGAAGTGGGGAGACCAGGTTGGCCATCTCAGAGGGCTGCCTGGAAGAGACGTGAGCTTTCCCTTGGAATTCACATTGACCTCACGTTACCAGCTACACTAAGGTCAAATCAATGTTTGATTAAAAAAAAAAAAGATCCTGGCCATGCACAGTGGCTCACACCTGTAATCCCAGCACTTTGGGAGGCAGGTGGATCATGAGGTCAGGAGACCGAGACCATCCTGGCTAACACGGTGAAACCCTGTCTCTACTAAAAATACAAAAAATTAGCTGGGCGTGGTGGCAGGCACCCGTATTCCCAGCTACTCGGGAGGCTGAGGCAGGAGAATGGCGTGAACCCGGGAGGTGGAGCTTGCAGTGAGCGGAGATCATGCCACTGCACTCCAGCCTGGGCAACAGAGGGAGACTGTCTCACAAAACAAACAAAACCCCCACAAATCCTTGTTTCTAATTTTTAAGAAGTGGGGATAAATAAAAGCAATAAAAAGGTACTTGGTATGCAAAAAGTACACATAAATGTTAAACTAGTTGTCTATACTTAAAAGTATCAGAGAGTCAAATTAAAAATTGGGACATTATTTAACAAGGTTTGTATGTTTTGACAAAGCGGTAATATGTGAGATAGGAGTGAAGTGAGGCTCTAAAATGAAGGGAAATATTTGTAGATGCTATTGACTATGAAAACAATAACAAAAATTATTAGACAAAAAAATTGATGGAGTGACCATGTATTAGTATATGTATAAAATTAATAGCTTTCTGAATACCAGAAATAACCTACTAGAACCTAAAATGGCCAAAAAAAAAAAAAAAAAACCCTAAACAAGAAACTGGCTCTGACCAGGTTGCAGCAAAACAAGTGAACCGTGTAGGCACAACCTTATAGAGTCAAGTGTGCACTCTGTGGAGGAGACCATAAAGTATCCTGAAAGGTCTGAAGGGGTACCTTGAACGGAAAGAGAGGCCATCTTCCGGGCTGTGATGTCTGCATGTTATGGAGATGCTCATTTTGGGGTGAACGTGGTAGAATACTTATGAGTAATGAGGTGAGACAAATATATTTAAACATATTATAGAGCCACATTCATTAAAACAGTATCGTTCTGGCTGTAAAATATCCATACAGGTCAATGGAACTTATTCAGCACCCCAGAAATAAACTTTTTTATATGGAAATGTCATAAATAATAATGAAATCATCACAAATGCCCCCTGAGTCTAAAGAAAATGTAAGTAAATATTAAACATCTGGAAAGAGGAGTTTTACATGCTAAGGTGGATGGAGCACATGCTTTAGACTCAGATGTGTCTAAACTGGAATCTTTTAAGTGAGGAAAATTATCCCCACTTTGCAGGTGTTATGAGAGTAAGAGATAAAGGGCCAGGCACCTACAGGGCACTCAAATCTGTAAGTAGCTGCTGCTATTAGAAACAATAGAGAAAATAATAATTAAAAATTAGTGTATTAGACTACATAAAAATTTATTCTTTAGGAAGAGAAGGGAAAAAAAAAACCCGAATCATAAAGTGGAAAATATTTGTGGCAAATGATAAGCTAAGAGTTAGTATTTTCAATATGCAAAGAACTCATCCAAATTGGTGAAGAAAATAATGAAGATCCACACACAGGTGGTTATAGGATGTGAATAGACAGTTCGCTGGATAGAAATATAACTTGTGAAACATTGGAAAAGCTGTGTAATTCATTAATAATCAAATCACTAATTACCGTATAGAAAAGTTAGATTCTGTTCTGAATAGCAGCAAAACTAGAAAACATTTACAAGTAAGACATAAATGTACCAAAGCTTTATGAAGAGAAGTAAAAACTTTTACCTAAATGATTTAAAAGCTAACCTAAATAAATGGGCAGACTTGTTCCTGGAGGGGAAGGCATCATTGTAGATTGCAGTACCTCCAAATTAAACTATGATTTCAATGTAATTACAATTGAAATCCCAGTGGGAATTCTTCTGGACACTAGATAAATTGCTTCTAAAACTCTTTTATAGGAGTAAATGTCCTAGAATGGCCAAAAAATGACAAACGTTTTTAATGGAAAAGTAGTGTTGGGGGATTTGCTATATGAGAAGTCAAAGCATACTGAAATGCTGCAGTAATATAAATGGTGAACACAAGAATAGACAGATTGACGCCTGGAGCAAAGTAGAATCCAGTAACAGACCCATTTTTATATCAGAATTTAGTATATGATAAAGTTGGTGTTTTGCAACAGTTGGGAAATTATAATTCAGTGTGTTGTATAGGGATAAGTGGCTCTTTATTTAGAAAGAAAGATCCTACTTCACATTCAAAATAACTTAGATGGATTAAGGAACTAACTAAAAAAACCTATAAAAGCATTAGAAGGAAATATAAGAGAATTTGTTATGTAGAAGGATACACTGGAAATGATGTGTTTTAGGTAGGCCATTTAGGTAAGACCAAGACCTAAAATCATAAATGAAAGGATTGATAAATTTGACTATAATCACAGTTGATAATTCTGTGACAAAAAGCGTTACAGAGTGACAGACTGGGAAAACAACCTGTAGCATGTATAAAGAATAAATAGAATTAACAAATTAGGTAATGAATTGAGGATATGAATAGTTCTTAGATAAATGTGTTCAAACAGTGAAGAGAAATTCAACCTCATTGTGATTAAGAGAATGGAAATTTAAAAACTAGATTTTTTTGTTGGGAGGAGGGCATCAGGCAAAAATTAAAAACTATCCAGCGATGTAAAAGAGGCACCTAATACATTGTTGGGACATAAAATTTTTCCAAGTTTTTAGATGGCAATTTTGGCAGAATTTTATCAAAATAAAAGTACACGTTGATTTAGCAGCTACACTTCAAGGAATCTGTGCTATTTTCATAGGAGAACATACGTTAATATAAACAATGTCTATTGCAGCGTCATTTATAATGAAAAATTGAAGATAATCACAATAAATTTTGGTACCCATATACTGTGGAATATCAAGTAGCGTTTTGTTTTTTGTGGGATTTTTTGTTTGTTTTGTTTTGAGACAGGGTCTTGCTCTGTTGCCTAGGCTGGAGTGCAGTGGTACGGAATGTGGTTCAGTGTAGCCTCAGCCTCCTGGGCTCAAGTGATCTGCCTCAGCCTCTCAAGTAGCTGGGACCACACACACACACACACACCACTACACCTGGCTGATTTTTAAATTTTTTTTGTAGAGACGGAGTCTCACCACGTTACCCAGGCCAGTCTTGAACTCCTGGCCTCAAGTGATCCTCCCGCCTTGGCCTCCCAAAGTGTTGGGATTACAGGCATGAGCCACCATGTCTAGCCTATTAGTTTTTTATATAGAGAGGTAGATTTGTATGTACTGACATAGCCTGTATGGATGTCTAGAATATACTGTTGAGCCAAAAAAGCAAGCTTAATCTCATTTTTTGTAAGATACAAAACAAAATAATGAAGGGTGAGTGTGTGTATATATATATATTCTGAATAAGAATTAGAAAAAGACTAGAATACCTGAAAACATTTAATTCTGATTACTTCATGGGAAAAGCCTAGGGGAGACTGGTTTTTCATATCACATGTGTTTGCATTGCTTCAGTTTTTTTTACAATGGGCATTTACTTTTGTAAGGAAGATGTTACAATTTCTCACCAATTTCATGAAGGTCTAGATTTAGACAAAAATATACAGTGCCTAGTACCTAAAAGGATGTGGTAAAAATGACACACTCTTATGTTACATTGGCCATATGTGTCAAGAGTCTTAAAATTATTTACATTTCTTGATGGTCTAGGAACCATCAAAAGAATATTTTTAAATACAGAGAAAAGCTTTCTGCACAAAATATGTATATTGTAGAATTATATTTATGGGCACAGTTTGCAGAATGGTTATGATACATCCCCTATATCATATATTTAGTGGCAAATAACATTGCCATTAAAAACGTTTATGAAGAAAATATATTAAAATGCTTATGATAGTGTTAAGTGGAAGGAAATCAGGATACACAATTGTATACCTGATATGATGAAAACGCCCCAAAAAAAGTCCCAGCAGCCTTCCAGTAAAACCTATGAATGGCAAAAATATGTAGAAGAAATTAGATGGAAATCTTAAGAATTGTGGAATTCGGTAGGATGTCGGGTGATTTAAATAATCTTTTTTGTATTTGCCAAGATTACATGTACCTGTATTACATGTATGATGGAACATTTGATTTAACAAAGTATATCTGGGACATGATAGCTACATGGCAAATAGACATGAGCACTTTTTTTTTTGGTTAAAGCCAATGAATAAATTTGGAATTTACACTGAAAATGATTGGGACCCATTGAAAACTTGTGAGTAGGGTAAGAACAATCCATTTTGCATTTTAGAAGGTTACATTAGAGTAGATAATGGATTAGAGGGAAGCAAGACTGGAGGCTTTTGTAGAATTCCAGGGAAGATGATGGTGGCTTGAGTTAAGTTGAGACAATGCAGGTACACAGTGGAGAGTTTCCAGAGGTATTTGGAAGAGAGTGGCTAGACCTTTGTGATGGGGGGAAGTCAATGATATTGACTTGGGCAATTGAGGGGAGAGTGGACTCATTTACTATAGTTGGGAATTGGCTATGGTTTGAATATTTGTCCCCTCCAAAACTCATGTTGAAACTTAATCCCCAATGTGACAGTGTTGAGAGGTGGGGCCTTTCAGAGGTTTGGCTCATGAGGGCAGAGCCATTCATAGATTAATGGGTTGTCATGGGAGGGGACCTGGGGGCTTTATAAAAAGAAAAGAGATCTGAGACAGCATGTTAACATGCTCAGCCCCCTCTCATCGTGTGATGCCCTGTGCCGGCTCAGGGCTCTTTGGAGAGTCCCCACCAGCAGGAGAGCTGTCACCAGATGTGGTCCTGGGCTTTTTCAGCCTCCATAACTGTAAGAGATAAATTTCTTCATAAATTATCCAGTTTCAGGTATTCTCTTGTAAGCAATAGAAAACAGATTAAGACAGGAATATAGTAGGCTTTGGTGAGGAAGTGACTGATTCAGTTTTGGATGTACTTGAGTTTGAAGGTCTTATAGGACACATAGGTGTGTCACGAAGAGGATTTACAAAGAATAATTTTACAGTACACATGTTTTGCTGTAAGAATGACTAGATACTATACATAGCTATGGTATTAAAATCAATATTTCTACATGGTAAATTTTTCTTGCAATATAGTTGTACTTCTGTAAATTGGGGCATATCTGTCTAGATAGACTGGACCATTGATATTTTTCACATAGAATTATTTGAGACTGCATGACCTCGACTTCAGATAATACCATGATTGTCTTTGGGGTTCATTGGGTAGACTCTTGCCTCTCTGAGTGGGTGGTGGAGGTTCCTCTGGGCATTAGTGGTCCTTTTGTCAGTCATCCTGTTGTCAGAGTACACCTGACTTCTGGGAGTGATTTCTCTTCATCTTGGTAAACTGGTCCCTTCCACGTAGGGGCAGGCCAGGAAATAGGCAGAGTGGTGCCCTTTCATCCATGTGTGAGTGCCCACCTGGCTGTTAATAGTATGGCTGGAGCATGGGTACCTTGAAGGACAAGTGGAGAAAAGGTAGCGGAGAAAGTGCCTGCCAAGGTAACAGAAGTCATTAGAGAGGAAGGTAGATGTCTTCATCAGAGGTTGGGGCCCAGTCGCTGGGAAGTTGGTGGCAGTCAGTGTGGCTGTGCTCTTTGCCTTCATCTCCCAGGCTTCTCCTGCTCACTGTGTGTCTGCCCTATGCTTCTATGTGTGCCTGCCCTCCCCCTAATCTCTTCTCTCGCTTGGCAGTAAATAACACGTGACCCCAGGTGGTCACTCTGGAAGGCCATTCTGAAACTCTAACTTCTGCCAGCTCACATCACAGACCCAGTCTTTCCACTTCCCACTTCCCAATTCCAAATTCTCTAGAAGGACAATCTGATTGGCTTAGCTTGGGTTCCACGCTCACCGTATCGGTTTTACTGTTGCAGCGCTTACAGGAGCAGATTCATTTAGTGTGAGCCTGGTGGACTGGCTAGAAGGGAGTGCAGACGAGGACACTCAGGAGAGACGTCCTGGAAGTTAGAAAGTTTCAAGAATGGACAGGAGCAGTAGTTTCAAACGGCCTAGAGATGTAATAAAGGGATCAGGAGTGAATCTTAGATTTAGCAAATTGAAGTCTTTCAGCCCAGGTTGAAAGTTGTGTCTACTGGGCATGGTGGCTCATGCCTGTAATCCCAGCACTTTGAGGGGCCAAGGCAGGCAGATGGCTTGAGGCTGGGAGTTTGAGACCAGCCTGGGCAACATGGCAAAACCCCGTCTCTACCAAAAATACAAAAATTAGCCAGGCATGGTGGCACACACCTGTGGTTCCAGCTACTTAAGAGGCTGAGGTGGGAGCATCACTGGAAGGCAGGGCTGTAGTGAGCCATGATCACGCCACTGTACTCCAGCCTGGGTGACAGAGCGAGACCCTGTCTCAAAAAAATAAAAAAAGAAAGCAAGCAAGTTGTGCTACAGCTAATCCATGTGGGAGAGTCACAAGGTGGAACCAATGGCTATGATTACTCATTTGTAAGACACTGAAAGAAGAGAATTTTTAAAATACAATTTAATTTTGAAGATGTAGCAGAAGCATTCAAAATGTAATTTTAAAAATATAATTCGTATTGCTTTTTAACGCTAAAACATTTCTACACCTTTATTCTGATTCTGAAATACACAGTGTCTCTTGTGTCACTTGATACATTATAAGAAATTCAGTAAAGCTATTCTAGAACTCATTTATTTTTCATACCCCTGAAAGTTCATAAAATAATCATAGGTTATTTCCATATCTTATTTTGCAGTGTGTTCTATGATATTGTGACAGAGCTTGTGAGGAAGCCTTTATAGCCAGAGCAGACCCCTGTCCCAAAGATGATGAACTCTGCCACTTAGGTTAACAATACAACAGTTCATAGAAATAATTGGAACCATTTTTCTTCTGCAGAGTAAATCCTGTATGTCCCTCTGGCTTTCAAAATATCACTTTTGGATGTGTAGTTCAAATATGTTTAGGATTGAGCCTGATGGGGGTTTAAGAATATTTCATTGATTCAAAGTACTCGGTGTTGGCTAGAAAACATGTCAAGTTTCTCAGTTAACCGATGTTCAATAAATTACTTTTAATACTATAACTTTACATTGTGATAGGACTAGGACCTTGTGGTAAGCCTCCAGACTCACAGTTAGAATCAGAGAACCTGCACAAAGCGGGTTGCATGCATTTTCATGATGCTTGGCAACTAGAGGTAGTAACCCATTGTGACATTGATTTCAAGTCCTAACTCCTTAGTGTGAAGAGCCGAGGTTTCTGAGCAGGTGTTTGAGTGCCCTCTGGAGGCCTTGTGAACAGTTGAAATGTGGACTCCTAGCAAAGCTTTCTTTCACAGCCAGAGTTGAGAACCAGTGGGCGAGATGGTTGAAACTGGTGTGGATGTTAGGAGCAGAGGAGAGGGGAGATGGAACTCATGGGAATGAACTAGTGTTTACAAGAGCTTGCCCGGCCAACTGATAATACTGGGTTTATGCAGTGAGTGTAGAACACAGAGGCCGTAGGGTCACAGAAGGAGCCAAGGGAGTGTGGCCAGTAATGTCCAGTGGGATAAAGAACAAAAAGTGCCCTTGGATTGGCCAAGAGAAGGCCGACAATGAGAGAGGAACCTCGGTGGTGTGGTGTTGGATTGAGGCATGAGTGGGAAGTGAAGCAATAGAAATCTGGAAAAATCAGTCTTTAAGAGGTCTGGATGGGGAAATGGAGGGTGGGGCCAGGGAGACAGGGTAGCTAGAGAAGGCCTGGGATTAAATGCTGTTTTTCCTTAAGGTTGGGGGAGACTTCTGCATTGTGTTTAAATGCTGAAGGGAAGAAACAAGCACAGAAAGAAAACAGTTGAAAGGGGTGTGGGGGCCGGGGAGGAGGAGAGAGTTGGTTTCAAAGTTCTTTGCCTGGGAGATCTGTTGAGGGAAGAAGTTGCCTTTTATAGGGACTTTGAGTTTGTCAAAGTAGTGATTTTCAGTTTATCGTGGGATGATGGGGAAATAATTCTAGTAGGCAGTTGGAGATACAGGTAAGAAGAAAAGACTGTGTTAAGAAACTGTGGCATCATCATCATGGAAATGGTCATCATTCCAGCCAAGCAGGTAGTTGAGCTAAAAAATGGAGACAGGACATACTGTATGGAGGACTCCTATATTTAGGCATAGGCATGTGAGATGGCAGACACAATCAGCAAGGCCAGAGGAAAAGTGAGAATGTGCAGGGAACTGGGAGCCGAGGAGACCGTAGACTAGGATTCAGGGTGAGGCAGGAGGAACGGCCCCAAGATTTGACTCTGAGAGCAGTTTTGTAGTGGGGGTGGGGGTACAGAATGGTGTGTGGGAGGTGCACACAGAAGGTATTATAGATGCTGTGGAGGAGCTCAGTAGTGAAAGTGAGAAGAGTGAATTGGTCTTAGTCGGGGGATGGCTCCAGAGAACACATGTCACTTATCTGTGCATATGAAATTAGAGCTGTAATCAACAATGACTCTAGAAAGGATTATTTTTGCTTTTTTGTTTTTAACACCATCATCTCAGAATATAAGATCTAAGTTTCATGTAACTTTTGTGCCACTTCCTACTCTTCTCAGATTGAGAATCTGACCAGAAGGAAGAAAATGTCTAGGTCTATTCATGACATTTGAGGGAGTTCTTGCAGGAGAGAGTAAATGTGACTGATTTTTGATTTACTATTCTGACACACGTCAAATGTTAAATCCTTTAAATCTATGAGACCATTTGCTATCATAAATGACATTTTAAAAAACTTCTTGGTAAAACTAATAGTATGGCTAATAGAAGTTATTTGGCTTCACTTATTTAAAATATTTCGTTAAGAAAAGATAACAGATTCCTAATATCAGAAGTGGTAAAATAACTGTGTTTAAATCTGGGAGGTGGGATTTGACCTCTCACTTTAGACTGAGTGCCCAGTTTGAGCGGCCAGGCGTACAGTTTAAGCATACACTTATCCAAGGGGTGGAATGGCAGGTTCCAGCTTAGGCCCAAACACGTCCGCTGCTGTGGGACTGGTGCGAAGATCTGTGAAGGCCTTAAGCCATTAAACTTTTGGAGGCCTTTACTATGTCATATCAAACATTAAATCACCCATGTCCCACATAAAATTAGCTTGTACAAAACCATATGAGTTAAGCTTTGATTGGCTATAGACATTTAACATTTATTAACTTTAATTTTGCAATTTTCTTTTCATGTTTTGCATCCAGTAATGTTTTTTTTCAGATCTGAAACATTTACATAGGTCTTCGAGATGCTCATGAGCCTTAGGGACTGTGCCTATATACCTAGAGATAAGACATCCCAGTTCTGCTGGGAAGTGGACATTGGGTATGTCTAGGCATGTCTGGCGGGGGGCTGGAGGGGGTGGGCTTGCCCAGAATCTGTTTGTTTGTGGCACTGAGGCACCTCCTGGGAAAACTTCATCTTAAGGGGGAGTTGAAGGAAGTGTTTTAGTTAGGGATTTTTTGTTGCAAAGAACAGAGTTTCATTCAGACCACTTTCTGTACAAGGGGCTATATTGGAGGATGCATGTGGATCAGACCCATGAGGAACTCAGGCTGTCCAGAGACAAGCCACAGTCTTCCCATGGACAGTGAGGTCTCTCACGGCATCACTCATTTCTTTGTGTCTTTCTCCTCTTGCTGCCATCTGGCTTGTTTTTCCCTCCTCTGTATGTCTTTTCTAACCTTTTAGCTCCTCCTTGCTTATAGATTCTACTTCCTCATGAGTTTGGTTTGCTGTGATTTGATGACCTCCGCAGTCATTTTGCGGATCATAACCTCTCAGCTTCATCTCTCACAGCTGATAACCTCATTCTCTCAGTATTGCTTAGATTCCTGAGAGAGAGGGAATCTGATTTTGTTTTGCTTTTATTGTTGTTCCAAGCCACATCATATGTCAGAGTTAAGCTCTTGGGTCAGATGTCTGCACTTGGTCTCAGAAGTGGTCATGTGGCCGATGGCTGCCTGGGCCTACCCTTAAAGCTGAAGCAGTTCCCATTAGTAGGATTTGTAGGCTAGCAGGCACCATGATTGGCATGTATAGTTCAGTAAGGGAGGAAAAAACCTGGCCCAATATCAAGACCACTTGAAATTCCTCCAAATGTATTCCTGCCCTTTAAAATATTATCCTGCTAACAGCTTTCATTCTAAGTTGAACCTTTATTCCCACAGAGAAACTAAAATAGCTAAATGTGTTGAAAGCATTTTCACTTTTCCATTTTCTTCCTGTTTTATTCAGTCTCTGACAGTGCAGGGCCACTCAGCATAGTCTACAGGACTCTATTTCTAATGTTAGTGATTTCTGCTGAAAATGATATAGCAACTTCAGATAGCTATTAGCAAGATGGATCATTCTAACCACATGCCTTTCACATAATCCTTTCCCCCAAAGCTCTGGGGAGCTGTAGAGGCATACTGTAATCCAGCACTGTCCCCAGATTGACAACAGCTAGAAAAACATGTAAATGTCCCATCCACATGTAGATACGGCAGCAGTGTGAACCTAAGTTCCTTAATATATCATAACTCCCAGGGGAAAGTGAAGTTCCCCAAACTTAAAGCTAGATCTTGAGATCTATACCTAAACTTCTCTGAACAATTATAGAATATAGCAGAGGCGGGGAGGTAGTAGATGGAATAAATAAAATAATGATAATGATAGCTTTGTTGAGCCCTTGAAATTTGCCAGGCAGTGTTTTAAGTACTTCTCATGGATTAATTGATTTAATCCTTAAATTACCTTATCAGATCAGCTGCCTTTATTATCTCCATTAACTCATTCTTAACCTCCTAGGTGAAGGTTACACAGCAGGTATGCAGTAGGGCCAGGACATGAACTCACCCAGTCTGACTCCAGTTTGTGCTTCTTCAGTACCCTGAGAGACTGGAAAATCCGTGAAAAAACACTATTGATTGTTTATTCCCTGGCATTTTAGCCAGTCTGAGTCAGTTATCTTATACCTATGAACCTTAAACTCATTTTGGATCTGGTTCCCATCACGAGGCTAATTGTGATAATGGGATACCTATATCTTGGAGGGAAGTTGTGCAGAGTGCCTGGATTTTCCTTTCTGTGGTTTCTCAGATTTGCTCATCCCTTCTTTGGACCTCCATGCCTTGAATCCCATATATTTATATAAATCCCAGATGTAAATAGGTCTGTCCTATCTTCTGAGCTGGGACCCCACGTTTATAGTAGCTAGTTCATGAAAACATTTTGTGATCCTAAATTCTCTATAAATAAACCCATTTTTCTCTTTGCATTTCTCCCATCCAGCAGGATCCTAAGGCCTTTGTAGTCCTTCAGCCACTGTGGGCCCTGCCTCTGCCTGTTCTTCTGGAATGTCTTGGGGGTTTTGATCCTGTCACTGTGGTAAGTTTTCCCCTTGTTTCACCATTTGTCCTAGATGGAGAATCCCCCTTGAGTATTTTAAGCCAAAGCTGTCTCTAGAATTTTTTCTGAGCATGTGCCCTTTGGGCTCAGTGAGGAAGCAGCTCTCCGTGCACGCTCTTCCTGACCTCTCGCCTTTATCTGGCATTGGATTCCCCAGATCTTGGACCACCTTCCTTACTCTAAAGATGTCAGAAACATTTTTGTCCAACTCTTTTTGTTCCCTGGGATCTTCATTTTCTTCTTTCCATGTGAACCATTGGTTATTAAAACTTTGTTTCAGTTGTCCCATTTTCTTCTGCCATCTTGGAGGCCTTACATGGATTCTAGATCTCATGCCACCCTTTGTCTTTTTCTTCTGTTGTTCCTATCCTCACCGAGCTATCAAAACTTTTTAAAAGCTCGGTTGCTTTGTAAATTTCTGGTGTTTTTTTTTTCCCCAACGTCTGAATAATAGCTTTTTCCTTAAATATGAGTTCCTGAAAATCTTCTTACCTGAGGATTATGGTTTCACATTGATCTGTGCAGACTTGATTCTGAGTGTCATTGTGTTCCCAGCACAACTATTTTTTTACTTTGTTTTCTCTTTGGATTTGTTCTTTTTTAAAGATTTTTTTTTCCCTTCTTTGGCTCAACTCAAGAAGGCAACATATATAGGACAGGTATTTGTTTATCTTTATTTGGTCATTGCTGAAATCCAGAATACTCCAGTTGAGCATACAGTCTAGATCTCTGTGATTCACAGACATCATGAAATTGTATGTTATTTCCATGCATAGCTGGGCAGGAAGAGAAAGGAAAGCCCTTGTCTTGATAGCTGCTGGCTTCTGGGGGCATGAGCTTCTTGTCATTTCCCCTGCTGCCAGAGGCTGGTTTCTCAGGCCCTGGGCTTCTGCCTTCCCAGACTTCACTTTCCCATGCAACAAGGAGGATTGGCTGTGGGAGGTAAAGGATATTGTGTTGGCCTCTGTCCTAGTGGGTCTAGTGACTGTGCGTTGTTAGAAGGCTAAGCCTATGTAGATGTGTGATGTCTTTTCTTTTTCCTGGCTGTATGTGGCTAGAGTGGTAAGGCTGGGGCTGCCCCTGAACGGAAAGGTCTTGACCACCTCTCTTCCTTTTCTCTCTTTTCCCATGTGCTGGATTGGTTTCCAGGTGACTGACCTATTTAGAAGTGGGGGCAAGTGGACCCTGGCACAAGGGCAAATGTTCTCTCTTCTCTCTCTCTTTCTGGCTGCATTATCTCCTGTGCTGATTTGGGTAACCTCGGCCAGTCTTTATCGTGAGTGGTAAGACCAAAGAGTCATGTCTAATATTTTATGAATTCCTTTTCATTCCCGTATGCGCTTTGGTCCCAGTTTAAGATTGCCACTAATGTAGGGAAAAGGAGTTCTCCATGTGATCCAGCCTACCTTATGGAATGCTGCATTGGAAATTGGATTCACAGGCCCAGCTAATAATGAAGTGTTCTGTATTTTCAGTTCAGTCCTGTGTACATGTCCATCTAGGGTACCTAGAAGTTAGGGGTGTTTGCTGAGCCCACTGGCCAGATTTGCTATTAGCCATTAATAACATACATTTTCAGAACAGTACTGGATCAACCTCCAGTGCCAGTCCTACAAGATCAAAAGCCTGAAGGCCAGAGTTCTGCATAATTTGTTGTGACCATTCCCTGGCCCTCTCTGAGAGTATAGTGGCAATAAATTTCTGTCCATCCATGCAGATACTGAATTCTATTCTTAGGATTCTCATCATCTCTGTTGATTTTTGGCTGTAAGAGGTCACCTGCTCTTGCACTTTGTGCTTCCTGAATGAGCCTACTCAAAAATCTCTCTCCCTTGCTTGCTTTGGTTTGCCAGACAATACATGTTACGAATTGTGACCCAGGTATAAAAATAGCCAGACTCTTGATGTACTTAAGAATAGTCACATTCATGGAGTCAAGAAAGTAGAATGGTGGTTACTGGGGCTGGGGGAGAGGTAAAAGGGGAGTTGTTATTGAATGGGGACAGAGTTTGTGTTGCAAGATGAAAAAGCTCTGGAGATCTGTTTCACAACAGTGTGTATATATGTAACACTACTGAACTGTGCACTTAAAATGGTTAAGATGGTAGATTTTATGTTATGTGTTTTTTTACCACAATTTTTAAAAATGCATACAAATGTCAGAATCACAAATCCATAACTTTTGACCCCCTAACTACTGTTGCTACTCCTACTGCCAGCATCATTGAGGGCAGTCTTGCTAATTACCCACTTTTCATTTTACCTGTTCTCCAGGGCCCAACCTGTCTTCCTTCTTTTAGTTGGCTAGGCTGGGGCCCCTGTGACCTTCAGGTGTTCCTTATACCTCTTCCTGAGGGTGGCTTGAGCTTTCCGGTCTGTTCTTCTTTTCTTCTGGGCCTGAGCATGAATTTTGTCTCTTTAGGTCTTACTACCACAGTGGAAGGAGGAAACAAGTTTAGTAAATGAGCACTAGAGCTAACCTGAACTAAACCTCTGTGCTTCCTTTTGTGTTCCCTCCCCCAGCTAGTTCCTGCCTGACCTCAGATCAGAAAGAATCCCCTGGCCAGTTGTGAAAGACTGGTCCCTTGAGGGAGACAAATCCAGTAGTCAGCCAAAGGGAAGGATAAGGAAGAGGCAGAGTGCAGGAAAGTGGGTTTTCTTATGTTCTGTTGTTCTTTCTGTGCGTTGACTCTCTCTAGGTATCCTAATTGTATCCTGAGGAAATCGTATTTTTTTCTGTTACCTCATCGGTGTTCCTTGTTCCTGAGGAGGCATGAGTAGAGGGTGAGAGTGAGCATCTCCATGACTCACAGTGGAACTTCTGTTTCATAGCCGAGTAAACTGAGGCTGGTGAGAATCAGTGACTACAGTCAGACAGCTATTTAGTATTAGGTGAAGATTTTGAACTTAGGCCTTTTGGGCTGCAAGTCCAGTGTTCTACCCACCAAATTATTATGATTCTTAGTGCATGTGTATGTTACACATTTACTAGTTAGATAAGATAAACTTAGGCCTTGTATGTGGGGTTCACGTAGGGGCTATCACTGAAGCTAATCATTGTGTCCCATTACTCAGGTGTTTCTGTATATGGGGTTGAACAGCAGGAAAAAAAAGTAGTGGGGTGCAAACCAGGGGAAAATCTCACTAAAGTAATATTTTTTAAAAAGCAATCCTGTGACTAGATAGTCAAGAAGGGAAAAGTTATGGGTGGGAACAGGGAGCAGCAGACACATAGGTATAAAGGCAGGGTTTCACCTTGAATGGAGGAAGAACCCTAATTACAGGGAGATTACATCATCAGGTGTTTGGAAGCCTCTGCCTGTGAAATGACATTCTTGGCAAATGAATGAATGTGTCATGCACTAATTAAAATAAAGGAAATAAGGAAACTAACATTCATTTAGCCTCAGCTATGCTGTGGGCACTCTGATAGGTACTTTCATGTTTATTATCTTTAATTACCGCAGCAAAGTATTGTAGACATTATTATCCATACATTTGCAGCTCGATCAGATCAGCCACAGTCACATAGCAGGTGGCAGAGCAGAGGCCTATACCCAGTGATGTCATTCCAGAGGTCATTTTGTGAGAGGACTTGGCTGAAGGAAAGCTACAGAATGGATGCCTGTGTCATCCTTGATCACCCTGATAACACATGCACTTATCCTTCTCAGACTTTCTTCTCAGACTCAGCAGAAAACTTGGCATCATTCCCTTGATAACTTTTGTTGCCCTTCTCTGGACCTAATTTCATAGTCTTTGTGGTAATTTCTTGTTAAAGAAAAATCAGACACAGCTTCTTTTGTCTTTTATCTTTTCTCCATTAGGAGTCATTAGGCTAAGTCATGCAAAGACGAATTTCCGCAGGACAAAATGAAGCATATCTTCCCTATAGCTCATTAAAACCCAGAGCCCAAATCGTTAAGCCATTGAACTTTGTCTGTTGTGAGAGAAATCAGGGAACATAGAACTTTGGTGTGTAGGGTATAAGGAAGTATGCGGGGCAGTAAGGAAAGGGGAGAAGGAGGCGAGGGGCCCAAACACCTGGGGACCAAGTAGGAAAGTGGTCTGAGGGTGGAGACGAGGTCCTAGGAGTGTCTGGAAGGACTGTTGTCAGTTTCTCTCCTAGTGCTCAGGAGTCAAGCTGAGTCACAGGCTTTTCTAGCCAGCTGGTGGCAGGGCTGTGCACAGGAGGGCATCAGAAGTGATGTAAAATCCTCTCTTTTCAGTCTGGAGCAGATTTTTAAGTTTGCCCTCATTCTGGAAAGGAGAGGAGTATAACCGGGCTGATATCCTAAATTTAGTTGGAGAATCCTGCTCAGAGTCAGAACTTCTTTTGACCAAACTCAAAAGCTGACTTCAGAACCCTTGGGGAAGTTGTTCCTAGTATCACAGAGGCTGTAGTTATTAACAGCATGTTCGGGAAATGCTGGCTGCTACTTGAGCCACAGGTAAGGGAGCGTTTGGATTCCTGTCAGGGCGTGTTTCCAGGATGCTGCATGAATGACAGCCAATGGGGCAGAGACTGATGTTCTTTTGAGGAGCCCACTTTTAGAGGTCATTCTACTTTTCAGAAGTGCATGTACTCCAGTGACTACAGCAGAATGCATTGGTGCCTGAACTGACAGGCCTTTGAGTCAACAGAACCTGGAATATCTCCGAGGCTGGGCTTTGTGGTGTGGAGGATTTGACCACAGAGATTTAGACCTGGGAATTATGGCTGTGCTTGGGCTACTCTGAGTGAAACTCTTCTCCTCTCAGTTCTGACCACCTCCAACCTCTAGTAACTGAACTCGGCCCAGAAAGACAAAGAAACCCAGATTCACTTCTGTGAGTGATAAGCACATCTGAGAAAAAAGGCCTGGCAGTTGGACCTTCCGAGGTGCTGTCGGCTGGAGGAGATGAAGTGTGAGAAGTTGAGTAGCTACAGGCCTTAGTGGCCACTTAAGAGGGTTTGGCGAAGTCAGAGAAGGACCCTCTTTCAGAGACTCTGAAAGTCCATTGTCAAGGAGAGAGGTCTAGGACCCTACAAGGTGGAGCTTCACTGTGACCTGTTATCATTGAGGTGGCCAAGGGCACATGCAGGCACTGTAATGGGGAAAAGGGCCCTGGCTTCTTCAAGAGTGGGGAATGTGAAGGGCCTCTTTGGGACATGAATCTGCCTTGGGCAGCCAGAATCTTCAATTTCAGAACTATTGATGATGGTGGAAGCAAAATAGAAGGGATCTGACATTCCACAGTCCTAATCAGTGAGTTGCCAGTGACTGCCATAATTAAGTTATTCTAAGGCAAATAGTTAAGCAAAGATTAAGTGGACGAGACCTCTGTAACTTGAGTATCTAAGTCTTCCTATACCAAGTTATATGTATTTTAGACTACACTTTTCTAAAGGTGTAGTAGAGACTAGTGAGGAGGTAGATACAACATCTGCTGTGTTCCCATATACCTGAGGCTCATGGAGAGTGGTGGCCTTGAACAGAACAAATGCCCTCTTAACCCGGTTCCTTTGGCGGTATGTACGTCCTGATACCTAAACAACGTTTCCTTTAATTTATTTTTTGGGTGTGTGCCAAGGCCTGTAGAAAAAGGCTGAGCAGAGGTTCTCTTGGAGTTGTTTTATCTGCTGAGACTTGCCAAATTAGAATTTGATGGCTTTGATTTCTGGGACTTCCTGATCATTTTTGAGGAGGAGGAGTTCCTAACTAAGCTGGAGGGCACATACTTTCTCCACATGAGTGGGGCACCCATGATGTCAGCGAGGACAGTGTCAGATAGATGCACAGCCCATCACCCAGAAACTAAGGTCTTGTAAGAATACCTTAGTGAATTGTGCCAGATGGAATAAATTCTGAATCCTTTATAAAGCATCTCTTTGGGAGAGTTCTTTCTTGTAGTGTTTAGGTCTCAATCCTCTCATGCACGAAACTTCAGAATTATTTTGGAGGACTTTGGGGGGCGTTTTTCTTATATCTAGAAGAGGAATGTTTGGTGATGGAAATTACTCACTACACATAAGTGGTCATCTTACAGTTTGTTTGCATACTTTCAGTCTTCAAAAAAAGTGGGTTTAAGATGGATTCTCAACCCCTTTTTGTGTCTGGCCTTCCTTACACTTTAAAAACCATTTTTAAGGACTCCAGAGAACTTTAAGTTTATGTGGGTTGCAGGCTTTGGTACTTATTGTAATAGAAATGAAGACTAAAGTTTTATGAAGATACTTACTAACTCATTTATTTAAAAATGATAAACTCATTACATGCTAACATAAATGACATTTTTATGAAAAATAGCTATTTTCTGAAACAAAACATTTAGTAGGAAGAGTGGCAATATTTACATTTTGGCAACTCTTTAAATGTATGGAGTTTAAATAAAAGACATCTGCTTCTATATTCAGTCTCTTGCAATATGTTGTTTTGGTTGAAGTAGATGAAGAAATCCGGCCTTGCATAGATAATGTAGTTGGAAAAGGGATTTTAGTAGCCTTTTCAGATAATTGTGGCTTTATCTGTGACATGACACCAAAACTTGACAAGTGGTAGATGCCTACGGGTTAGTTGCAACGTACAATCTGAAACTGTATTCATGAACTTTTCGTACTCTGGTATGTTAAAATCCCTTGGTCTCTCTTACACTCTGAATAGATCTTTTACAAACTGTGTGACCACATGTTGGTCATTTGGAGCCTTCATGGAGTGCCTACCTAGATGAACATTAATTAGCGGGAATTGTACTATAAATTGTGAGAACATGTTGAGAAGGAGGATCTAGATCAGTGGGTGCTTAGCTAGTTTATTCAGGAAGGGTTTCAGCTGGGGCATAACTAGGGGGCAAAGAACATCTGTTACAGTAAAGGCAATGATGAAAATGTACTATTTGCATACTCAGTAATCTGAGGAGGTTGGGATTACAAGCCCATTTTACAGACAGGAAGCTGGTGCTCAGACAGTTGAGAGCATGATCTGAGGGTGGTAGGGAGAGGTGTTGAGCATAGAGCCGTGGCCCATTGTGTGTTTCATCACGGTGTTGTGCAGCTAAGCCCCATCCTCTGCTGAGTAGAGCTATGAGTCAAGTAGGCTTTAAAAAAAATAGTTTACAGACAAAGAACATTTTCATATTAAGTGTGAGGCCGATCAGGCACTTGCCAAGAACCACATTTAGCCTCTGAGTCAATGCTTCACAGACTATTGTGTGACCTGGGGATCCTGCTAAAATGCAATTCTGATTTGGTAGGTCTAAGGTGGGGCTGAGGTTTTGCATGTCTGACAAGCTCCCAGGTGAGGCTGATAACGCTGCTCCATGGCTCAGTTTTGGGAATCAAATTTCCAGAGCCAGTTTACCATTTGTTCCTTAATACATGATATGAATGTTAATCCCAGTCACTCAGGCTTTGGAGAAGGAGAATGGAGGTGGGCGGAGATGGGTGGTAACTATGTAAAATTCTTTGTCAGTTAGGGCTGCCTGGTAATCAGCAACAGAAATGGACTCTAGCTAATTTAAGGTAAAAATGAATTTTAGAATGGAAGGGGACGTGGAGGAACCCAGTAGCGCTGGAGGTTCATAGTTGTAGGAACTGCTTAGATGTCTGTCCTGGGTGCTGTCACTAGCACATGTGAATGAACTCTAATTTTTAATGTCATCTTTGACTCTTCACAATTCAGAGTACGTGGAGAGAAGACTGGCTGGCTCAACAGAGGTCTGTTTTGTACCCCCTGACTGGACCAGGCACTGTAGTGAGAGGGAAGATCTGGGGATCTTGTCCTTCACAAGGGAGGATAGAAGAGCACCCTGATTTATCAGCCCATTATTGCCGCATAGAGAGGGAGAGGTAATCCCTGAACAGGAAGTTAGAGTGCAGTTAGGAAAGGGAAAGGAAAGCTCAGCAGGAAGGCTGACCTGTTGCCAGGCTCCTAAGCCATCTTTCAGTTAACAGTGTGCATTCCCTGTACTTACCAGGCAGGTACATTGAAGAAAGAAAGTATGTATTGAGCTTAAGTACTATAATAAATATGCATTGTTTTATGCAATTTTCAAAGCAACCTTAAGAGATGCAAGTATAGGTATTATTGAGGAAATGAGTCTTGGGGTTGAACAACTTGCTTGAGGTCACACTTAGTAAGTGGGAGAGCTGCAACTTGAATTACAAAGTTTCTGCTGCAGTATCATTTGTTGGCAGAAACTGCTGCTGCTTGGGGTAAAAGGTTGCTTCAAGTGGGCTGAGTGTGAGCATAAGTGGTGGAAGTTGGGGAGAATGTGTATGGACACACAGAGCTGGAGATGCATAACAATTCAAGATTTTGGAGATAGAATGCTCTGTAAAACAAGCTCAAATTTAGCTGTGTCTGTTAAGAGCTTCATGGCCTCAGGAAGGGCTTTCAGTCTCTTAGCTCTACCAGATTATGGCTTTGCCTGTGATGGGAAAGGATACTTCCACGGAATGGAAATTTAAGGTGCGAAACCCAAGGAGAGCAGGCAGGAATGGGGAAAAGTGTTCATCTGGAAATCAGACAGAGTGGACAGAATGTCGTTGGGGGCGGGCTTTATAATTGATGGGTAGCTTTTGCAGTGGCCAATTAGATTGCAGGGCTCTGTCCTCATTGCCTGGCCAGGGAGGGAATGAAGCTCATTCCTGCATTACCAGGACAAAGCCCACTTGTGTGTGATGGACGGAAGTAGGCTGGGTGCCCCATGTTATATGTATTATATACAAAACCCCCATTCACTCTGGCTAGTCTAATTGTGAAGCCACTGCTCACCCCTTCCCCAGGCTGCCAGCCACAGAAGTATGTATGTGTCGTTGACTTTTTGGTGTCAGAGGTGAAGACTGTAGATACTGTTTGTGGTTTTTTTGTTTCCTTGGGAGACAGAAGCAAAGAATAAAACTCTTGTAAAGGAAAGGAAAAATAAAGATTTTCTATGAAATGTAATCTCTTAAGTAAAAATATTTAAGTGAAATCTGCAACTTCTTTTTTTGGACGTGATTAAAGGTGAAATGACTCCGGGTTTTTAGAGCTAAAAGGGCTTGGGTGAAGTGTGAAATAAGCACCATCCATTCAGCATCACCAAAGAATAAACAATGCCCCTTGTGTACATAGAGCCCAGATGGAGGTAAGGACTGTGATGGCAAAATTTCACTGAGAGCATGCCACATCCTCCTTGTAGTTTCCTTGGGCTGCTGTAACAAAGTACCACAAGCTGGGAGGCTTAAAACAATAGAAATTTATTGTCTCACAGTTCTGGAGGCTGGAATTCTGGATTAAGGTGGCAGCAGGGCCGTGCTCCCTTTGAAGGCTTTACAGGAGAATCCTTTGCCTCTTCCTAGCTTGTGGTGGTTGCTAGTAGTCTTTGGCGTTCCTTGGCTTGTAGACATATCACTTCACTCTCTGCAGTCATCCCCACGTGGCCTTTTTCCCTGTCTGTGTGTGTGTCTGACTCTCCATGTCCTCTCTTTTATAAGGATAGCAGGCATTGGATTTAGGGCTCACACTAACACATTATGATGTCATCTTAATTACATCTGCAAAGACCCTGTTTCCAAATAAGGTCACATCCTGAGGTTCTGGATGGATATGAATTCTGGGGAGACACTATTCAACCCAGTATACTTTTTGCCTTTCTTCCTTAGAGCTCCAGCTAATCCAGATGCAACATTGACGAATTAGTGCCGGAATGAGTATCAGCACTTGGTACTGCAATTAGAACACGGGGATTTGGCTGTTGATTTATTTTTTGGGCTACACTGGGAGGGAGGCTCAGAGACGGTGTGGGTGTCTGAAGGAAAAAATACGTGTTAAGTGAAGTGAGGACTTCAAACGAAATCATACAGTTTTGGGAAACTGCATTGGATAGGGAATGCTGGAGCCAAAGAGTGTTCCCTGTTCCAGAAAGGGAGGTAACATTTGCAGGAGGGCTTCTGAGGTCAGAAGTTCCTCCTAGAAGTGCAGGGTGTATCAGCCATCTCAGGAGCTGATTTCCTGTGCAACTTTTTCTAATACCCCCGGGAGCCTTTCTTATACTTTATCCCTTTGTATGTTTATGGATCAGGTCCTTCCCACTCTTCGGCACCTGTGACAGGCTCCACAGGCTTCCAACACTTTAAATGCCTTCTGTTTTTCCTAAAAGATAGAGTCCTGAGCTTACAGGACTTCATAGGAAGACCTGTAAGTCTCTGTTGGTCTTTATAGGTGGACTACTATCTCCTGGGTGTCTTGTAACTGTAATGTTTATATTTTTTCAGAAAACCCTACAGAGATGCCTTGGTCACTCCAGATAAGAGTTTCTGTGGCTGAGAGGCCCCACTGTATGACTCCTGTTTCTGCCTGCTGGACTTCACTTTCTGGGGCTTGGCATCTGATGACCTCTGTATACATGCTGTGCCTCCTGTTCTTTATGTGGCCACTTCACTTTGTCCTTTGGGTTTCAGCTTAAAAGTAGAGTCAACTAGAAATCTTCATTACCATGCTGAGACTAGTTAGGATGCCCCTGGCTCATCAGCTGTAATGCCTCTGTCAAAGCTCCACTCAAACATGCTAGAACCATCGCCTTCCCCTCCTCAACTGTAAACCACAGAAATGCAGAGGCCCTGTCTGTTTTGTTCATCAGATCCTCCGGAGCATAGCTTACTGCCCAACAGATGCTGGGTGGTAAATAAATGTGGAATATGTGCCTGTGTGTGTGCAGCTCTGACCCTGTGCCTCAGAGGTCAGCTTCCAGGACTGTTGCCTCAATAACACCTCTCTTCCAAGTCTGTGTCAGGGTGGGCTGGCTTCTCTCATTGTCACTTATCTATGTCAAATAATCAACATGTGTTAGAGGACTAGGGATATAGGGATCTTTCTATAAAACCCTTCCCATTAATTAAGGGACCAAGAAGTTAATGTGGATCCTTTATATGTTATGATTACTGGCTTAGTGCATCGTCTCCTGAGCCAGGGCCCTTTGATTATCTTTCTTAGAGAATCTTATCCAGCCCCTATGACACAATTGCCTGCTGTATGCATGTGGGGAGATGAATCACATGGTCATCTCAACTCATTGCAGTTGGTAGTGGTTATTTTTGGTAGGGATTGGAGGCCGACATGTCATCTTCCCAGTTCTTTTTCACTTTTATCTTTCCCAGAAAGTGTGCCCTTATGCTTTGAGTGGCAAAATTATATACCACACATTCTGATAGATCTGGTTCTGGGTAGGAAATTAATTTGATCTCTGTTGAAATTGATTTTACTGTCAGAGTCTGCTATTGAAGAGGGGGATTATATATAGTTAGTGCTTCATAGGAAGACCTGTACTCATAATACTGCTGAAAGATCTGTGATACTTACAGGTTTCTTAAAATCAGAACAGTTGTCTCAAAAATAAGAAAATAGGTAATTTTCACTTGACTTTTATGACAAAGTAATTGTATAGTTATTTAAAAACGACTTTAGATTTTTCTGAGCCAGCAGTCCGAATTTCAGATAATGTATTCAAGATAAAAAAAGAAAAGCTCAGTCCAGACATCCAGAGAGGAGCGGTGTTGGGCTGAATCTTAAGTAGGACATGGACACTTCTTCCATTTATAAAAGGAAGAAAGGGCTAGAGTCGGGCAGTACATGTACCTTGATAGTTTGGCTGGAATTGGAGGGAGTTCTCTGATGGGTTCTCCCTTTTCTGTGTGGCATTTGGTTTGAAGAGCAGAGCTAGCTGCAGGTCAGACATAGATTGAACATGGGGAAGGGGGCAATAGCCACATAGCAAGTTGGGGTGAGGTCACACAAGCATTCCTGAGGCTTGGAAGACCCAGCTGAGGGTATCACTGTGAAGACCTTGGTGGTCTATGATTCTGTTAGCATGTGAAGGTAGAGATTTGGATTGGGATAGGGGATGATTTCCTTTAGAAGGAAGGCCCGTTTGTCCTTTGACGATTCTCATTTGGCAAAAACTCAGTTTTGCAGAAACTTAGCTATCTGCCTTCCCCATGCAGCCCCTGAGGAACTGAGCCCTGGGCCAAATCCATGCCCACCCTCGATGCTGCTGGCAGTCTCCCTACGTTTCTTGGGTCATGCCACTCTCCCACCCTCCAGACAACCATCTCACACCACCTCTGTTCTCCTCAAACCTCCAGGCTCCCCATTGCCCTCTCCTTCTCAGCAGATGGCCTTGCTTCCTGCTTCCCAGCAGCCAGGGACTGTCAGTTTCTACTTAAACACACACACCACTTCCTACCTTCGCCTGTTCATAGAGGCCCGTCCTTCTCCTCTCCAGAGCTCATTCCTCTCGTGGAGCTTTGGATCCTGTCTCCATTGGCCCTTTCTGTTATTTCTTTTCTCTCCCATAGTTTAGTGGAATTCCTCTCATTTTTATTTCTTCCCTGAACTTTTCCTTGAAGTCTAACATGCAGATTATAAATAGGGCTGTAGTGTAATGAATTTTCACAGCTATGAGTTGAGCACACCTGTGTGCCCCAGTGCCCAGATAAAGACAGCACATGACAACGATCCCTAGAAATTCCCTCGTGCATCTTTCTAGTCATTAGCCCCTCTGTCTGCTCTGTTGTGTAACAGCATCAGTTGATTTGCTTGTTTTTCAACTTTATGTAAGTGGAATCATTCAGTATGTGCTCTTCTACTTGGCTTCTTTCAAACTCAGTCATTAAATGTTGGTCTCCTGTAGCTTAGTCCCAGGGCCCTCTTCCCTTTTCACCCTTTGTTGGTAGGCAGTCTTATTCCCTCCCCCTGTTTAAGTTACCATCTAAATGTTAACGGCTCACACATGTATACCTTATAAAGTCCTGATCTCTTATCTCAGTGCCAGTTCCATCCATCTAGCTGCTGTCCTTGACATCGACTTTTGGATATCATGAGCATGTCTAAAATGGAAATCACAATCTTTGTCTTCAAACCTTGGTCTTTCTAAAGTTTTCTGTCTTACTGAATGGCTCCATCTCCATCCAGTTATTCAAATAAAAGACCTGGGGGTCATCCTTGGCATTTCCTTGTCCCTCACCCATTGTATTGAATCTGTCACCAAGTCTGATACATTTTTCTCTCATCTCCACCATTGCTTTAGTCCAGATTATGATCATTGTTTCCAACCCAAATGACTAAGATGATCCCCTACCATGTTTACCCCTAAATGCTCTTGCTTTCTACCCATCCTTTAATTTCTGTACTTTAGCTACAGTTTTCTATTTAAAATGGAAATCTGATGTTACTACCAAATTTTAAAACAAAAGCTAACCGCTCTGGAGGCTTCCACTGCTACTAAGATAAAGATCACGATGCCTAGCTTCTACCCTCTCATCTGGCACTGAGCGTCTCCAGCCCCGCTGGCCCTGTTCTGTCCCGTGCTTGCCTCCTGCCCCTCACCATGGTCCTCCACGCATGCCTTTCCCTCGGGTCATGTATCTTCTCTTCACCCTGCAGAGGCCTCCTCTAGATCTGAGGTCAGCCATCAGTTCAAAGTGGTCTCCCCTGACCTCTGACCCCTGACCAGGTCAGCCTCACTTCCAGCCCAGCCTGAGGTGCTCAGAGCACTGTGCAGGGCTGCTTTGGAGCATTTCACATAGATTTATTTGACATTTCTTTGTGGACACCTTGATGAACATTGTCTCCCCACTAGACTGCAGCTTGCACTCGGAAAGGGACTGGCTATGATTCTGCACTGCTGAAGGCACAGAAGCTGACATAGGTTAGACACTCAGTAAACATTTGGTGCTTGAATGACTTTGGAAGACAAAGAGATGAAGGAGTTTTAGAGATTCACAAATTTCATAAATTCTCTGCAGTTTCTGCTGATCAAGGAGCTTGCATTCAAGAGAGCAGGGAGAGGAGCACAACAAAGGAAGCATGTGCAAAAATGAGCACAATAATTCCAGGCAGTAAGTGGTAATGTTCTGTACAAAAGTTAAATTAAGCAGAAAGAGGTGGTCAGAAAGGTGTGAGGGCAGAGAGGTAAGTCAGCTGAAACTGACAAGCCCGGGAGCCGCTTTCTAGGAAGACAACGCATGTGCTGAGGCCTGGGTGTTGAGCAGATGCCAGCTCCCTGAGGACCAGGAAGAAACTGGGCAGGGGGCTCATGTGAAGGTACTGAGGGCACATGAGGCTGGCAAGCTTGAAGACTAGAAAGGAGATGAGGGAGGCTGGTGTGTGGTTTGCAGAGAGTGCAGGAGGTGAGGTTGGAAGGAGGCGGTGGCTGGGCCACCTCCAGCTTGTGAGCCAGTGAGAGGATGTGTGTTCTAAAGAGCAATGGAAGGATTAAGCAGGGCAGTGACGTTCTCTAACTTACATTTTTAAAAGATAAGGGTGACTACTGGTAGAGGTCCAGTTGTGGAGGAGCAAGAATGAAAGCCAGAGAGACCTGTGGTTGAGAGGCTGTTGAAATAGTGCAGGCAGGAGGTGACCGTGGCCTGGATAGGGTGGAGCTTGTAGTGGCCATGGAGAGATGCAAGGGCAGGGCTGGGTTATGTTGTGGAGAGGAGGTAGAGTGTGCAGTGATTTGCACTGGTGGGGCTGGAGGAAAGCAGAATTAAGGACAATGCATCTGGATGGATGTTGGTGTGCTTGACAGAGATGGGGAAGAATGAGGAAGGAACAGTTTGAGGGGAGATTTGGTTTGGAAATGTGGTTGTAGTGCCTTTCAGCAGAGATTATGGAGCAGTCCAGGGCTAGAGATAAAAATGGGAGCCAACATCTAAAGAGTATTTTAGATCACGTGACTGGTGAGATTACTTAGAGGGTATAGATTCAGAAAAGAAATGGTCCCAAGCAGGAGCCCTGAAGCACCCCAGGATTTAGAAGTTGAACAGAAGAGAGGTCAGCAGTAAAAGGAACAAGGAGTGGCTAGTGAGGGGCAGGGACGGGCCAGCTAAGAAAGCAGGTGTTTCCAGCCCTGTCTTGGGGCCCTGTCCTGACAGAGGCAGGACATGTTGGGAAAGAAACATGTTTTCAGTGGCATGTTGGGAAAGAAACCCGCCTGCAGGGGTGGGGCTGTGGTATCCAAAACAATTTTAAGAAGGAAGATACTAGAACATGTTTGTATGAGAATGGACCTATAGCTAGGATGGAATTGACAGTGGCAATGAGAGGGAGTACTTACAGGATTCCATTTGGAGAAGGCCCAGGAAGTGCACTCATGGGCACAAGTGGAAGGGCTGGTCTTTCCTAGGAACAGGGCACCCCCTGTTGGAGTAGAAGGTGTGAATGCAGGTGGCCTAGTGGATTTGCAGTAGGAAAATGAAGGGCTTGCCATCTAATTGCATCTTTTTTTTTTTTTTTTTGAGACAGAGTCTTGCTCTGTCGCCCAGGCTGGAGTGCAGTGGCACGATCTCAGCTCATTGCAACCTCTGTCTCCCAGGTTCAAGCGATTCTCCTGCCTCAGCCTCTGGAGTAGCTGGGATTACAGGTGCGTGCCACCATGCCCAGCTAATTTTTGTATTTTTAGTAGAGACGGGGTTTCACCATGTTGGTCAGGCTGGTCTCGAACACCTGATGTCATGATCCACCTGCCTTGGCCTCCCAAAGTGACGGGATTACAAGCGTGAGCCAATGCGCCCAGCCTGCTTCTATTTTCTTAATCAGAAACAGGCTCTTGGCAGGTTATCAGCCACGAGTGAGGGAGTCAGAGGGAAGATGGGAGATTTGAAGAGAAAGGAGAATGATGAAGTAGCAATTTAAAGTATTGGGAAAATGTGTGTACTGAAGACTTTTGGAGGAATTTAGGGGCACTCCAGTGCCCATTTGAGATGTGTGGTCGTGAGTTAAATAAACCTGGCATTATTCAGCCACTTGGGTGCGTGTATGGATAGATGGAGAGTTGGGTTTGAATAAGGTGCGGTGTCACTGAGAGTAGGTGGGGCCAGAGAGTTCTGGTGAGCGCAGAGAGAAGCTGTGGACAACAGACAGGGAACAAAGGGTCAGGCCACTGGGTGCAAGCCTACTGCATGAAGTTCCTGGAGCCAGTTAACTGGAAGGGGAGGGAGCACCCGGTGTCCAAGAATGGGTTGCTTAACACAGATTTGGGAGGGAGCACAGTTTCTGGGGGTGATAGAGCTAGAGTGTGGCCATGGAAACAGTGATGATGACAGAAGAGAGAGGTGAACCTGGGTGGAGGGAGGGCATAAGGAACCCAAGCCAGCATGGAAGCCAGGAAGTAAAGACAAACAGGGCCACATTAGTAGGACAAAGATTGAAAGAGGACTGGAGGTCCTGAGGGAGCAAAGAAAAGGTTCCATAGGATTAACAGAGCAGAAAGCTGGAACAGGATGTTTTGGTTAAAGGCTAGAGTTTCACTCAAGATGGACAGATTGCTTACAGACTTCTGGACTTGCATAGGTTGGTGTTGTCAGTGGAGGCGGAGGCAATGTTTATTTAGCTTTGTAATTTAGAACACTGTTGTATTCTTTCTTACGGCTTTAGATTGTCATACAGGGATTTTCTAAGCCAGGGGTCCCCAACCTGTGGGCCACAGATGGGTACCAGTCCATGGCCTGTTAGGAACCAAGGCCACACAGCATGAGGTGAGTGGTGGGAAGAAAGCCAGTGAAGCTTCATCTATTTATAGCTGCTCCCCATTGCTTGCATTACCTCCTGAGCTCCACCTCCTTTCAGATCAGCGGCGGCATTAGATTCTCGTAGGGGCGTGAACCCTGTTGTAAACTGTACACGCAAGGGATCTAGGTTGCACGCTCCTTATGCGAATCTAATGCCTGATGATCTGTTACTGTCTCCCAACACCTCCAGATGGGACCACCTAGTTGCAGGAAAACAAGCTCAGGGCTCCCACTGATTCTACATTATGGTAAGTTGTATAATTATTTCATTATATATTACAATGTAATAATAATAGAAATAAAGTGCACAATTTAAGTGTAATGCACTTGAATCATCCCAAAAACCATCACCCCTGCCCCCAGTCTGTGGAAAAATTGTCTTCCACAAAACTGGTCCCTGCTGCCAAAAAGGTTGGGGACCACTGTTCTAAGCAAAGGCTTCCTGGCTTCCATTTTATTATGGAAAATTTCAAATGAACTCAAAAGTAGAGAAAAAAACAAAATGTACTCCTATGGGCCTGTCACCACACGAGTTGAACCCAGGTTAAGAAACCGTGAGCTTTTTGCTGTTCTTATTTTGTCTACCCTCTCTACTTTTTTGTTCACACAAGAAGCCAGTTTATTACTTGAGTTGGGTTTTGTTGAATGACCACAGGTCACATACTCGGTGCTGGCAGTCTTACCATAACATGCAGTCAGCATTTTTGAAAACAATGTAAATATATAATACAGTTGTCTATCTTTTAGTTTCCAAAGTTTGTTACTTCACATTTTGACTGGATGATAATTTATAGAATGTGTGTGTGTGTGTGTGTGTGTGTGTGTGTGTGTGTGTGTGAGAGATAGGCCAGCATGTCTGTATTATCCTCATTATATAAAAAGAAAACAGATGCAAAGTAGTGTTAGGTGACATGTTGGCCTGAAGTTCCAAGATTAAGTGGGAATACATTTTAAAGTTCCCTCTTTGCTGTTCCCTTCTCTTGGGAATGTTCTTCATTCATACAGCATCTGCCCTCCATCTCACATCCCCCGTCTTTCTAAAGGCATCACTGGCCCATCCCTACAACAAGCTGTCTCCATGCCAGCCCCAAGTGCTAGTAAGACATTGTCCTATACCTCCCTGGTACTGGGCTCTGCACCAGTGTGCCCTTCTGCGTACTCTTTTCTTCACCAGCCTGGCAGTGGGATGTTAGTTGCTGGGCGGCGCTATTCTCTTCCTCAGTTGGTGGTGACAGCTGGGTCCCTGTGCCTCTGCAGTTCTTGCACGGAGGTCATAGCCTTGCGCAGAGCAACACAGACGAGGCACTTGGCCTCCTGCTTAGTAGTCGGCATCTGCTGGCTGAACACTGTGGACATAATCTGATGTCAAGGCTGAATGGCTGCTAATTCCTTTAGGAGTGTAACTGGATTTTTCTCTCCTGCCCAGTCAAGGTGATTAGTCTTTATTTCATATCCAGCCTGTGTTGAATATAATCCAGTTCATAGTCCACTTTGTGGAACATCGATTGTAGCTTACCAACCTCTACCTCCATGTAAATAGTTGGCATTCCTCTGATGCTCTGGTCATCCCATTAGGGCTGCTGCAACCAACTCCTGCAGCCTCGGCCCTATGCTGGAGTGGTAGTCTCCCCTTCATGCAGCGGGTTCGCCTCTTCTGCCGCTAGAGTGAGGAACTTTTGGTCTGAACAGCCTTCAAGGGAAACCAGCTTCATTCTCCCAGCCTGTTAGTCCTGTACCCCCGTCTTCAGGTTCCCCTTTCTTATGCCGTGACCCAGAGCACGTGTTCTCTCAGGATATGGTTCTTGTATTTAAGACTCAGTTTTTGACTTCCTTGAATCTTAGCATCAGTTCTTTATTAGCTAGTTGCCCTCAATTTTAATTGTACTGAAATATTAGTACTGATTCAGTATTCTGTGGTATCACAAACTACAGGGAGAGAGGAAAGGCTCCTTTTCATGAAAGGTGAGGATTTGAGGTAGATGGGCTAAATTTTAAGCTTTCGTTTTCTTGGTTTTCAACTGCACTGTCATTTTGTTGTTTGAGTTCTCCTCCAGTGTGAGTCGAGTGCACAGGATGCTGGGGGCGTTCCTGAGCTTGCAGGTGCAGGCTCTGAGTTTGTCCTTGGCAGCCTTCCTCCTCAGGTCAGAAAGAGGGACTTGCAGTCATGTGGGATGTCCCCTTGAAAGCCCCAGTAGGACGTTGATTTTGAGACATAAGGGGGAGTCTGGAGTGAGAGATAGCCTTGGGAACGTGGTGTGTTCAGGATCTGTGAGCTCTGTGGGGTTCCATAACCTGTATCTGCCTCTGGATTTACAGCTGCCTCTATCTGTGTGGAAGAGTTGGGTGGGGGCTGTGTTAGGCGAGTCTGTACTGGAGATCCTTGCTGTGTGTTGGCCTTTCTGTTCTTTGGTTGGTCACGTGGAAAATTTGCCGGAGTTTCTTTTATCTTTCTTTTTCCTACAGAATGCACCTTAACCCCTCTCATCCCCCCACCGTGCAGTGAGACTTACAGACAGGTCTGAGAATTTTATCTGGAAGGAATGGCAGTGCCTGATGCCTGAAGAAGAACTCTAGTGGGAGGTCATGTTGGACTCCCCTGTCAGGGACCTTGGTATTGAACTGTTGCCCTTCTGAGCAGAGTTGGACTCTCCTGAGGCTAGGCTGGCGGAGTACCCTAACCCTGGCAGCTTGATTCCTGGAGGGGGCTCTGGAAGACACCCCTGCTGGGGTTAGCTTGCCAGGCAAAAGAGCAGAGCGCAGTGCTGCTGCCTTTGTCTTTTGCTTGTCGCTGCCCTGCAGCCACTGCCTTCGCCTGCAGCCACTGCCTTTGCCTGCTGTCCAGAGGCCTCTTCCTGTGTTCATTCTCCTGTGCTCAGGATTGACTGGGGAAATGAGAGCCGTTTCGGGGATTATATTCGTTTCAGTCACAGTTGCCCCTCTATGCGGTGGTCCTGGGATTAGTTTGCCATTGCCAGAAGAGCAGGAAAGGAATATCTTAGCATTCACAGATTTTTTTTTTTAACCATGAAAATTTCAACCATACACAATATTTTACAATAGAATCTTTTAGAGTAGACTATTATCTCTTACCTAAATGCAATGGTTACAATGATTTTACCACATTTGCTTTGTCTGCTCTTTTTTACTTTCCCTTTTTTTGTTTGTTTGCTGAAGCATTTTAAGTCACACATGTCAGACGACATGTCCCGTCATTCCTGTTCTTCACTGTGCATCTCTAAGGCTGTAGACATTGGTTTACATAGCTACAATGACATGATCACATAGTTAACAGCACACAGTGTAATCTCATACCCCGAATCACATTTCCTTGACTGTCCTCTTTTAGCAGCTGGTTTGCTTCAGATTGCAAAGAAGTTCCTCTGATTACATCTGATTGTTATGTCTCAAATCGCTTTCATTTAGAGCAACTCCTCCCACCTTACCGGCTTTTTTTCCCTCGTGTCCTTATTGCAAAAAAAAAGGGGCAGTTGTGCTGTAGAGTGGCTCACCTTTTGATATTTTGCTACTTGCTTCCTAGTAGTTCCTCTGTCCCTTCAGTTCTTTCCATTAAAAATTAGCTCCAGAGGCTTGATTAGGTTTTGCTTCAGTCTTTTGACAAGAATGTCTTCAGAGGGTGCTGGGTGTTTCCCATTGCACCACAGCAGGAGGCACACGTGTCTGGTTGTTCCTCTTTGAGTCATGCTAAGATCGATCCCTGGCTTCAGGTGGTGACAGCCTGGTCCTGGCAGTGTCAAGTCCTGGATCAGCCTTCCAGCCGCTTTTTTCACCCATTGCTTTTCATGGTTTGAATCAGGTGTTTGATGAGGAGAATGCACATATTAGCTGGTTGTTTCTTTGTCTTGAAAGAGAGTTCATAGAGGAAATAGGATAGATGCTTCTCTCCATTTAATTACCAATTTTTAGGGTAAAAAGTTGGGCCCCTAGTTAATTCCAATTTTGTTCAGTGCCTTGGGTCTCTCCATCTCTCTGCCTGCCTGTCTGTCTCTTTCTTCCCCATTCTCTACAGTCATTATGAGCTCCTGGGGTTTGTATATTGAATGCGTCTCACTCAATTGCCTTTCTTATTCCTTTTGATGCTCAGTTGCATGATTGGCTCTGTGTTCCTTTGGCACGGCCCTCTTGCTTTCTGGCATAACAGGATGTCCCAGGCTCATTTTGTAAGTGCTACTCTGGCTTTGAACCCAGCCATTCCTCCAAGGACCCCTTGCCTCTTGGTGGGGAGAGGATTTAAGGGAAGGGGCTGTAGGTGTGCTCATTGCTATCGCTTCTTATTGCTTCCAGGTCTTTTTGGTGATAACTAAAAAGAAAAAAAAGTGAATTCAGACTGATATGTCTAAGTCAAATTTTATATTACAGAATTTTTTCTTAACTTTGATTTTATACTTAAATCTAATTTTTCCTACATTGAATCTTGGCTCCTAACAACTTTAACATAAACTACTTATTTGTATTAACCTACTTTAAAATACACCACAGTAACAGTTAAATTGTTGAAAGAAGTGTGATTTCTTTGCAGCTTATTTGTCAAAAGAATATGTTCTAGGTATGTGCAATCAGTATACTATGCTCAAAAGCCATTTGTGGCTATGTCACCAATATGATAGGTTTATTCTCTTTATTTTGTTTTAACATTCATTTAATTTTATTTTTTAACTATAGAAACATATGTTTCCAGAGTCATGTAACAGTATATTCAGAGAAGTCTTAACTGTATTCTCCCCCATAAGTAATCATTAAATTAAATTCTGGATTATCTTTCACCATGCTTATTTATTTTATTTATTTATTTTATATTTTATATTTTATTTTAGATAGGGTCTCACTCTGTTGCTGAGGCTGGAGTACAGTGGTGCAATCTTGGCTCAATGTAGCCTTGAACTCCCAGGCTCAAGCCATCTTCCTGCCTCAGCTTCCTGAGTAGCTGCGACTACGGGTGTGTGCCACCATGCCTGGCTAACTTTTTAATTTAATTTAATTTAATTTTTTTTGTAGAGACAGGGTCTCCCTATGTTGCCCAGGCTGGTCTCAGACTCCTAGCCTCAAGTGATCCTCCCACCTCGGCCTCCTGGCATGCTGGGATTACAGGCATGAGCCAGTGTGCCAGGCCAGAGTTTATTTTATATATTACCTTCCTTTTTTGCAGAAACGGTAGCATAGAACATATACTATTGTGTACCTTTTTTTTTTTTTTTAACTTAACAGTGTGACCTGGGTTCACTCCATGTCAGTGCACAGTGCTTGTCCTCATTCCTTTTTGTCTTGTGAGGAGGTGCCATACTCGACTCGGCTAGTTCCCTATCGATGGCCTTCGGTTGCTTGCAGTTTTGCTGCCAAATACTGCCTCAGTGAATAACCGGGTATATCAGTCATTTCCTATTTTTACCAATGTGTCTTTAGGATATATTCTAGAATTATTACTAGGACAAAGGATAGATGCAAACATAATTTTTGTAGATATATGACCATTTTTGCCGAAATTTTGGGGACCTAATTGAATTTTGTAATTGTAACACTTTCACCTATAAGCAGTCCAGTTTATTTTACATTTTAACATTACATCTCCTCAAACACCCATGCATGTTCTCTTTGTATGGAACATATTAAAAGTGTTACTTTAAGAAGACCTATTGATTTCATTTAGTTAATTTTAAAGTATCATAGCGTATAGAGTAAAAGAAATGAAAAGATTGCTAAAACATAGTCCTAAACCTTAAAAGATTTCAGAGTGAATATTTTGAGATTTATTTTCTTCTTTTATCTCCTCCTTATTCTATTTGTGGTGTATTTTGTCCCCTGTAGGCTATCAAAGACTGGAAATAAGGCACTAAGAAATGTACCTTTATCTGCTCCACCAGAATGAAGCAGGATATGTGTGTGGGTGCCAGAGGGTGTCCTGAAGTACTCTATAGATTTTCAGAAAATATTCATTGAACACCTCTCATTGCCAGGTTATAACAGAGAGCAACGCACACAGTTCCTCCTTCATGGCACTTACATCCTAGTACAGGAGACAGGTTAAAAACCAGGGAACCAATACGATAATTACAAGTCCTGTGGGCTTTAAAGGAATCAAAGGAGATGAAAACAGAGTCTAGCCGGGGGGCCTCTTTAGGTAGGGGAGGGGCAGCTGACCCACAAAGCTCTGCACAAAGTAGGGGAGGGAGTGGCTTAAGTGCTGGGAACAGCATGTACAAAGGCCCTGAGGCAGGAAACGCTTAGGGTGTTTGAGAGCTGAAAAAGAAAGCCAGAGGCAGGAAGCACAGGGAGTGAGGTGGGGAGAGGGGCAGGTCAGGTGTTTGAGTTAAGGATTGGGATTTTATTTTAAGTACATCAGGAAATCATTGAGGACAAGTAGGAGAATGACATTTGATACCAACACATCATGTACTTATTCTTTCTATAGATTAGAAGGCAAGTCAAATACGATGTTTTATCTCCAAAGGCAGCAATGTTGTACCTTCTGAAGTTCAAAGTGGAGATCGTTTTCATTGTTGTTCCTTTTTACAGGACAGCTGGTTTTCATACTCACATGTAGGTCTTTTTGAGGATTTCTTTTCTCTTTCAATAATGTTCCCCTTGATGTTGCTCAGATAATTACAATGAGTTATTGTAATTGGATTATATACTTGAGCTGTAAACAGGAGCATGATATCTACAAATTCTCTCCTTCAGACCTGCAAATCCAAGAGACACATCTTTGGAAGATAAGAGAGCTTCTTCAAGACCAAAAAAGGTTTGTGTTACTGCTGTCACATTTATATAAAATTAATTTTGGAATCAATAGCAGTTTTCCAGATAAAAGCATTTTCAATTTATTTATTTATGTTTCTATTACAGGAGACGGCATGATACCCATGTAGGGAATTCCCCAAAGCAGGGCTTGCCATACCTGGACCCCGAGGAGCCTGCTTGCTGGAAAGGCTTTCCTGTCTGATGTGCAGGAGGCAGAATGCCAAACTGACTCTTCAAGGGGCAACTGCAGGGGCTCGAGACCAGCCAGCAGTATCTCATCCTTCGATACAGGGGATATACTGTACAGTCCTTTTTCTAGAAGTGAGACATACAAGATTACTCTACAAGAGGAAGATTCCAGGGGCTCAAAAACGCAAAGGTTTGCACTTTGAGAGCCCCTTGGAATGTTGACAACTCAGGATCTAAAACAAAGTTCTGTGTTAATGAGTTACAGAATTCACGTGGAAGTCAATGTCACTTTATAATCGATAATAATACTGAGTGAGGAACACTATGCAGGAAGAAACCTTCCGTAGAAAGACAGGCAGGGAAAAGCTTAGGCTGACCTTAAACTTACCTAATAGAGCAAGCCTGAGATAGACTGCCAAAATGGCCAAATAAGAGACTCTATGAAATAACAGTCTTGTAACTGTAGTAATCATAAGGAAATTTTCTCCTTGAAATCACGATACCAAATAGGAAAAATGATCTACAAGTGCCCCATGTGTAGGGAATTTTTCTCTGAGAGAGCAGATCTTTTTATGCATCAGAAAATTCACACAGCTGAGAAGCCCCATAAATGTGACAAGTGTGATAAGGGTTTCTTTCATATATCAGAACTTCATATTCATTGGAGAGACCATACAGGAGAGAAGGTCTATAAATGTGATGATTGTGGTAAGGATTTTAGCACTACAACAAAACTTAATAGACATAAGAAAATCCACACAGTGGAGAAGCCCTATAAATGTTACGAGTGTGGCAAAGCCTTCAATTGGAGCTCCCATCTTCAAATTCATATGAGAGTTCATACAGGTGAGAAACCGTATGTCTGTAGTGAGTGTGGAAGGGGCTTTAGTAATAGTTCAAACCTTTGCATGCATCAGAGAGTCCACACCGGAGAGAAGCCCTTTAAATGTGAAGAGTGTGGGAAGGCCTTCAGGCACACCTCCAGCCTCTGCATGCATCAAAGAGTCCACACAGGAGAGAAACCCTATAAATGTTATGAGTGTGGGAAGGCGTTCAGTCAGAGTTCGAGCCTCTGCATCCACCAGAGAGTCCACACTGGAGAGAAACCCTATAGATGTTGTGGATGTGGGAAGGCCTTCAGTCAGAGTTCGAGCCTGTGCATCCACCAGAGAGTCCACACAGGAGAGAAACCTTTCAAATGTGATGAGTGCGGAAAGGCCTTCAGTCAGAGTACGAGCCTCTGCATCCACCAGAGAGTCCACACAAAGGAGAGAAACCATCTCAAAATATCAGTTATATAAAACGTTTTGCTAAGAGTTTAAAATCTTAAAACCCATAAGTGCCACTAGGAAGGAAACCCTGTATATACCTACATTGACCCAAGAAATATTTACGCAATCCCTAGCAGAACATTGTTTCTGAGGAGGCATATGTGAGATTGATTTGTTGGTTCATGCCAAGTGTGTTCCACAGGTTGACTTTGAATGTGGACCTCTGAGCATCCACGCAGGATGGCTCTCAGGTCCCAGTCACAGACGTCGCTTCCTGGGATTCCAGCACGATGCCTCCATAGTTGAAAGACTACACAAAAAGCCACAATCATTGCCCGGCCTCCTGAGTCACCTTCTATCTATACTTTGCTTAAAAGCTATCCCAGATACTCCCCCTTGAGGAGCTCATGCCCTTCCTTCCTCTTTATTCGAGCATACTGGCAATGCATTGGAAAACAGACAGCTCCCACTAAGATCACGTTCTGGTATTTCTGAGGTTAACACTTGATTTAGCCCCTACATATCTTTCCATATATCCTATTATTTCTGAATATATGTCCTCAAAATCCCCATAAATATCCATCCCTTCCTAGATGGCATTAACTTTCATTTTAGATTTTAGGTGACTCATAATTCCCATTCACTTAGCCTATCAGAAAAGTCATTGGCAGACATATATGTCCTTGAACCTTTTTTATTTGTGTGGATTCTGCTCATCACTGTCTCTGTTAGACTTATTTTGTAGTGGCTGCATCACATATTTTTCACTTGAATTTTTTTGGAAATAGCTGAATGTAAATAGCAGGGAGGAAGAAGCAAGCAAAGTGAGAGCTTTTCTTCATCCAGAATTGCCCTCTGGGCTCCTTTGGTAACAGATGGAGCTCCTTCCTAGCTAGGGAGACCTTATGAGAAGTGGATGGTAGGAGGAGTCACTAATGTTTCAATCTCTATTTCTGTAATCTTGGGCAATAATGCATAGGAGTTCTTGATACCCCTTCATTGATTACTGTGTATCAGTTCTTTGTTAGGCATGAACGTCTTTATTAATCCATCATTCTTTTCTTCATTCAACAAATATGTATTGAACACCTCCTATATGCCAGGCACTGTGCTAGGTGCTGGGAATACCACTGATGAGACAGACAAGGTCCCTACTCTTGTGGAGTTTACTTCTGGTGGAGGAGACAGATGATAAGTAAACAAATAAATAATGTAGTTTGAGATAGTGATTAAGTGCTATGAAGAAAATAAACTAGGGTGATGATTTTAGTGGTGGGGTGGGGTGGGGGTGGGGTGACATTAGCTAGTGGTCAGGGAGGCCTTTCCGCGGTGGGATGTTGAGCTGAGGCCGGAGGAGAAGTAGCAGTCGCTGGCAGAGCACACAGGCTGCTCTGGGGGATGAGCTGGTGCGTTTAAGGAACAGGCCAGCACTGGCATTCGCAAGCAGTGGGGAAGGGGAGAGATGCCGAGGTGGTCAGTATCCTGACTTTCAGAGGCCTTTTTTTGTTTGTTTTAATTTTTGCTAGATTGATATTAAAAACTCATGTGGAGGAACTCAAGGAATGTTTAGAAGACCAAAAGTCCCCAATGACAGGAACAAAAGCAACCAATTTTTAACTTTCTCTTCTCATTCCTGTTTTCATTGATTTCCCACATGTAGTCCTTTTGCTCAGGAAGTCTTTGGGGAAATTAAGGATCTTTGAAGCTCTGAAATAGGTGATCAGGTTAGTGGTGTCTGTCAGCTGTCTAAGAGGTTGGAAAATGAACTACTCAAGATAGTCACGAAAATACTGAAAGTTTGATTTTTCTTTCCATATTTGAATTAATTTTTTCTGTTTGACTGGAAGGGGTTTTTGTATAACTAAAACCTCAGCGCATAAAGGAGATTTAAAAGGAGCACATGATTTAGTGGGTGGGCCATGAAACTAGAGATGGGATTTGGGGGTGAATTTGTCAATATCTGGATTTTAATCCAGACATCTCTGCTAACAAGCCTTTGGTAAGTCACTTCAGATACTTTTCCTCCTTTTTACAAAGAGAGGGCTGGCTTAGTTATTTGCCAAAGCCCCTTCCAGGCCTGAATTCCACAAGTACGATTTACTGTAGTGTCTTATCACTCTTTCATGTCACAATAGCGTGGAGCATTAGAGAAAAGCCTAGACTTTTAGTTGATAGCCAGTTGAAATATCATTGATAGAATTTTAGTTTTAGGAAAAATTGGTTTGATTTCTAGCTTTATTACTATTAGGTATGTGAGCTTGGGCAAATCGCTTAATCTTTGAGTCTAGTTTTCTCTCAAAATGAGAACATTAGGCTAAATGATTTCCGAGTTTCCAGCTAGTCCTAGAGTTCTATATTTCTACATAGTTGAATTATTTTATCATGCTGTTGCTGGGGAATATGACTAACCCTTTTGAAGCTACTAATTTTATGTCGAGCTTTAAAGTCCATAATTGTTATCTTCAGAAAATATTATTTGACCTACAGTATGTCCAAATCAATTTAATAAAATCGCTTTATAACAGGGTTCTGTGCTTGACATGTAGTTGTGTGAATTCAGTGGTCGTGTGTGGGAGTATGGGTATGGGTGTGTGGTGGAGAATTGGCTTGCACATTAAGCCCAGGGTGACCATGTAATTTATTGTCCAAACTGAGCACTTGAGAGTGAAGGGAGGGGGTGCTGTTGATACTCACATCTGGACAACAAGCCTCGAATGGGCCTTTCTCGGGCACACTAAGGTGTGAGGACACCTTGGTCTGAGGTCACAGCCACACAGGTAATAAATGACTCAAGTCAGGAATAATCCATCTGGAGAGAGCACAGTCCACTGAGAGGACTGCCTCAGCTCGGCTGTGGCTCTGTGTTCACGGCGAATACAGGCCCACAGCTCTTCTAAGAAAACACCAACCTCGATTTTCACACACAGTTTAATCTTAAAATGTTGGCAGCTAATTCCTTTTCCTTGGGTGATCCATTTTGGTGCTTTCTGTGATCTTCCTGGTGCCCCTTGGCAGTTCCTCCAAGCCCTGCCCTGGCCCCTGCTGACTGCAGCCCATGCCTGGGAAGGCGTGAAGTGCTGTCAGCTGAAGCAGAGGGGGCCCACGTTCTGTGCCGCAGTCAACAGTCTGACTGGCTGTGGCGTCTACCAGCTTTGAGAGACAAGTCTGCATTGCAATTCCACCATTGGGATGGGAGCAACCCAAACTAGCCCTTCTGATGGGGGTGGGGGGTGGGGGCAAGGGTAGGTCATCTGTGATGGGATTCACTCTTGGTGAATCTGCTAGGATTTAGAGTGTGAGCCAAGATAAGTCCAGAATGACTGCATGGTTTCTAACTTGGAAGCATGAATAAACGGCAGATTGCCTCTTGCAGATAGGAAGAACTCTTTGCATCAGAGTCCAACATTGAGATAGTCTACTGCGTGAGAATGTGGGCACAGCTCGTCAGGCCATCTCAGAAATTGAAGAGGGATTACTTTGTGTTGTGTGAGCATGGACATGATTCCTTCCAAGGGACCTTCTAGCTCTTGGCTCTGTTCTTAAAATTTTTGAATTATTTCTCAGTCTTTGTAATGTACTGATATTCTCAGAAATTTGAAAAACTAGGTGAATGGAAAGCAAATATCAGAAGCAGATGGAAAATATACTCAGTGGTAAAATCTAGGAAAAGATGAGAAAGGTTGATACTACTACAGGGCAAGAGCCATATATAAATAGCAAAGCTGAGTTAAGATCTATGGATTAGAGAGGAAGAGAGGAAAAATGAAGATGATAGAGCACTTCCTCTAACCATATTCATTTTCTTAATTTTTCTAAACCTCAAGTTTCTCATCTTTAAAATGGTTTTGAAAATATCTAATTCATGGAAATGTTGGGAGAAGTAAATAAACGTAAAGTGCCTAGCATTTAGTGCTATAACGAATTCCTATTCCCAGTTGCCTATTAAGGAAGAAAGGTCATGTTATTTGGATTCCTTTTTGTTTTGCTGAGCTCTGTGGTGGGTTTGGACATCTAAAATTGGGGTAGGACCTGGAGAGGGCTGAATTGCTCCACATGGTAAGAGAGAGAACTTGAATCTCCTGGGGTAGTTGGAGGTAAGAAAACAAAGGGTAGACTTGGAGTGGGAGAGAGGACCAGGGAACCAGTGGAGTAGGATGGTCTGAAGTTCTGAGCTCTTGTGTAGGAAAACTTCGTGACCACAAAGTCTTTCCCTAAAGTTAGGGGTGTTTGGCATGGTGGATTTCTTATGGAAACTGGTGGAAGGGCTGAGTGCTGTATCCAGGGTGAAATGGGGCAACACGTAAGTACCACACATAAATATAGGAGCCAGAAGAGGGTGCCCCTGAGAACAAGCTCCAAGGAATATGCAGAATATGCAGAAATCTTCAGGGTAGCTAAAAGCTGCTACAGGCCATGGAATTAATGGAGTTTTGAGTCAAGTTTACCCAAACCCCTAAGGGGCAGGGAGGCCTGGGATATCTTTATTTCCACTCTCAATGTACATGAAGTAGAATAACTTTATAATCATAAGTAAGTTGAAACTTAAGAATTTTTTTTATCATTCTCATTTTAACATATTACAAAACACATGAACAAATCCAGAGATCCCAAGGCTGTGTGTGTGTTTATGCCAGTAAGAACTTGTCATAAATATCGGTGGAAAATGACACTTTATACCAAAGCAATTTTATTGCTCAGATTTAGGCATATGTAAATAAACTGCATTTCTAGAGTAAAGTAGCACATACAGATTTTGTGTATTTTTAGGCGGATGTATGCATTTTATAGACTCTGTACCTTCCTAAATACTGTGTCTAAATATGGCTTCGCTGAGAGACCGACTTTCCCTCCCCCTCTTAATTCTTTGCTGGCCCTGATCCAGGTCTTCTCTGCATCATGAATTATGGTGGGGGTGTTGTATTTACAGAATTTTAAAACCTAAGACCTGCAGACGGCTTTTGGGGAGGTCTAGAACCTTTTTAAGTTATGTGCAGAATTTTGTGTACCTGTAGGTCTATGCATTTTTCTAGGAAAGGGGGCTTTCCTTATGTTTGTGACTCTAAGAGATAAAGAACACTGGCTGGCATATGGTTACTCGTTGTTTGGGGATCTTGGGAGGCAAAAGGGGTGCCTAAGAGTTCCAGTTAGTGGAATGGATAGGAAATGATGGGTATAATAAACGGAGGAAAAAACACAACGCTGTGTTGTGAGGAAAGAGGGAAAAGGACGTTGGCATAAAATGGAAGGATACATGTGCATGTGTTGTTATGCTGGGCCCAGGAGGTAGGCTGTGTGGCAGTTTCGATGTCATACGCTTAAGACAACAGTTCTGCGAACAGTGTATTAAAAGAATATAGGTGAGGACAATTGAGTATTCAGAGGGGACTGGCTGGACGTGGACGGAATTGGCTACCTGAATGGAAAACACTAGATCTCAACTGAATCTGTCTTGGTTACAGAGGAGGCAGTTCTTGCTGTAAAATGGGTGAGGGCCCCAGTACTGGTGTGGGTTGTATTTAGGTTCTCAAATAGACCTATTCATATTGCTCAATGCCATGTTCTCTCATGTCTAATTTTTATGTCCTACCTCACTTGCCTGGGATCTCTGACTGTTTAAGTCAGTCCTCTTTAGTCTTCATCCTGTCTGTCCCCAAAATGTCTTTTTTTTTTTTTTTTTTTTTTACCCCTGATACTCTTCCATCCTTGTGTGCCCCCCGCTCCCCTTTCTGAGATAAGGTCAAGACCCACAGGGACTTAGTCTCAAGGGTAAGTCCTGTTTCTACAGTCTGTGGAGGATGACGGGAGAGTCTGGTAGAGCAGCAAGCCCTACTTCCTGGAGCTGTTGTTGCCACATTGTTATAGTTGAAACAGGCAGTGTCTGGAAAGAACTGAATCCTCTGTGTTTTGCTTGCCTCACTTGATCCAGTAAACATTAGGAGAAGAAATTAAAAAAACAGGAAAGGATAAGATGGCAGGAGTAAGTTGAAGCATATTGTTAATCATAGTAAATGTGAACTGGTTAAATTCAGCTACTTAGGGACATTTTCAAGTTGATTTGTAAATGACGTCACAAACGTGTATATGATGGTTATGGGAGACCACCTAAAATAAAGGGGTGACCCAAAAGGCTGACAGTGAAGGGGTTGAAAAAGATCAGGAAATGCTAAAAGAAAGCAACTGGTGGTAGTATTGTCAGTCCGTTTATGAAAGGAATAATTTGTCAAGAAGATAGTTATATACTTTCATTAGCTCACAACATAGCTTTGAAAGATAGAACATGGTAAGAAATTAAGCAATTCCCAGTCACAGCAAGATATGTTAACCCTCACCCATCAGAATTTGAAAATCAACTAGACAAAGAAGGATCTGGCTATTTAACTAACACTGTTACCAAACTTGATGTGTCCACTGTGTGTGAACTTTGTGCAGCAGATCCTCTTGGAATGGTCATAGAAATTAGCCATGCTTTGTGCCAGAAAGGAAATCTCACCAGATTCCAAAATGTAGAAATCTCACAGGTCATATTCTCTGACTATAATGTAATAAAAAATTGAAGTCACTGAGAAAGAGCCAAAAGTCCTGTCCATTTCATCCCAAGTTACAAATAAAGAGGAAATCAAGTGTAGTAGAGATGAGTGGCAGAGATGGCACTGTGGGGCACGTCTTGTGGATGGGGCCGAAATGAAAAACTTTCATAGCCTTCAATTCATTTATGAGATAAGGAATATGAAACTAAGCAGTCAAACAAGCTGGAAAAAATACTGCAGGATTTTTAAATTTTACCAAATGACTTTTGGGCCTTCACCAAGATCATCATATGCTCCTGTTCCTTTCATTTGTTAATGTACTGAGTCATTTTGAAATATAAGGATAACATCTTTTATGGTCATAAAGTATTACATCCTTCCACCTTTGGTGGATTTTTGAAAATTTGCATGTGTGTAACCTTAAGAGAGAGTCTTTAGTTATGAATTGATTTAATCAGGGATTTAAAAGCTTTCTATCCTCCTTATTCTGGAATAAATTAAATAGCACAGGTTAATAACTGTGCCCCTGGACTGTATGGGCAGTATTCATACAAGAAAAAGTAATAAAATCTGTGTCCCACTTCACTTGCCTGGAGCATAAATTAAGGTAACATCTCATATTGTTTAAATCAACCATCTGATCCTTGAAAGTGATAGAACTCATCCAAAATGGCTCAGATCCTTGAGGGTGGAGCTTAGAAGCTTTGACAGTGTTTTTACTCTTTTCAAAACTAATAGGTCAATTTAGATCTTTCCCCCTTATTTTTGATAATTTATAGTTTTCTAGGAAAAAACCTCCCTTTTTTGGGGACCTTCAAATATATTTTAGAGATGTGTATAACTCTAAATTCTTAAATCTCATTGGCATTTTGATAAAATCTTACATCTCCCATCGTATGTTTATATTTTCCATTTTTTTCTTTATTGGACTTGCCACCCTCTCTACTTCCACTCCCCCGAAGAACCAGACATTGGCTTTGGTGATCACTTCTGCTGGGGTATTTTCCTGTCATATTTATTACTTTCTTTTATTATCACTAATCATATCCTCTTCCCTTCCTTAATTTAGCTTATTATCTTTTTTCTGAAACTTTTTTTTTTAGTTGCTAGAATCCCATGAATTAATCCCAATAGGCTTTATTTTCAGTGATCTAGTTCCGGGTCAGCAAACTATGGCCCTGGGCCAAATCTAGCTCATCTCCTGTTTTTGTATAGCCTCCAAGCTAAAAATGTGTATGTTTCTAAATGGTTTTTAACACATTGATATTTTCTGAATACGAAAACTTAATGAAATTCACATTGTGTCCATAAATACAGTTTTATGGGAACAAAACCATGTTGATCCATTCTTGGCTTGTCTGTGGCTGCTTTGATGCTGCAACAGCAGAATTGCAGAGTTGCAACAGAGATTGAATGGCCCCCAGAGCCTAAAATATTCTTTCTCTGGCTTTTTACCAAAAAAATTTCCCCATCTCTGGTCTAAGTCACTTGTACCAACTGGCTGGAAGTTTCCAGAGAAGGAAAGGAGGGAGGCTGGTGCTTCTAGACAAAGTGCAAAGAAGGATTTACTGAGATTGGGAAGAGAGGTAGGCTCCATGAATGCTGGGGACTGAGCCCCTTATATGAGATGCTTCAGAAGTGAGAGAGCCAGGATGGGTCCTGGCTGCTGAGGACTCAGTGCTGTGCCCCTGGGAACAAATAGCCACATGCAAGCCTGATCTGGAGGAAGGAGGGCCCTCCTGGCTGGCCGCTAGCATCTGTGTAGATGACACTGGCTTCCACACGGGCTGCTGAGCACCACCAGCACAGGGCAGGGCAGAGGCCTCTCTCCTAGACAGTCTTGTTACCACCCAGGAAGCACATTCTGTGAGAGCAGACTTGGGCGGGATTTGATTCCATTTAGACAAATAAATGAGACTTTTTATGCATTAAAGGTTGTAAATAGATGGATACCATTAAACTTCATTGTATTATTCAGATTCTTTGTATTGCATTTACTATTTTCTTACTTGATCTTGAAAGCGTTTAAGGGAACTCTCTTCCACTATGCTTCTGGTTTAATTTTCTCTGTATTTCTAATTCTGTGCAGTTCACTTTATAAATATCCATGATTTTGTTTCAGTTAGGTTTTTTTTTTTTTTTTTTTTTTTTTTGAGATGGAGTCTCGCTCTTTTGCCCAGGCCAGACGGTAGTGGTGCTATCTCGGCTCACTGCAACCTCCGTCTCCAGGGTTCACGCCATTCTCCAGCCTCAGCCTCCTGAGTAGCTGGGACTACAGGCACCCGCCACCGCGCCTGGCTAATTTTTTGTATTTTTAGTAGAGATGGGGTTTCACCATGTTAGCCAGGATGGTCTCGATCTCCTGACCTTGTGATCCACCCCCCTCGGCCTCCCAGAGTGCTGGGATTACAGGCGTGAGCCACCACACCCGGCCTCAGTTGGGCTTTTTATGTGTGTAAAATACCAGGTTCATCCTGTTCAATGGTGTTTGCTTGAGTTCTACATTGATATACCTACCTTCACTCCTAATTTTGTTGGGTTTGACTAAGATATGTTTATCTCTTAAAATTATCTTTTAGTAATTTTGTATTTGGGGAAAAGTATGCGCACATCAGACAATTCAGAGAATAGTCTAGCCTGACTCTCATTCTTGATTTCCAGATCCCCTGCCCCAGAGCAGCCACTTTCCAGTGTGGCTTTCCTGAGATAGTTCCTGTATACACAAATGGAGGTGTGCACACACATCCTGCTGTTTCCCGAGAACATGATTGCATTCTGTGCTTGTGCTGTAGCAATGTCAATTTTCAGTGAGCAGTGCTCCTAGTGACTGTTAGCTACCAGTGCTTGCATTTTTTTTTTGATGGCTCCATTACTTCCCGCCATATGGAAGGCCTCAGTATGTATCACTAGGCCTCTGTTGATGGAAGTTCCCCTGTATTTTCTTCTACTACTTTTAGGCTTTTGTTTTTTACATTTACATCTTTGATCCATCCACAATCTTTTTATTTTTTTCTGTAAGGAATATGGTAGACTCAAATTTTTAAAATTTCCCTGGCTGGTTAGTTATTCTATGACTACTTACTAAATCTTTTCTCCACGGATTTGAAATGCCAACTATATTACAAGTCAAATTCTTATTTGGATCTATTTCTGTTCCAGCCAAATCCCAACTTTTAATTACTGGGGGTTTTTTTTTTTTTTTTTTTTTTTTTTTTTTTTTGAGACAGAGTCTTGCTCTGTTGCCCAGACTGGAGTGCAGTGGTGCCTCCTGAGTTCAAACCATTCTCCTGCCTCAGCCTCCCGAGTAGCTGGGAGTACAGGCGCCCGCCCCAACGCCCGGCTAATTTTTTGTGTTTTTAATAGAGACAAGGTTTCACCATGTTAGCCAGGATGGTCTTGATCTGACCTCGTGATCTGTCCGCCTCAGTGTCCCAAAGTGCTGGGATTACAGGTGTGAGGCACCGCGCCTGGCCAGTTACTGGGCTTTTATTCTTTAATATTTGCACAGCCATGCCCTTTATTACTTTTTTTCCCCAGATTTCCCCCATTTATTCTGAAATGTTTGATCCTTTCCCTTTAAACTCGATTGTATTTTGTCTTAGCTATGTGTTTTGTAAACAACACAGGATAAATTTTTTTGACTGAATGTTAATTCCTCTTTTTAATAAGGACACTCAACACATTATCCTTTTTTGGTGATACGTACTAATTTTTTTTTTTTTGAGACGGAGCTTTGCTCTTGTTGCCCAGGCTGGAGTGCAATGGCGTTATCTTGGCTCGCTGCAACCTCCGCCTCCCAGGTTCAAGCCATTCTCCTGCTTCAGCCTCCTGCGTAGCTGGGATTACAGGTGTGCGCCACCACGCCCAGCTAATTTTTGTGTTTTTAGTAGAGACGGGGTTTCACCATGTTGGCCAGACTGGTCGCAAATTCCTGACCTCAGGTGATCCACCCACCTCGGCCTCCCAAATTCCTCGGCTGGGATTATAGATGTGAGCCACCACGCCTGGCCAATATATACTAATAATCGAATGAGTTATACTATTGCCAGTTGAAAATACCAAAAATAAAGTATGTTTGTGTTTTTATAATTTAAGTAAAATAAGTACAAACCTCAATTCCTCAGGGATTGGTACACCTTATTTTGGAGGAGGGGACAAGGTGTTTCCATTTCTTAGAGTCACCGCTGGTCCATACATCCCGCTGTTTCTGAGTTCTGACTCGGCTTTGCATCTTGACTCTCATGACTCTGCCGCCCTGTGTGTTACTCCATAGACACTGTGGACTCAGGCTGTGTATCGGGGGGTGTCCTTTACTGATGGTTTATAGCAACAGGAGGGTTCCGTCTGCATGTAGGAACTGCATGTTGAATGATAGAACTTCTGTTCTTGCAGTCTCTGGCCATTCCTGTCCCTGAGGAGTCCCACAGCTGCCCTCACAGCAGGCCTTAACCTCCCATGATGCTGTTGGGCCTCTCTTTATCTTTTTTGGGGACGGTGGTGACAGGATCTTGCCCTGTCACCCAGGTTGGAGTGCAGTGGTGCTGTCATAGCTCACTGCAGCCTCAGCCTCTGGGTTCAAGCAATCCTCCCGCCTCAGCCTCCCAAGTAGCTGGGACTATAGGCATGTGCCACCACACCCAGCTAATTTTTAAACTTTTTGTAGAGATGGAGGTAGCAGGGGAGGTCTCACTTTTTTGCTCAGTCTGATTTCGAACTCTCGGCCTCCAGCCAGTCTCCTGCCCTGGCCTCCCAAAGTGCTGGGATTACAGGCGTGAGCCACCATACTTGGCTTCCTTCCCCATTCCTGATCTCCTCTCTCCTTCCTAACCTGCCTGCTTACCCTAAATCCCCCAATTCCTGCCGTGTCTTATAGAGAGCAATCTAGCAATGGCCCTTTCTTCTTCATACCATCTTTGGCTGTACCCACTGTGTCCCACGCCGATAACCACACACATTGCAATGTGGTTCTCAACCGTCACAGAACCTGGGAGAGACTCGGAGGCCTGCTAGTGAAGTTTAACCTGCTTTTATCTCCTGACTACATAGATGTAAGTAACAGGATGCATGGCTGAAGAGTCAATGTGTGGTTTTTCCTTTCTTCCTCTTCAGGACAGCTGGAGGCCAGGCTCTGTGGTTGTCCTTAGCTGGGTGCGGCACTGCTAGGCCCTGCAGGCAGTGGGAGGGCCCCGCATCCCTGGGCCCGAGGAGTCACCCTTAGCTGGGGTTGCCAGATAAAATGCAGACTGCCTAGTTAAATTTGAATTTTAGATACATTGAAAAATATTTCTTGTGAATCTGAAATATGCATTTAACTGGCTGTCCTGTTTTTATTGGCTAAGTCTGGCAGCTCTGCCCTCAGGGAGGCTGGCAAGGGGCGCTAGTATTCCAGAAAGGGGTGGTGCAGGACAGTGTGGGCTGGGTGGAGACCCCTCTTGGGCTGGGATGTGGACGTAGAGAGGCCTTTCTTGTTCCTGCAGTAAAGAGAGAAGCTGCATGCCCCTGAGGACATGCTCCCAGGGGGGACAGAAGGGAAGAACATTGCAGGTTCACAAGAATGAATCAGGTCCTGGGTATCTGGGCCTTAGGGAATGGCTGCATGGGCCAGGGCACCAAGCCAGGGCCCCCGGGCCATGTGGCCCGCCCTCCTTGGAACCACAGAGGACACTAGATCAACTTTAGGTCACTGAGCTGTGCAAGGTGGAACCTCTTGTCAGCGGCGCTCCCCCAGTGACAATGGAGCGGAGATAGTGGTGGACCCATGAGACCACCTGCAAGACTCCAGGGAACCCATTTTCTGGAATTTTCCAAGTTGTTTTGGAATAATTCAGAGGGGGAAGAGGTGGCAGCCCTGAGAGGAAGCTAGAGGACCACCTTCCCCATGGCTGCGCAGATGAACGTGGGTTGGAGAGGAGCTGCTCATGCTCGGAGCTCATCTGGATTTACTGATTTACCCCACACATGGTCACCCATCTGCCATGCACCAAGCACCCTTCAAGGGCGGCACGGACGAGAACAAACACAGCCTTGCCTGCGTGGAGGTCACGCTCTGCAGGGTGGAGACCACTCTCATCTGCAGGGCCCCTTTTGTCATGTTGTCACAGGGATGGCGGGGGGCCCACTGCGGGTGTGATATGCTGATGGGCAACTCTGGCTTTTTAAATATTTTAGCTCCGTGGCTGTGCTAAAAGCTATATTCAGTCCCTATTTTTCCTCTTATTTATTTTGATTGATAAAAATTGTATATATTTATGTACAAGGTGATGTTTTGAAGGACATATGCATCGTGGGATCCCCACAGGATTTGACCCTCGTACAGAGCAGAGCAAGCCTCCTTGACAAAGGGAAGGCAGCAGTGAAGGGTCAGAGGTGCTAATGAGGTGGAGAGGAAGGGGAGGCGCTTGACGGGGAGCAGCACACGCAGAGGCCTGGGTTGGAGGGGCTTGCTTGACAGACGGAAGGAAGGACCTTGAGACAGGGCAGGGAAGGAGGCGGAGTGTCGGGGAAGGGAGCTTGGAGAAGCAGGGAAGGGATGGCCCTTCAGGGCCTTGGTTAGGGTTTCAGTCTCATCCAAGGACAGTGGGAGCCCCCAACTCCCCCCAAGTGGTTCCAGTTAGGTGGGGGCAGTGCTGCCCAGTGGAGAGGGGTCTCCACTTTTTGGAGGTGGGAGGGAAGGCACAGAGATAATGAACCAAGGAAAGGGCCGCACAGTAGCTGAGAAGTGAGGAGGCCAGCCCTGGGGGCAGGCGGTGGCAGAGATGGGCAGAGGCATATCTACAGGAAGGAGATTTGGGAGGAACAATCCATAGAACTTGCTGGATTGGATTTGGAGTGCATGTTAGTTTCCTATCGTCACTGTCCCAAATCACCACACATTTTGGAGGCTTAAAGTAAATGTATTCTCTAGTAGTTCTGGGGGTCAGAAGTTTGGAGTAGGTCCAAGGTGTTGGGACTGTGCACCCTCCAGCCGCTTTCAGAGAGCATCTCCTTCCTTGCCTTTTCCAGCTTCCAGAGGCATCCGTGTTCCTTTGTCCCTTGGCCCCAACACTCTGACTTCTGCTTCTGTGGCCACGTCTCCTCCTCTGACTCTAAGCCACCTGCCTCCCTCTTAGGAGGACCCTTATGATGACACAGGGGCCACTCAGATCATCTAGGACCATCTCCCTTCTCAAGGTCCTTCATCACATCCGCAGGGCCCCTTTTGCCATGTTGGTAACATTCCCAGATTCTGGGGATTGGGGCGTGGACACCTTTGGGGACCATGGGTCTGCCCACCACAAGGAGTAAGCAGGAAGGACTCGTCCAGGAAGATTCCCAGTGTCTGGCTCATGCCATGGGATGGTGAGTCGTGCCACTTTTTAAAGGAGGAAGCATCAGGAGAGGACCAGGTTTGAATGACTTTGAGTTGAATTTCTTCCCAACATCGAAGAAGACACTCAAGTCGGCAGAATCTGCAACTGTGGATCTCAAAGGAGAGTCCTGGATGTGTGTGTCATCCGTGAGCAGGCTATATATATACATAGTCTCTCTCTATATAGACAGGAGGTTATTTTAAGGAACTGACTCATGCAGTTGTGGAGGCTGGCAAGTCTAAAATCTGCAGGGCAGGCTGGCAGCCGAGCCCCAGGGAAGGGTGGATGTTGCCACTCCAGCCTGAAGGCTTTCTGAAGGCAGAATCCCCTCTTCCCGGGGAACCTCAGTCTTTTTCTCCCACGGCCTTCACCTGATTAGATGAGACCCACCCATAGCCTGGCAGGTCTTTGGCTTCACTCAGGGGCTACTGACTTCAGTGTTCATCGCATCCCAAAAATACCACAGCAACATCTAGGCAGGTGTTTGACCGAATATCTGAGAACCATGCCAAGCCAAGCTGACACATAAAACTGGCTGTGACACTGCTTATCAGTCGCAGTGAATGACGCCTCCCTGCAGTGAGTGTCCAGGCCCCACACCCAGCAGCCTCCTTCATTTCCCTTTTCCTTTCACATCTGTCAGCAAGCCCTGTCAATTCTGTCCTCAGAATACACCCTGCATCTGTTCCCATCTTCTGAGCTAAAACCCTCTTCCGAGCCACCACCACCTCCTGCTTGCAGGACTGCAGCCATCGTCAGGGCCTCCCTGCTGCCCTGCGGGCCTGTGTCTGCCTCTCCATCTCTTACCTCCATCCACCTGTCTCTGTCACTCTGTTTTTGTATTGTCTCTGTTCATCTGTCTCTCTGTCTCTGCCTCTTTTTATCTCCCTCTCTCTCCCTGTCTGTCTGTGTCCCTGTCTCTTTGTCTTTCTCTGTCTTTGTGTCTGTCTCTTTCTCTCTCTCCACAAGGGCCTGGTCATGGAGGATGGCAGTGGCTGGGGTCTGAGGGAGAAGACGACAAGGACATCACATAGTCATAAGTCTTCCCCTGTCACAGATCCATTAGAGATAGAAGTGCCAAGAAGACGCGGTCCTCGGGGAGGCTGGCATTGACATGGCCAAAGTGACACTGCTCCACCAGAGGCAGCCAAGCCACACGGTGTGGGAGAGCCAGGGACTCCAGGGGAGCCGGGCAGACTTGGGGGTGGCAACTGGGAGCAGCAGCTGAGCCCGAGGGCGTGGCAGCACCCAAGGTGCTGCAGGGTTGGATGCAGAGTGTGGTGAGCCCAGACTCAAAGTCCCTCCACCACATCTAGCTGTGTGACCTTGAGCAAGTGTCTTTACCTCTCTGAGCCTCAGTTTCCTCATCTGTAAAGTATTGTACTGACGAATGACAGTATTTATCTCCGGATGGCTGCGAGGCTGAAGTGAGCTTAAGCAAGTGAAGTCCTCAGCTGGTGTCTGGCACAGAGCAAGGGCTCAGTAGATCTTAGCTGTTATTATTACTATCCCCAGGAAGTGGCAGTGGTCCCAAGTGTTGTGATCTTGCAGAAAGGCTGGCACTGCCCGTCAGAGCTGGCTGTCCCAGTGAAGGTGACAACAGCTGAGCCTGCATCTGGCAGAGGGAGCAGGGTCTGGCAGACCTGGCTGTAGCTGGAAGCGTGGTGGCAGCAGTGGGTTGGCAGCGGTGTGGTGGTCATTTGCCGGCAGGCGAAGCGCTGAGGTCCCAGAGTGCTGCCCAAGAGCCCCGTGTTTGAAGGCACTGGGAGGTGGTCCCTGGTGACTCCAGACCTGCTCAGGTAGATTTTGCAGGGAGCCAGGGCCAAGCAAAAGCAGGAGGGGGAAAAAGCATCTTTTAGTTCCCTTTCTCTGAAAGCAAACAGTCACAAGCTACAAGCCTGGGGCTTGTGAGGATCGCCAACTCTTCTGCGCACCGGTGAGTTCTTGACAATCAGATGAACAGAGGGAAAGAGGCGTGCCCTTGCTAGCCAACTTCCTGGAGCCCTCTCAGCTGGCATCTTGGTGCTTGTACACATTTGAGAGCATCAGCATTTCTTTACAAATGACCCCATCAGCTCGCCAGTCACCTTGCTTTGCTGGAAGTTTGCCTTGGGATTTGGGAGAATTTAGTTGAAACCAGTAACACCCAGCGTGGCCAAATTCCATATGCTCCTTCTGCGTCTGTGTAACAATTTCCTTTCTTTTTTTGAGATGATTCTCACTCTGTTACCCAGGCTGGAGTGCAGTAGCATGATCTCGGCTCACTGCAGCCTCTGCCTCCTCAGTTCAAGTCATTCTCCTGCCTCAGCCTCCCCCAAGCAGCTGGGACCACAGGCGTGTGCCACTACACCCAGCTAATTTTTGTATTATTAGTAGAGACAGGGTTTCACGATATTCAGGCTGGTCTCAAACCCCTGGCCTCAAGTGATCCATCTGCCTCAGCCTCCCAAAGTTCTGGGATTACATGCGTGAGCCACCACACTCAGCCTCTATGTAACAGTTTCTTTGAAATTTGTCGGAAGCAGGTTACCAGGGAGAAATAATATTTTTAATTATTCTTTCATTTATTTATTGTTTGTACATTTTCTGTGTGTGCATTCATCTGCAGGTTGTATCTTGGAATAGACCCCGCAGAGACGTGCAAGTAATGACTTCACATTAACGTGTCACTGGCCTGCCCTTGATGTGTTGGGGGGCCGGGCAAGAGTACAAATGGAGACCCACCTTTAAAAGTCATAAATCAAGGCAGGCATGGTGGCTCATGCCTGCCATCTCAGCATTTTGGGAGGCCAAGGCAGGAAGATCGCTTGAGGCCAGGAGTTGGAGACCAGACTGGGGAACATAGTGAGACCCCATCTCTACAAAATTAAAAATTAGCCGAGCATGGTGGCACACACCTGTAGTCCCAGCTACTTGGGAGGCTGAGGCAGGAGGATCTCTTGAGCCCAGGGGTTCAAGGCTGCAGTGAGCTATGATTGCGCCACCACACTCTAGCCTAGGTGACAGAGTGAGACCCTGTCTCTTTTTTTTAAAAAAAGTTATAAATCAAGTTAGCAAAGCAAATCAAGTTAACAAAGCGGTTCTGACAATGAACTCTTCAGAACCACCTGGAAGGCCAAGCTTTGGCCTTTGGGATGCGGGGACTCCTGAGCTCCCCCTGGGTTGTGGTGGGCAGTAGGGGCTGGCATGTGTCCCACCTGCCTGTGTCCCTTTTTGCTCCACATCCCTTCCTGCCCCACCCGAGTCCTCCTGGAGTCCACACGTGTGGACACCCAGCCCATGATTCGAGCTCTGGCCATCCCTCCACACCACCCCATAGCTGCCCCCTTGCAGGCCCATGGGCAGGGCCGTGGGTACCAGCAGCCTGCTCTTCGGAGGCTGCATCTGAAGAACGGGTTTGTGCAGGCTCTGAAGGAACGCCTGCGCTGTTTCAGAAGGAACCTCCAGTGCCAGGAAATTTGGAGCCTGATACAGAAGCAACATTCCGGTTTGGCACATTCCCTTGACCCTGGAGAGGCTGTGAGTGGGGCCCTCTAAAGCACGGGGCCCAGGACAGAGACCCCTCTCATCCAGGTTCAAGGGAGCGCAGACTGACCGTCCACCTCCACAGATTTAGTTAGCAAAGGTATCAAACTAGACAAGCCCCGGGGAAATTTCTGTCCCTCGTGAGTAAGTAAAAATGATATGTATCAAACAGTAATTTTGAGGAAAGGAAAAAAAAGACAGCAAAACTCATACGATCTCATCTCAGGTTACAGAATCTTAGGCGTTAACTAGCTGATCTCATGTCACAAAAAGTCCGGGTAGGAGAGTCAGCATTTTGGGGTCTTCATCCAATTCCCCAGTGCCCTGGCTTCACACTGGCCAGCTCATTTGACCTCCCCGAGGCAGAGCGACAGGAAAGCACGTGACTCATCTCCTTCTAGCGTGTGTCTGTCCCAACAAAGTCCTAATCAAGATCCCCGAGAGATCCTCGGGCTGCAAGATGCCTGGGAAATATCAATTGTTGTCAGCCTCACAGGCTCCATGCAGGGAATTCCTGCAGGCTCAGAGGCCTTTGTCATCAGGGAGCTTGCAGTCAAACGACTTGTGGTTTTCTTCAGCACTTCGGTATCGGCCAGGATCTCTTTTCTTTTTCTGACACTCTCAGACAAAATGCACAGAACAGTTTACAAGCCCCTCCAAGTTCTCTAGTCCCTCTTGATAATTGCCTCTGAATATTGACACAGTTTTAATATACAAATTTAATACGCAGAGGGATGGTAGATGCGATGACTTGGATAATCCCCATGAGCAGGGAATAATAAAATAGACACGTGGCTTTGGAATTAATTATACTTTATTTGGCTTCATGATTTAGTTTTGAATTATATAATTGACTTTATATTAAGTAAATTTAAGTTACATAGGTGGTTGAGAAAGAACCAATAATCAAATGGAAAAAAGCCAACCTGGGGTTCATTTTTGTTTTCCTTCGTGCGGAATAGAAGTTGCTGATTCACTCGTGGGTGGTTGAGTGTTATTCATATACTCAAGAGCTTATGTTCTTTGTATCATTTGTTTGGGGTATTTTTTTTAAGTTCCGGGGTACATGTGCAGGATGTGCAGGTTTGTTACATAGGTAAATGTGTGCCATGGTGATTAGCCACACCTATCAACCTGTCTCCTAGGTATTAAGCACAGCATGCATTAGCTATTCTTCCTGATGCTCTCCCTGCCCTGTCCCCACCAATAGGCCCCAGTGTGTGTTGTTCCCCTCCCTGTGTCCGTATGTTCTCATTGCTCAGCTCCCACTTATAAGTGAGAAGGTGCAGTGTTTGGTTTTCTGTTCCTGTGTTAGTTTGCTGAGGACAATGGTTTCTAGCTCCATCCATGTCCCTGCAAAGGACATGAACTTGTTCCATTTTATGGCTGCATAGTATTCCATGGTGTATATATGTACCACGTTTTCTTTATCCAGTCTATCTTTGAGGGACCTTTGGGTAGATTCCATGTCTTTGCTATTGTGGTTTTTTTTTTTTTTTTTGAGACGGAGTCTCACTCTGTTGCCCAGGCTGGAGTGCAGTGGCGCGATCTCGGCTCACTGCAAGCTCCGCCTCCCGGGTTCAAGCAGTTCTGCCTCAGCCTCCCGAGTAGCTGGGACTACAGGCACCCGCCACCATGCCTGGCTAATTTTTTGTATTTTTAATAGAGACAGGGTTTCACCGTGTTAGCCAGGATTGCCTCGATCTCCTGACCTCGTGATCCGCCGCCTCGTCCTCCCAAAGTGCTGGGATTACAGGCGTGAGCCACTGCACCCGGCCTATTGTGGGTATTTTTAAAGAACACAACATAGTGAAAGGTGTTTGTTTTTCTTTTACAAAACAAAACAAGTCTAAGATTGAAGGATTTGCTCTGTTGTTCCCATGTTCCTGGGACTAGAGTTGCTATTGCCTTTATTAGCGTTGGTCTATTTTAAAACAACAAAAAACCAAACCAAACCCTGGAGGTATATTTGATTAGCATGGAAGAGTTAAATGCCAGAGTTATCGTACAAAGAGAAATAAGAGACGCTGAGCATTATAAAGACCTGACAAGTCTATGCTGCGTGAACAGAGGCTGAAAATTAAGCCCTGGGTGACTTCAAGTACAGCTTTGGGAAACGATGCAGGGAGCTGTCTGGGAATGAAGGGATGTATGTGCCCCCTCTAGTGGTCAAAAGAGGTGGGGTTGGGAGCTACGCTTTGGATTCTTTACCCCCCAGCCACATACAACTTTCTAAACTTTTTTCCTTAACTTTTTTTCTTTAAAGGAGGACAAAAACTGCCACCCTCCACTTTGTTCTCTGAATTGCTTTTAAAAGACAGTTTTTAAATTTGTCCATAAAACATTTTTCTGACTCACCACAATGCTGTAAAAGCAACCACTCCAGGAGTCACAGAACCCCGTGGTCTCCAGTTTCAACCCCTTCTCTCTTTATGCCTTTGTAAAAATTTGTATTTAGTTCATTTTTTTAGGGACAGGGTCTTGCTCTGTTGTCCAGGCTGTGGTGCAGTGGTGCGATCATAGCTCACTGTAACTTCGAACTCCAGGGCTCAAGTGATCGTCCTGCCTCAGCCTCCTGAGGAGCTGGGACCTCAGGCATATACCACTACGTCTCACTAATTTTTGTATTTTTTGTAGAGACAGGGTCTCACTATGTTGCCCAGGCTGGTCTCCAACTCCTGGTGTCAAGCAGTCCTCCCACCTCAGCCTCCCAAACATGTTGGGATTAAAGGTGTGAGCTACTGTGCTCAGCCCCAGCCTTTCTTATCTCATTTAAATGTTGAACCTGATGACCCAAACACATTTACTTTGTTTCATCTATTTAAATTCTTTGTAAATTCTATGAACTATATAGCAAGGCTAGTTCTTTAATGATCACTCACTTGCAAAATAAAAAAAAAAGATATAATAATGCTAATAAGACTTTTGTAGGAGGTGATGTGATATACAAAATAAAAGCGTGATGTGATTTCCTCAGGCAATTTCTTTGGGAAAATAAAAAAGGAAGTTGATAGTCTAGTGGAGACATCAGATTAGAAACAATTACTTCATTTGTGCCGTGGACTGAAGACACAGATTCCCTTCTGAGAGCTCAGGCCATTGTGTATCAATCATACCACAAATGGGAGTGTTTTAAAAACTCTAAACAACTGTTTGGTGAAACATGCCAAGAACCACCTCTGAGAAGGCAGCCTATTGATAAAGTGGTTCTTTTTGGCTCTAAAAATCCCAAGCACGTGGGTGAACAGGTGCACATGATCTTCCGTTCTCTTTTTCCTGTGGAGTTCATCAATGACTATGATCTGACAGAGGAAAGCTCTGCTAAGAACATAAGGAGACTTAAAAGATGGCGAGGTGGCACAGCAGCTTGGAAGAGCAGGTTTTAGTCTAGAGATGGGAAGTTTTGAGCCTTCAGTGGTTAGAAAAATTCCTTCTCCTCTGCCTTCTCTCCTTCCCTTCAAGGCATCGATGTGTGGAATATAAACCATCTTTATATTTTAGAGGTTGACATCTTGTCTTACAGCAATTCAAAGGGAAGGAGACATGCAGCCCCATTCAAGCACAGGACGTGGACAGAGTGTCCAGGGACTTGCGAAAGTGAGAGGACAAAACTAACTAAAAAGCCACAGGCCCCAATCTACCAGATGACCCAGTAGTTTTACTTCTGGGACAGCCCTGAAGAAGTGAGGATCACCTTGCTAGGGGCTGAAAATCACCCTATCTAGGGTCCTGGGAGCCAGGAGAGGCTTTCTACAGAAGGGCTTTGAGGGATGTGTAGGAGTTCACTTGACAGGTACAGTGAGAAAGCACACTTTAAGCAGAGGAGAGAATATATACCAGTGGTTCTCAACATTAAGCCTACATCAGAACCACCTGGAGGGCTCATGAAAACACCAATCTCTGGGCCTTGCCCCCCAGTTTCTGATTCACTGGGTCTGGGGTAAGGCTTGGGAATTTGTTTTTGTTTTTAACGAGTTCCCAGGGGATGCTGACGCTGTTGTTCTAGGGACCCCACTTTGAAAACTGTAAACTTACATGAAGAACTGAAGCATGAAGTCACAGCCTGCGTCTGGGGAACTGTAACTACCTCGTTGTTGCTGGAATTTGAATTGTCTGAGCAATATGGTTAGAGGGTTAGGGAGGAGTCTCAAATGCCGAGCTGTGGGCATGCAAAATAAAGAAACGCGCCATTTGTGCATTCCAGGAGCAGGCGGCGCTGTGCTGCTGTAACTTTCAATCCCAATTGACATGCCCATTTTCCAGAGGAAGAAATTGCGGAACACAAGGTTCACTGATTGGTCCAAATTCCCCATTTAAGTAAGTGATGGATCTGGGATTCTAAACCGGGCCTCGGGAGACGCTAAAGCCCTTTTTATCTCCCTTGCCAGGGGCTCCATGCTAGAGCACTTAAAATTAAATCTCCGCAACAGAGGCATTGGGGAGAAAAATAATCAGGAAATATCTTGGGCAGGAGATTATAGGATAGGTCGGAAGGGGCTTACACCAGACCCTTTGGGAGACCCGCAAAAGTTGAACTGACAGACTCTTGAGATGTGATGTGGCCGCAGAGCTGGAGAAGGCCGATTAGAGAGGAGAGATGGGAGGGAGGACCTGGGACCCTGCTGGCTGATAGGTTGTGGTGCGTACCATTGAGGCCTTGACTTTGGAGAGATACCTGGTGAAGCCAGCGAGAAAGGCAGGAGGGGTCGGAGGGGCACGTCATGAAGACGTCCTGGGACACGAGGACCCACACGCTCCCTCCTTCCCGGTTACCCAGCCTTTTTCTAAGCCTTTCGTCATTCTGACTGGTTAATTTTGTTATCTTTTATTTTCTCGTCTCACTCATTCTCTTTGAATTTCTCTTCTGTCTTCATGCTCATTATCAGGCTAGCAAATTGTTAACTATGTAAATTTTAAAAGGAAAAATGTCAGCAGGCAGCTGGACAAGACAGAAGAGACAGAACTTCAAATGTTGCAGTCCAGGCTCCTTGGGAGAGTATGTCCTCCTTCTCATGAACAGGGAGAGCAAATGGTGTAACTGACACCCCTAAGTTCATCACGTGGGTGTCATCATTACAACACTTTGCAATATTAGCTTCATTTTCTGCCCCCTGGAGTATTTTGAAGCATATTTCAGATGTTATAACACCTCTAAATACTTTAGAATGTGTCTCTAAAAATAGGGACATCTTCCTACTAACCATGGCACCATCATCATCACACATAAAAGATTAACGCAATTCACTGAATCATCTAACACCAAGTCAATATTCAGACATCCCTAGTATTGAATTATCTAACCCGCAGTCGATATTCAGATATCCCCAGTTATTCCCAATGTCTTTTCCTCCAAGATTTTATCATAAAAATATTTTCAAACATCAGATGAATTGAAGGACTCTTACAGTGAGCATCTATATATCCACCACCTAGTTGTGGAATTACCATTTGGCTGTGTGCTTTCTTGTATACCTGTCCGTCTATCCATCTTTCCAGTCACCCATTAATCCATCTTAATTTTTCAGTGCATTTCAGAGTGAGATGCAGATATCAGCACCCTTCCCCCTAAACACTTCAGCATGAGTATCATTTGCTGGAGTCCAGTATTTATTAGGTTCTTTCCTTTTGAGGTAAAATTGACATATAAATAAAAGACCCAAATTTCCAGTATAATATTTGATGAATTGAGCAAATAGTTAGCTGTCTAACCCAAACCCCTGTGAAGATAGCAAACATTTTCATCACCCCAGAAGGTTCCCCATGTCCCTTCCCAGTCAATCCCCCCACTCCACACAACCCCTGATTTGACTTTTTCCTATCACTGCATCTTCTGGAAGTTCATATAAATAGCATGGTGCCCTTGTGTAAGGCTGCTTTCACATGGCATAATGCTTTTGTTATGTACCCATGTCGTGTGTGTCACAATAGCCTGTGATTTTTATTGTTATGGAGTAGCCTGTCACATGATGTGTCCACCATTTACTCATCCATCACTTGTTGAGGGACATTTAGGCTGAATCTTCCATTTGGCGATGATGAGTAAAGCTGCTATGAACATTTTCATGTACAGGTTTTTTTGTGGACTCTCGCAAACGTCTCCTACTGCTGGTTTATTTTAACCATGATGCAATCAAGGTCCCACCCTGCAGCCGATTGTTGTGCTTCTGACGTTTCCTTTAATTAAGTTGAAGGGGCCCAGTCAAACCCCCTGTTGTAGCCACAGCTCCGGTTACCTGCCAGGCATACAAAGGAGCTGAGTTCTCAGAGTAACAACAGCTACTGAGCTGCTTGTGTAGACCTTAGGCTTGTGATTGGAATGGTTTCGTTGTACACCCGCCGGTTGTTACAGGGAAGAAAGACTCCAGGCTGGACATCTCAGAACTAAACTAATTGAACTAATTAACCTAATCTCTCCCTCTTTCTCATACTCTGGGAGTCAGCCATTTTTGTTGGTGATGCTGCACTGTTTCGCAGCCACAAGGGGGCACCTGTGTGCTTTGTATGATTTAAAATTTTCATTTGGCAATTAAAAAAAGTTCTCCCAGAAAATCAGTATTTTAAGATGCTTTCCCTGTTTCCCAGTCTATTGAATTCAATGGTGACTTTTGTTCAATTGTTCAATACGTATTTACCGAATACCCACCATGACTAATGCATTGTGCTACGCACTGTGGGTGGTGAAGAAATAAAATAGTTCCTACCCTTGGGACTCTTCTGACCCACAGGGAGGAGAGAGAACCACAGTACAGCTCGGCATGTGTTTGAAGTCAGAAGAATGGGGCGAAACTGTGGAGATTCAGGTGGGTGGGAGCTGGCATCGCGATATTCCGGGAGGCCATGATGTCAAGAGCAAGTGAAGAGACCAGAAGGTTCTGGAACCCAGGATCTGTTAGGGATGCTGGAAGGGATTCGATGGTCCAGAGCTAGGGAATTTGGAACTTATTCATGATGTTGAATGACACGGGGGAGTTTTCAGTGGGGAAGTGACTGGTAGTATTGAATTGGAGAGGAAAGAGAAGAGGCAGGAAACTCTCTGTGGGGGCAGTTTGGGGGTGATGGGGCCCATGCTGGGGTGACCCTGGGAGAATGGCTGAGAATCATCTCTGAGTGCTGTAGGAATGAATGAGACCAATGGAGAGGAGAGAGAGAACATTCTGGAATCCTTCTGGAATGACTGAAAATCATCTCTGAGTGTTGTAGGAATGAAGGAGACCACTTGGGGAGAGGAGAGAGAGAACATTCTGGAATGTTCTGAGAATCATTCCAGAATTACTGCAGACCACTTGGGGAGAGGAGAGAAAGACAATATCCTGGAATGTTCTTGGAGCAGTCTTATTTTGAAGTTTGGTTTTCAAAGTCAAGTAGCTTTGCATTATATGAAAACTTTCACTAAGATACTTCCAAGTAGGGTCAGTGGCGAGTTGTTCTGCCCGTTAAAGAAAAAATTCTCGGCCGGGCGCAGTGGCTCACGCCTGTAATCCCAGCACTTTGGGAGGCCGAGGCGGGCGGATCACGAGGTCAGGAGATCGAGACCATTCTGGCTAACACGGTGAAACCCCGTCTCTACTAAAAACACAAAACATTAGCCGGGCGTGGTGGCGGGCGCCTGTAGTCCCAGTTACTCGGGAGGCTGAGGCAGGAGAATGGCGTGAACCCGGGAGGCGGAGCTTGCAGTGAGCTGAGATCGCGCCACTGCCCTCCAGCCTGGGCGACAGAGCGAGACTCCGGAAAAAAAAAAAAAAAACACGTAAGGAAGACACTATTCAGGACCATTTTGAGGGGTCACGACCGTCACAGTAGGGGAGAGAGATAGGGCTCAACTCCGAAAACAGCAAAGACAGCTGTAGATTATAGTCAAGAGGCAGAGTGGGTAATGGAGGAAAATTACTGAGAGGAGACAGAACCTGAGGATGAGGCCTCCTGGGGAAGAGGACTCTGAGGAACCTAACATTTGATCAAGGACAGAGTCTTTGTCATGCCTCAGGGATTAATCAGATCTTTTGTTAAGTGCGAATCCCAGCAGGTGAAGTGGGATGTATTTTTTAAGTGGGAAGTATTCTGATTAAACGGGAGCATGAGGCAGTGAAATGGGATAAATTTGTTTTATGCAAGATGAAACACTAAATCACCTTTATACAAATATTCATACAAATATTTTTATACAAATATGAATTTTTTATACAAAAATTTCAGCATTCCTGAAATTATAAATCAGTGGGAAAAGTTTGACTTAAAAAATAAATTCAGTGGCAGATAAACAATTCAAGTGATTCTTTGTTTTTACCTTTGTTGAAAGAAATGGTATTAGTAACTTAAAATAGATTTGTTTAAAAAACGAAAATATAACGTGTTTTTGGTCCATTGAAATAAGGTGATATGACAGTCACGCCCAGGTCCCCAATTACTAGGCTGATTTACATAAGCATGATTTACCCTGATTTATATAAACATCCATCCTTCCCTAATCACTTTATTAAGTTTCAGGTTCAAATATTTCCCTGAAACTTTTTTCAGGGAAAAAATATACATTTTATATTTATATTTTTAATATTTTTTTTTCCCACTTTCCTTAAAAATCTCCTTTTCATCACTAAAGGGCAGTTCAGCCACAGGCTCTGGATTCAAATCCAGCACCTTCTCATGTTAGCTGTGTGACTTTAGTTTCCCTCACTATCAAGTGAGGATAATAAGAGGGTTTCCTCACCGGATCAGAGGAGTGCCCAGCAGGGGTGGGCACAGCTCCTGGCACACTCACTGTGATTGATGTTTCTGGTTGACGTTGTCTTCGACCCAAGTCTGCTTATGTAAGATGTGAGCCTGGCTGATTAACTCTGCTTTGTAAATTAAAAGGGAAATCTTCCTTTTTCCAACTTGCCCAGGAAGCTTTGGTGTGTCCCTACGTGTTTTCTTGTATCATGTGGTTAAGGGTGACTTGATCCAGGAACTCAAAAGATCCTGTTAATACTTCTTTTTAATGGGATCGTCCAACCTTTAAAATTCATTCACCCCTTATATATAAACCCACAGATGTTAAAACCAGAACAAGGATGTATTCACGGAGGAAACAAATTCCATCTTCAACACAGCACTTGCAGAGGTAGAATTAACTCAGAAAGAGGCTGGACAACTTGGCCTGGAACCCACTGTGGGAAACTTTGGTAACTATCAGCTGTGGTTTGCTTTTCTGCACCACTGACTCAGCAACCCTGCAGTTGGGCACTGGGTGAGTTTGCAGTGGGAGAGAACAACCTTATCCTCTCTTTGAAAAACATTTCCACCCACAGGACAGCTTATTGGGAGGACCAGAACTCCGAAAGAATGAAAAAGGAAAATGAATGAAACCACATAGATTTTGTTTGCTCCTAGTGAAACAGGAAAAGGGAATAAGAACCAAAAATTTAGTATCATTTTGCCTGGATGATTTTTTCAGTTAGCTAGAGAAAAAGATTTGATGGCTTTAATAGGGATTAACAGAAGTGATCTTTCAGAAAGTTATAGATACTTACTTTTAGGGTTTTCTTTTCCCCCCAACTAGCTTGTCTAATGTAATATACATCATGATAAATACCTTTTTTTTTTTTTTTTGAGATGGAGTCTTGCTCTCTCGCCCAGGCTGGAGTACAGTGGCGCGATCTTGGCTCGCTGCAACCTCCGCCTCCTGAGTTGAAGTGATTCTTCTGCCTCAGACTCCTGAGTAGCTGGGACTATAGGCACGTGCCATCACAACTGGCTAATTTTTATATTTTTAGTAGAGACAGGGTTTCACCATGTTGGCCAGGCTGGTTTCGAACTCCTGACCTCAAGTAATCCACCGGCCTTGGCCTCCCAAAGTGTTGGGATTACAAGCGTGAGCCACCGCACCTGGTCAATAGATAACTGTTAATGAAGTATAATGTGTTTTTATGGATATATTTCTTTGTAAGCACATTATGGCCTTTCAATTCAAATACAAGTGTTTCTGATTGAAATCTTGAAGGGGCAACATAATTGGATTTGACCAAATATGGGATTTAGAAATGGAAGCAGATTCAGCCAGAATTCCTGCCTAGGACTTCCTGGGGATCAGGGAAGAGGTGAAATGCACAGGAAATGTCTTCTATTGAACGTGAGGGCATGTTGATATCAAAGGGCCCGGGAGGGCCACACACTATGAACGTGATGTCCACATTCTTGGCGGTGCTCACGGCAGTAACGTGCATTTCCTGTGCGGGGCTGCCTGGCTCCGTCATAGCTTGCCGAGTGTCCCAATGCTGTTATTTCCTCCTGAGGCACCACTCTTCTCGTTTCCAATTTTGTTTGTTGTTTTTTAACACTGTAGAGTTTTATTTCAGTCTACCTACTTGATCTCTTATTTCATTAGCATTTTGGGGTGTTTTGAAGGGATTTTATAATACACCCATTTTTCTTAAAACTTTATATCTTTTAGTTAAGTCGATAAATGTTTAATATATACCCAATTATTAAAAACACTTTAATGCATAGCATCAAAGTCAAAATAGATGATACATATTGTAAATTCCATGTTGCAGAAATTCTAACCTTGATTTTGAGAAGTAAAGCTTACTTCTTACAGCTAAGTAAACCCCCAGAGATAAGTGCAGTTTTCACAATAGTCATTAACTACCCATCACCTGTCATTGCAACATTGATGAATTACTGGTGATGATCACTGCTTGAGTGTTCACAGGCATGTAACGATTATGTCCAGTTGAGAGTCAGAAAAAAGCTCCGGGGCCTTTTGTATGCATAGATAATGTATTCTGAATTATTTGGATGAGGCTTTATACCAGTCAGGGATTTTGCTTGCAAACAGTAGAAATTAACTGGCTAACTTGAGCAGAATAGGACCTTTCTAGAAGGATATTGGGCAGCGTTTGGAATGGAGAATCAGGTTTTATTTTATCATTTTTTTTCTATTTGTTTTTGAGATGGAGTCTCGCTCTGTCACCCATGCTGGCATGCAGTGGCATGATCTCGGCTCACTGCAACCTCTGCCTCCTGCGTTCAAGAGATTCTCCTGCCTCAGCCTCCCAAATAGCTGCAATTACAGGCGCCCACCACCATGCCCAGCTAATTTTTTTGTATTTTTAGTAGAGACGGGGTTTCACCATGTTGGCCAGGCTGGTCTCAAACTCCTGGCCTCAAGTGATCTGCCTCCTTTGGCCTCCCAAAGTGCCGGGATTACAGGTGTGAGCCACTGCGCCCGACTGAGAGTCAGGCTTGTAAAACCGGTAAGACCAAGAGCAGCTAGGCAGGTCAAGGGTCACAGGTACAGGCTGATGTGGACGCCGCCATAAGTCCTGCCATTATCAGACATTGGCCACTGCCCTGGGCAATCTGTCCTGGTCTCTGGGGCCCTGCAGCCTCTGACACTTGCTGTCCTGATGGGCCTTTGGTGCTGTCCTGCTGCTGGGAAACTCCCCATCACTGGATCTCTGTGTCACAGCCTCAAGGGTCAGGTCCTTAGTGTGGGCATCTGTGTTAGCGCCCTGTAGTTGCCATATCAAAGCCCACGTGCCAGGTGTCTTATAATAGCAGAAGTTCACCCTCACAATTCTGGAGGCCAGAAGGCCACAGGGGCACGTACCCACTGAGGCCCTAGGGAGGAATGTGTTTTGTGCCTCTCAGCTTCCGGGGGCCGCGGCAACCCTCAGCTTCAGTGGGCTTGTGGATGTTTCACTCCTATCTCTGCCTCCATCTCCATGTGGCCATCTTCCTTCTGCGTGTGTCTCTGTGTCCAGATTTCCCTCTTCTTAGAAGGACACCAGTCATACTGGATTTAGGGCACACCCTAATCCAGTATGACCTCATCTGAACTTGATTACATCTGCAAAGTCCTTCTTGCAGATAAGGTCACATTCACAGGTACCAGGTTCCAGGCTGAGGCCACATGCCTACGCCACAGCTCCCGGGGCTGGGTTATCTGTACCTCAGCCTTCGTTGGCCGTAGCGGGTGGTGGGTCCCTGCCTCACAGCAAGCCCCACGGAATGGGGGGTTCCCCCAGATAGGAGGGATGCTTGACATTCATAAAAGAGGCTTTCCCCAACTATACGGCTTCTTGCAGCAATGAGATTACACCATTTCCATCAGCACACCAGTAAAATTGAACAATCACTAGGGAATATCTTTAATTCTTTCTTCTGCCTTTCTTTTTATTATCTTGTTTTAATCATGAATGATTGCGGAGAAATGTTGATCTGATGGACTCAAGTTGAATGGAGTCTTTCTCCCATGTGAGGACCGGAAGCCACCCACACAGATCTCTCTTCTATGGGAGGTGTTCTAGGGTCACCTTATTAATCCCAAATTCTGTCTTACCCTGAGTCGGAACTCTTTCAGCAGAAAACTGTATCTCTGTGGCGTTGAATATGAGGATAGGTTCCAGGAGCACCAGTAGACGGAATGTTTGCCCTGTCACAAGCATTTCTCCTGGCCTAGAGACTGGCAGGGGTTCCTGCATCCCTAAGCAGGGACCCCTGCACCAGGCGAAGGACGAGCCCCCTTCCAGCAACGCGGGATGAGCCAGGGCCTCTCCCCTACCCTGCTTGTCCTTCCTCTGCCCAGTACCCTGCGTGGCTGCTCAGGAGAGTGACGTGTGGAAGCCACTCGGGGTGAGCAGAGGGTCTCTTAGTGATGCTGTTTGTTTCCTGGGACGTGGGTCAGGGAGCCCCTACCCTGGTTGAGAACCACTGAGGTAGGCCGGGATTTTGGATTCCATCCCCAAATTAGAGGAACAGAGTGCATGCATGCCTTAGGCACTAGAGGTGCTTCCACTGGGCCCGTTTGCACAAGTCTGGCCTCTCCCTGTCTTTTGCTGCCACCTGTTTATCACTGGTCAAGAGAGGCCACCGAGGCCGGGCACAGTGGCTCATGCCTGTAATCTCAGCACTTTGGGAAGCCAAGGTAGGCAGATCACCTGAGGTCAGGAGTTCGAGACCAGCCTGGGCAACATGGCAAAACCCCGTCTCTACTAAAAATACAAAAAATAGCTGGGTGTGGCAGCAGGAACCTGTAATCCCAGGTACTTGGGACGCGGAGGCAGGAGAATCACTTGAACTTGGGAGGCGGAGCTTGCAGTGAGCCGAGATTGCGCCACTGCACTCCAGCCTGGGCAACAGAGTGAGACTCCATCTCAAAAAAAAAAAAAAAAGAGGAAAAAGAGAGGCCACCAAATGCACGATGGAGCTGCTAGGGATGACAGCACCGCACCAGAAGCAGAAGCCCCAGACTTCCCAAGGAGAAGACAAAGGAACAGCTCTCCTGTGTTCCTTCATATTTTTATTGTAGGTACCTCAGCTCCTTAATGAAACTTAAGTATTAGGAGAAGAGCAAAATTAACTCAACAAATATTTAAAGCCAGGCCCTGCTGTGAGAAGAGAAATGAACTTTTCTTTGGAAACAAAAATCTCTGCTGTCGCGGGGTCTGTCCTCTGGCAATGATGAGCTTGGTGCTGGATATAACATCATAAAATTATCGTGACCGCTGCTCTGGGGGAAGCTGCTGTCAAATGATTCAGCTCTCCTCCCAAGCTTTAGATCTCTGTGTTTCCTTTCGGTCTCCTCTCCTTAGCTTCACACCTTACAGTCTCAGAGAGCAGGGGACACAGCACCTCAGAAAGCCACGTGGCTGCACTCTGGATCATGCTGGCCTTAGCACTGTTAAGATACTGTGAGACTTGGGCAACCCCTGAGGTGTCCAAGCGCTGGCTTCTGTTCATAATCCCTGGGACTCAATGGTTGTGTCTGGGCTTCAGTTTGAAGCCCAGACCCTATGCAGCTCTTCCTGTGTCCTCCTGAAGAGGGTTGCGCTTTGGGGATTTTCAACGTGCAGACAAAGGAAATGGTTGCAGCTCAATATTGCACACGCTGTGGCAAAGTATCCATTTCTCCCCTTTCGGCATCCAAAAGGTCTTGCCTCCTGGTGGCTGCTTTGCTGTAGGGTTGAGGGAAGGATGAGAAGAGCTGCGTGTTGTGACAGTTGCTATGCGTCTTTGGGAGTTTCTGTGGTAAAAACTGGAGTTATGTGGTTTAGGTGCTGGATCTAAGACTTTAACCAGGGGATGAAAAGGCTAGGTGAGTGCCCTGAATTGCGGGATCGCTTTCTGACCCTGCAGCCCATGAGGCCCAAGGAATAATCAGCTGCTGCTGGACAGAGGGGAGCCAGCACCTCTTCAGGCAAGCGGGGAGTGGTCCATGAAGCTGCATGTGGCCGGGCGCCATGGCTCACTCCTGTAATCTCAGCACTTTGGGAGGCCAAGGTGGGCAGATCACTTGAGGTCAGGAGTTCTAGACCAGCCTGGCCAATATGGTGAAACCCCGTCTTTACTAAAAATACAAAAATTAGCTGGCCATGATGGCGCGCACCTGTAATCCCAGCTACTCGAGAGACTGAGGCAGGAAAATCACTTGAACCCGGGAGGTGGAGGTTGCAGTGAACCGAGATCGCGCCACTGCACTCCAGCCTGGGTGACAGAGGGAGACTCCATCTCAAAAAAAAAAAAAAAAAAAAAAAAAAGAAGAAGCAGCTGCATGCACAGGCGTGTTCCTTCCCAGAACAGAGTCTGCAGAGTCGGGTGACAGCAGTGCAGTCGGGGGCGAGCAGAGGGAGAACATGAGAGCGCCTGTTTATGTGTTTCGTGCCACATCATTGTGAAATTTTAATTTTTGGATCTATTTTTAGGGCATGTAACATATAATACAGCAGCCCATGCGACACACACACACACACACACACACTCACTCACACACACACACACAGGCATGCAGCAACTATAGAGGTGTATTGCTCGGATCTCCTTTTAAGAAGGAGCTTGCTCAGGCAGGAAGTGCGGTTATCTGGCAGCCTCCAGTCATTCAATGTGCCTCAGGCTCCCCCTCAGCTTCTGAGCAGGGGCAGCCCGGCCCGACACCAAGCACAGCAGGTGTCCTTGGGCCTGGCCATTTCTGCTCAATGCGGGATTCCTCCAGTGGGCAGTCTTTGCTCTGGAGCCTGGGTGGGGCCGGCGGTGGCTGCCCGATCTGCATGGCGTTGGAGGCTCGTCTGCCCACTCCTGTGCCTCTCTCTTATATCTTTTACAGGAGTCACCTGCAATTAACTTCAGCCTCCTAACTGCATCTCAGTGTCTGCTTCCTGCAGGACTCGACTATCACTGTGCTCATTTTTTTTTTCCTGGTAGGGATGCATGATTAAAAATATTTGAAGATCCTGTTGCAGAGGGTACCGTGGGACGCTTTGAGAGGGAAGGGAGGCTGCTGAGGAGAATTCCTGGCTCCTGCGGCCTCACTGATCTTCTATCATGTACCCGTGTAGTGAGAGAGGGACACATTCACTCCTGCTTTCTAGGTGGAAAAACTGGGAGCCCACAGATTCTGCTAACTTGGCATGTTATAGGCTGGGAGGCAGTGAGTGTGCCTTGGGATTCAGGCTTGAAGAGTTTATTGAACCCAAGACTAGGCTCATCTGTTTCCAAAATGGAAATGATGATGATGATATTTTGTAGACCAGGGTCCTAAAAGGAGGTCAGCAGGCAGAGGAAAAGGCCTCTCTTTGTTTTTTCATTTCCCACTGGCAATAGCTCTTTGCATGAGTGGCTGGGGTGGCGTGGGGGGTGGCAGTGCCACTGCACAAACCCAGTCTGTTCTGTTTGCAAACACGTCAGGGGCTGAGCAGGGAAGGACGCTATTTCACAAAGCTTTCCTGTGGGGCAGAGAGAAAAGCTGCCTGGAGAGAAGCTCTTTGAAATAAGTGTCCTCCCCAGCCCAGCCCCTGAATTTCTTTTCCTTTACATAAAATCTCTGCTCTTCAGTCTTCTTTAAAGAAGTTCATATGAGGCCAGTTAAAGTGTCAATAGGGCCAGGCTTCTCTTCTCTCTAGCACTTCCCCAGGCCTGGCAATACAGACCCTTTATGCAATTTCAAAACCTTCTGTGCTTTCAGAGCCCTTGACCTCATCTGTCTCATCTCTGACAGTGACAAACCTCCTCCTCTGAAGAGCCAGATGTCAGTGGAGCACCACTCCATGACCCTGGGACTCCGCTCTGTGTGGGTCTTCCCAGAAAACCATGTGAGCACTAATCCCTGATATCAGGCTGAGGCCCAAACACACTCCCCCGTCCAAGTTACCTTCCCAGCAACCATCCTCCTGTCTTCCTTGATGATACAGAGGCCAGATTTTGTTTGGGTGTCTGCATGTCCAGCCCTAGGATGAATCATGATTAAATCAGCAAGGCCATTCTGTTCCCTTTGATAGTGATTGGTCTTTGGGGTGGGCCTGTGATTCAGGTTTCACCTGTGAGACATGAGGACAAGTCTCATGAGAGCTTCTGGGAAAGATTTTCCTTCAGGACAGAAGGGGAGAAGAGCTCAATTTCTGTGAATTCAGCTACCACTCAAGTTCTAATGAATTCCCAAACTAGGTCAAGTCATATGAAATTGCTAATATTTGACTGTTTTTGACCTACAAAAATATGACAGTTTCATATAGTCCACCCTACTACATCTCTTTCCCAGGAGAAATAGAATAAAGAGAAAAAAGCAATTAAAGAGAATGCAAGAATGGTGAGCGTCAAATGTAAGGACCAATAGTGACCTAGAAGTAGAGAAATCAACAAATGGAACCAAAAAGGTATTCAGAGTTGGAAGAAATTTCCCTGGAAATGAAGGAATTGCTGAATTTCAGCTTAAGAGAGCATACTATGTTGCTGGAAATATTTAGAAAGTTTGATGGACACTAAAACTACTTGGTTTTAGTCAATGAGCTTTAGGTCAGTTAATAAGCTTTAGGATAAAGAAATAATTTTTCATGTATTTGAGCAGAAAAGGTAAGTAATATTTAGGAAGTATAAATAAGACTTTAGACGTTCCACATCAATATTCAGAGCAAGAAAACAGTGAGGCCATATCCATAAAATTCTGAGTAAAAGAATGTGCAACCAAGGCTTTTATACCCAGCCAAGTTGTCATATAAGCATCATGATGTGACTTAAGTCAAGGGTCTCCAACCCCTGGGTCATGGACTGGTACCTGTCTTTGGCCTGTTAGGAACCAAGCTGCACAGCAGGAGGTGAGCAGTGAGTGAAGCTTTATCTGTATTTACAGCTGCTCCCCATCACTCACATTACCACCTGAGCTCCACCTCCTGGCAGATCAGCAGCAGCATCAGATTCCCATAGGAATGCACACCCTATTGTGAACTGCACATGCGAGGGATATACGTTACATGCTCCTTATGAGAATCTAATGCCTGATGATCTGTCACTATCTCCCATCACATCACCCCGAGATGGGACCGTCTAGTTGCAGGAAAACAAACTCAGGGCTCCCACTGATTCTACATTATGGTGAGTTGTATAATTATTCCATTATATATTATAATGTAATAATAATAGAAAAAAAGTACACAATAAATGTAATGTTCTTGAGTCATCCTGGGATCATTCCCTGCCCCCATCTGCAGAAAAACTGTCTTCCACGAAACTGGTCCCTGGTGCCAAAAAGGTTGGGGACCACTGACTTAAGTTTTAAAAGGATAATTCTAGCTGGCACGTGGAGAGTAAATTAGGAGGAATGGATGCTCAATGGTTTCCCACATAATGCAGGATAAAACCCAAAGCATTTAGCAAGGTCTCTAAAGCCCTCCTTGACCAGGCCAACTACTATATTCTGACTCTGTCTTGTCACAACTCCCCCTCTCTCACTATGCTCCAGCCACTCTGGTATCTTTGTTGTTCCTTGAACACTCTTAGCACATTCCTACCTCAGTGACTTGCACTTGCTGTTCTGGAATGGTCTTTCTCCTAGCTGTCTGCATGGTTCCCACATTACGTTAGATCTCCAGTCAAACGTCACCTTATCTGTGAGACCTTCCCCACCACCCTGCCCTCTTTTTTCTCCAGAAGGCTTATCACTACCTAGTGTGTTTTGTATATTTGATGACATGTTCCGTTTATTGATTTCTCCTTGCATTTGAATGTAAAGGCAACAAGCTCTCATTTTCAAATATTGGAGGACTATAATGTTTATTAAGTTTTTTTTTGAAAAAGTTATTTGAAGATAAGACCGAGCTAATGCAGAGTTGAATGGAAAAGCTGTAGCAAAATAATTAATACAAAATCAGTGCAGGCAGCTGGGCATGGTTGCATGTGCCTGTTGTCCTAGCTACTTGGGAGGCTGAGGTGGAAGGATTACATGAGCCCAGGAGTTCAAGGTAGCAGTAAGCTATGATGGGACCACTGCACTCCAGCCTGGGTGACAGAGCGAGACCCTGTCTCAAAAAAAAAAAAAAAATCTGCGTAGGAACACAGTGGAGCAACATTTACAAAATTCCAGAGAGAAGAACTGACACCTAGAATTTTATACCCAGCCACATTGTCCTTATATTATAAAGGCAACAGAAACATATTCTCAAGCAGGAAATATTCCTCATGAAATAAAATGAACCAAAAAAAACCACACTATTAAGTTGGTCAATTCCTAAAACTCTACTTTCACTTTCTTATTCTTTGTTTAAATCCAAGTAAAATTAAGTATAATACTTTTTATTTAAAAATAGTGTGTTTAGTGTGATATCACTTTTATAAAACTTGGTCTATCTGCATGCCTGCCCATCTGCTCACCCATTATCTACCCACCCACACACCCACTGCCCATCTTCCATCTCTCTTATACAAGTAGCAAGATATTTAGAATAACATCCACCTAATGTTCATGAATGTTATTTAGGGGTAGTAGGAGTTGGAAATTTTTATCTTTTTTGTACTTTTCTGGATTTCTTGCGTTTTAATAATGGATGAGGTATCAATTTTATAAAAACAATAAAATAATTCTTCTGCCTCTCCTACCTCCCAGTAGGATCATTTCAGTCTCTTTGAGCACGATGTTCAGACTTCTTCCTTACCTGGCACTGCCAGGCTCCCGGGTCTCCTTCCATGCGCCCTCCCCACCCCACCTCCTGAGGCCCAGGCACCCCTCAACACACCCTGCTGTCCCTCATTCCTCTGCATGCTTTGCACATGTGGGGACTTCTGCTTGGGAAGGCCTTCCCCTAACCAGCCCCTTTACCTCCTCACCTGGCCAACCTCTACCCATCCTGCAGCCTCAGCCTGGGCCTCAGGTGACATAGTTCCCTGCATTGTGTTTTTGTAGAGATGGGGTTTTGTCATGTTACCCAGGCTGGTCTTGAATTCCTGGGCTCAAGCGATCCACCTGCCTTGGCCTCCCAAAGTACACAGTGAATGAGATGCATGGTTAAAGCAGGGTTAATCATGCCTTAACCATGCATCTTATTCACTGTGGTAGAATGTCAGCTCTGTGAGAGCCACATGCATCTTATTCACTGTGCCAGCCACTGACCTGGCACAGAGTCAATAGCTAATAAATTAACACAGGAGTAAGATAAGGAGGGGAAACAGGACAGACAGACTATAAATACTAACTGGCTGCCCAACCAGCTTCCAGCAAAAATTCCATCCTCTGTTGTTGTTCTTTTCATTCGTCTCTCTTAGAAAGGTAGGATGACTGGAAGATTCTCCTGAAAGGTACAGGTGAAGGTGAAATAGCAGATATGGGGCTCATGGCCTGTGACAATGACAACGATGGCATTGATAGCATCAGCTGCCTTTGGTCAAGCTCCTGCCATTAGCCAGCTGCTGGGCCATGCACCCTCCGTGTGCTCTTGATGAAGGTCCCTGGAATCCTAGGCTTCCAAGGCAGTATGAGGCAACCAGAGGTAAGAAGTGGGAATGGAAGAGCCGAGAAAAGGTGTGATTTCTGGACTGAGACAGGAAGGCCGCTCCTGGGGTCTCTGTGTGGTCGCTCTGCCTTCTGTTTCTCCTCCCCTGTGTCCCTGCCTCCCCTTCCCTGACCATCCATGCAAGCTCCCAGCAGGGCCTGCTCCTCCACGGGGAACTGCCTGATCAACCTTGCCTCACTTTGAGCACTCGTCAACGTTTTATTTCCAAAGAGCTATTGTATTAAGTTCAAAAATATATTTGCCATTTATGGATATATCAAATGTTACCATTCTCAAGTCATCAAGACTTTTTTTTTTTTTTTTTTTTTTTTTTTTGAGGCAGGATCTCACTCTGTTGCCAGGCTGGAGTGCAGTGGTGCAATCTCAGCTCGCTGCAACCTGTGCCTCCTGGGTTCAAGCGATTCTCCTGCTTCAGCCTCCTGAGTAGCTGGGACTACAGGCACACACCAGCATGCCCAGCTAATTTTTGTATGTTTGGTAGAAACGGAGTTTCACCGTGTTGGCCAGGATGGTCTCGATCTCTTGACTTCATGATCTGCCTGCCTGGCCTTCCAAAGTGCTGGGATTACAGGCGTGAGCCACTGTGACTTGCCCAACTGATGTTTGTTTTTGTCTCTCAAGGTGAATTAAGGTTCCTCAAAGACAGCAAATCTTCATGTTACTTAGTCTCTTCTCACAAAAGAAAACTCTCCCCATGAGTAAATGTTTGTTCACTGAATGAATAAGTAAAAACATTTGCAAGTATTATTTTGGGGCTTGGGAAAGTTATCCAGTTTTGAATTGACTTGGAGTCTAGAAGATTCCTGGACAAAATGGTTTTTCCCATTGTCACCATAAAATTGGATACGTGTATAAAAAGTGGGTGGTTCACTAACATTAAAAACATTTATTTTTGGGCTGGGCATGGCAGTTCATGCCTGTCATCCCAGCACTTTGAGAGGCCAAGGTGGGTGAATCACATGAGCCCAGGAGCTCAAGACCAGACTGGGCAACATGGCAAAACCCCGTCTCTACAAAAAACACAAAAATAGGCTGGGCACGATACCACTGCACTCCAGCCTGGGCAACAGAGCGAGAGACTCCATCTCAAAAACAAAAACAAAAACAAAAAAACCCACAAAAATTGGCTGGGCGTGGTGGGGTGTGCCTATAGTCCCAGCTACTCGGGAGGTTGAAGTGGGAGGATTGCTTGAGCCCAGGAGGTTGGGGCTGCGCTGCATTCCAGCGCGGGCAACAGAGCCAGACCCTGTCTCAAAAAGAAGAAAAATAATTCTTTTTGTCCTATGGCTGGAAAGTGAATGTTAAGAACCAGTGCCAAAGGTAAGACTTTCCTGTGATTATCTTTTTTTTTTTTTTTTTTTTTTTTTTGAGACAGAGTCTCACTCTGTTGCCCAGGCTGGAGTGCAATGGGGTGATCTCAGCTCACTGTAACCTCCGCCTCCCAGGTTCAAGTCATTCTCCTGCCTCAGCCTCCCAAGTAGCTGGGATTACAGGCGTGCGCCATCACGCCTGGCTAATTTTTGTATTTTTAGTGGAGACAGGGTTTTGACATGTTGGTCAGGCTGGTCATGAACTCCTGGCCTCAAGTGATCCACCTACCTCGGCCTCCCAAAGTGCTGGGATTACAGGTGTGAGCCACCGCGCCCAACCCTGTGTTTATTCTTAGGTCTGTACTACGCTTTATGCCTCAGTTTCCACAGTTAAAACACGTTATTTTATTCCTCACGTTATAGGAGCAATTTGTATTCATAAACTTGGCCTTCACCTTCAACTTCTGAAGATTTTAATACAGCGCAAATGATTTGGGGTCTGTGAATTCAGTTTTATTTATTTGGCTCCTTCCTTTAAGGAGTCAGGCTAATGCAAGAAAATCCAATAATTAGATCTTTTGGATTTCAAATAACTGGAAGAGGAAGTGGTGTTTATCTAATGGTTTAGGCATAATGCGTGTTTTTTCCCGTAGGCCTGTGTGTGTATGTGTGTGTGTGTGGTTGTTCTTAACTTGAAGAATTAAACACTTGTTTTCCCCGTTAATTCTTTCCTCTGGGGCTTTTGTAGACGTTGTGGAAATGTGACCTGTAAGTCTGTGTCTGAATACATGCTGCAGATGGAAGGAAGGCTGCCTCCCATCTCTCGGGAAATGGCTTCACTCAGTTACTCTTTGGTCCAGGTGGTTGAGTTAGGTGAAGACATTAGTATTTCACTTCCTAGTAAAGTGACTGTTTAGAAAAAAACATTTAGTGAGGACTGAAAAAACTCTTGCTAAATCTGTTTGCTTCCATGAAACGACAGGTTTTGAGGGATGGGGAGGTGGCTTTAGCTTGGGCTGTGGGAGAGGTGCAGACGAAGAGTCTCCAGGACACTCACACCAAGTCATCAGGGATCTAATTTTCTGGTGATGAAGAAATCAAATTGATCCTTCGGTATGATTTTCCCCTCCCAAGAGGCATTCATATCTCCAGGGGTTGTTGGGATTTCCATAACAGGCGGGGGAAGTCGTTTTGTCTCCTGAGTCCCCAACACCCCAGATGAACGTGTCAAAGGACGGCTCCCAGCCCGGCGCTACCATGATGGATTGAGGGCCACAGATTCTGTTTTCTTTTTCTTTTTTTTTTTTTTTTTTTTTGAGACGGAGTCTCGTTCTGTCGCCCAGGCTGGAGTGCAGTGGCGCAATCTCGGCTCACTGCAAGCTCCGCCTCCCGGGTTCACGCCATTCTCCTGCCTCAGCCTCCTGAGTAGCTGGGACTATAGGCGCCCGCCACCGCACCCGGCTAATTTTTTGTATTTTTAGTAGAGACGGGGTTTCACCGTGTTAGCTAGGATGGTCTCGATCTCCTGACCTCGTGATCCACCCGCCTCGGCCTCCCAAAGTGCTGGGATTACAGGCTTGAGCCACCGCGCCCGGGATTCTGTTTTCTTTTAAGTGAAAGAAAATATCAGCCCTACCTTGTCTTTAGTGGAGGAGAAGATGAAAGGGAAAGGGCACGTGGAAACGTGTGCTGGGTGCCCCTGCGCCATCTCCCTGTGTCTGGACCCCAGACACCTCACTGCTCCGGAGGTGCTTTCAGTCCTATATATATTAACCTGAGCTTAGAAAGGAACCTTCAAGCTCCAAAATCTCCTCCCAGGTCCTGGTTAAGAGCCTTTTCACAAATTGGATTCTGCAGTCCTGCATTTTAGTTGAAAATCCCCAATGGAAGCTCTCTGAACTACAAAAGAAGAGACGAATTACCAGGATGCCCCCTCCATAAAATGAAAAAGCCCTACAAGCTGCTGATTAGTCTTTTTTCAGCTCTAAAAGTCAAGGAAGGTCTCGGCCGGGCGGGGAGCTCATTCCTATAATCCCAGCACTTTGGGAGAGGCTGAGGCAGGCTTGAGCTCAGGAGTTCAACACCAGCCTGAACTTGAACTGGCAACATGGCAAAGCCCATCTCTACAAAAAATACAAAAATTAGCCAGGCGTGGTGGTGCGTGCCTGTGGTCCCAGATACTCAGGAGGTTGAGGTGGGAGGTTGGCTTGGACTTGGGAGGTTGAGGCTGCAGTGAGCCAAGATTGCACCACTGCACTCCAGCCTGGGCAACACAGTGAGACCCTGTCTAAAAAAAAAAAAAAAAAAATCAAGGTCTTCATAACTCTAGGAGGCAGAGTGGAATTGAGTCTTTGGCTTCAAGGAGAGAGTGGAGGGAGGCAGCTTAACAGGACGAGAGTAAAGTGAACAGAAAAAGCCTCTCAGAAAAATAAAGGCAGGCGACAGCAAGGAGAGAGGAAAAACCCCCACCTCTCGCGCTGAACAGGGAAATGGGATAGAAAACGTTCCCTGTGATATGCCAACTGAGAATCAACTAGATCTGTTCCACATTTCTTTCTCCTCCTTTTCCCTTTGTACATATTTCCGTGCAGACAGCTTCAGGACGCAGTTCCGGGGAAGCTTATTTCTTCAAAACCCCCCTCTCTCTGCTAGAACAGGCCGTGATTGCTGCGTACCAGCAAGGGGGCAGTCAAGCACAACGCATGAGAAACAAAGGTCCTTCAACCTCCAAGCCCGCAGGAGAGCAGCTCCACTCACTTCCTTTGAAGTGGCCCTCTCTGTTTTTTCTAGGATCGAGAATTTTCCTGTAATACACTGGTCTATTTTTAAACCCACTTTCCATTCGCTAGAAGTAAAGAGTGGAAAAATATAATGAATTGTAGAAAGAAACGGAACATAGGTATAAATGTCAATGGTGGGATTTTATAGGCACATAGAAATCTCCCCTTTAAAAGACACTGCAATTATTTTTAGAATGAGAATTGGTCTCAGGGTGGCCTGAGAGAAGAAATGGGAAAAGAACATTTCAACTTTTACTCTACGGTTCAAACCAGTGATGGCGGTTTGCCATCCTCAATTCAGCACATAAACATGTGGGCTGCCCACCATCCGTGAGCGTGGCAGATACTATGGGAGACGCTAAGGCGACTTAGACAGGATCTCTGCCCTCAAGAGGGTTCCATCTAATTAGGAGGGGACAGACAGACTCACAAATGGCCAAAACAGAAAGTGAAGCCCATCACAGTCACCAGTAAAGTGCAGAGCAAGTGAGAAGAGGGAGGGACCTTCCTTCAGGGGACGGGATATCTCCCATTCCGTGGAGCTGGTGGCACTGGAGGCAGACCTTGAAAGATGACACTGCAGGGACGGGCCGGATGCCCACCCATCCCATTTTCTCTTCCCGGGCCTGTGTTGCAATGAGGTTAGAGTCACGTGGCTGGGCCATGCGATAGAGCCAGTCAGAAGTGGTGGAAGTGAAATATGCCACTTCCGGCCAGGCGCGGTGGCTCACACCTGTAATCCCAGCACTTTGGGAGGCTGAGGCAGGTGGATCACCTGATGTCGGGAGTTCGAAACAGCCTGATCAACATGGAGAAACCGCATCTCTACTAAAAATACGAAATTAGCCGGCCGTGGTGGCACATGCCTGTAATCCCAGCTACTCGGGAGGCTGAGGCAGGAGAATTGCTTGAACCTGGGAGGCGGAGGTTGCAGTGAGCTGAGATTGCGCCATTGCACTCCAGCCTGGGCAATAAGAGTGAAACTCTGTCTCAAAAAAAAAAAGAAAAAAGAAAAAAAGAAATATGCCACTTCCATGTCTGACTGTAACACCCCTTGTGTGGCCATCCAAGCTTTCCCTTTCTCTTCCACACAGAGCCCACATGTTTAAGATAAGTGGTAGAAGCCAGTATCCTTGAGTGCTTGTTGAAAAGAGCTGTCCAGGAGAGCTACCCAACCCACATCACACTATGATGTAAGAGAAGATAGAATTCAGCCACTGAGCTGCTGGGGTGGTTTGTTATAGCAAGTGGTGTCTCTTAGGACAGATGAATAGGTTTTGACCAGTGAAAATGTGGGACCTCTTCCCTGAGTCTCATTCTGCCGAATGTGCTGTTATTAGGACACGCACCACATTTACGGATATCGCTTGTTTGAGGCCAGCCATCCAAGCTTCACTATTTGTACCATGAAAAGGACCTCATCTATCTTGCCCTCCCTCCCATCCCTAGAACCTAGCACAGTGCATCACATACAGTCGGTGTTTAATAAATGGTTTGTTAAACAAAATGGGTAAGAGGGGGCTTTGTTTGGGGAACATCCAATAGTCTAGTTTCAGGAAAGCATAGGATATTTCTATCTAAAGGAGATGGGCATTTAGGTGGGCCTCTGTGGGGACCCTTAACAGGGTGTCAGGAGTTGGCGCTTATTTTGCGGGGCTGTATCCTGAAGCCTTCCCTCCTTTCCTATCCGCTGCAATACTTCATGGGCGTTTTCTTTTGTAAACTTCAATAACTTATTACTAGTTGCCTGTATCTCTAGTCCAACTTTCAGCCTTACTTATCCTAAAAGAACAATAGAGAGAGAGAGAGAGAGAGAGACCTGTGATCCCTGTAATATGAACCTGCTTGTTTAAAGATGTTAGAAAACCTAACTCAACTGACTTTAGGTTAAAAACCACTGGCTCATATAACTGAAAAGTCCAGGATAGTTATAACTGCTTCAAGCATGGACAGATCAGGGCTCTCAAACAGTGTTGTCAAGAATTTCTGATTTTTCTGCTTATTGGAAGTGACGGCATGCCAGTTCTAAGTTTAGGCTTTATTTATATTTTATATTTTTATTTTTATTTTTGAGATGCCCAGGCTGGAGTGCAATGGCACGATCTCAGCTCACTGCAATCTCTGCCTCCCAGGTTCAAGCGATTCTCCTGCCTCAGCCTCCCAAGTAGCTGTGATTACAGGCTCCTGCCACCACGCCCAGTTAATTTTTTGTATTTTTAGTAGAGATGGGGTTTCACCATGTTGGCCAGGCTGGTCTCGAACTCTTGACCTCAGATGATCCACCTGCTTTGGCCTCCCAAGGTGCTGGGATTACAGGCGTGAGCCACCACTCTTGGCTAAGCTTAGGCTTTAAAAAGCATGGCGTGTTCCCACTCGCCCTCATGCATCTGTGCTCTCACCATGAGAAGAGCTTGCCTGGCAGGCTACTGTCCGTTCAGTCTGAGTCCCCGTATGAGCACCTGGAGCCCAACCTCAGCAAATAGCCAAACTCAGCCTGGAACCATAGCTTCAAGTGCAGATGGAATGACTATGACTACCTTTCCCAGTTTGCCCAGCACTGTCCTGGTTTTAAAACTGGGAGTTCCACATCCCAGAAACCCCATCTGTCCTGGGAAGACTGGAACAGTTGGGCACCCTAAGTAGAACCACTGAGCTGAGCGAGATCGGTCAACACTTAACCAATCCGAATGGTGAGAAATACATGCTTATTGCTGAATGTCACTCAGATGTTTATGGCCTTTGGTTACACAGCAATAGCTGATGATACAATGGCTTTACTAAAACACTGTTAAACCCCATATATTCGTGTCACAGAGAAGCACTTGTAATGCTAAAGTTCAGTATCGTGTTTGCCATAGAAATACAAGTACATCATGGAATCACAGAACTGATATGAAAATACAGAAATTATCTGGGCCAAGCTACTGTCTTTAGGCAGGTGATTACTATATGCTACTTATATTATATATTCATTTATGTGTATCTTGTCATTCAAATCAGCAACTTGAACTCATCATAATATTCCATAAGATTCTAGGCTGGGTGCGGTGGCTCATGCCTGTAATCCCAACACTTTGGGAAGTTGAAGGGGGTGGACCACCTGAGGTTAGGAGTTCGAGACCAGCCTGACCAACATGGAGAAACTCCGTCTCTACTAAAAATACAAAATTAGCCAGACATGGTGGCACATGCCTGTAATCCCAGCTACTCAGGAGGCTGAGGCAGGAGAATCACTTGAATCCAGGAGGCGGAGGTTGCAGTAAGCAGAGATTAAGCCACTGCACTCCAGCCTGGGCAACAAGAGTGAAACTCTGGCTCAAAAAAAAAAAAAAAAAAAAAAGATGCTAACATTGTATCTCTGTCATGATAGATACGAAGTAAATGGTACAGATATTGAAAATATAATGACATATGGGAAATATTAATTGATTTGAATGACATCCATTCTCCCTGGTTCCACATAAAGTGCTTCCATATCATGCTTTCTTAGCATCTGCCTGTCCTAATACTTATCACACCTTCTTCTATTTATGTTTGTTTCTCTATGGCCACTATTAATCTATACATTCTGGGATGCCAGGGCCTATGTGTATGTTGTTCCCTATATTACTTTGCTAGGGCTGCCATAATAAATACCACAAACTGGGTGACTTAAGCAACAAAGATTTATTTTCTCACTGTTCTAGAGGTTAAAATCCAAGCTCAAGGCACCAGCAGCTTTGGTTTCTTCTGCGGCCCCTCTGCTTGGCTCTGGTTCAGCAACCTACTTCTTGCTGAATTAATGTGACCGCCCTTCTGTCTGCTCATGTTTCTGGCATCTCTCTGTGTGTCTAAATTTCTTCTGCTAAGGACACCAGTCATACTGGATTAGAGCCCACCCTAAAGATATCATTTTAATGTAATCACCTCTTTAAAGATTTAATCTCCAAATAGAGTTGCATTCTGGGGTACTGGGGGTTAGGACTTCAACATATAAATTTGGGGGGTGTTGTACAGTTCAGCCCATAGCATTCCCTTAACATAGTGTCTGAATGAATGAATAAATGAATGAGTGAATATGTTTGGCATAGAGTTTTTTCTCTGGGACATTTGGATTGTTCTACCTTTTCCCCCTTCATCTTTCTCACAATTATCGGTGAAATCCAAAGCTCATACTTGCTGCTTGTTGGAAGGGTTGGAGTGATGTGCCACCTGCATTCATTTATTTGGTGAGAGCTGGTTTCATTTTACTCTCAGTGACAGCAGAGAAAGCAAAAGGCAGCGTAAAAAAGAGACTAACAGATACAGGAGGGGAAGATAAAGAGGATCATCTTGACCTGGTTTGAATAATCTGATGTATTTTCAAGCGTTCTATAGTTGCTAGACTGACCTTGGGCAGGGGAGAAGGGATAAATCATGGCCGGAGAGACTCACTGGTGTTCATTGTTTTACATACTCAAGTGCCTATAATGAGGACAGTCTCATTATCAGTTTACAGGAATCTTTGCTTATGAAGTTTTTGTCTTTCAGAGAGACACTCCTTTGGGTATCTTAATTTCAGGCACTGAGAAAGAAATATATGGGCCAAGAAGTTGGACTTTGAGCCTTAGCCACCTATGCTTTTGACTTTGTGGATAACTTTAGGCTAATCAGTGTCTTCATTCATGATATACCAAGGATAAAAAGCAAATAAGGTTATAGAATACTATACCAGTGAAACTTAATTTGTATTTCCCCTTAACAGACATACTCAAATTGTTAATCCATGTATCATACATTTCTTTTATTTTTTTTTTATTATTTTTTGAGATGGAGTTTCACCCTTGTCACCCAGGCTGGAGTGCAATGGCATGATCTCCGGTCACTACAACCTCTGCCTCCTGGGTTCAAGCGATTCTCATGCCTCAGGTTCCCAAGTAGCTGGGATTACAGGCGCCCGCCACCATGCCCAGCTAATTTTTGTATTTTTAGTAAAGATGAGGTTTCACCATGTTGGCCAGGCTGGTCTCGAACTCCTGACCTCAGGTGATCCGCCCGCCTCGGCCTCCCAAAGTGCTGGGATTACAGGCGTGAGCCATCGTGCCTGGCCCCTTTCTTTTCTTTTCTTTCCTTTTCTCTTCTCTTCTCTTCTTCTTTCTTTCTTTCTTTCCTTCTTTCTTTCTTTCTTTCTTTCTTTCTTTCTTTCTTTCTCTTTTTTTGTTGAGGGGTACATGTGCAGGTTTGTTTTATAGGTAGACTTGTGTCATGAGGGCTTGTTGTACAGATTATTTCATCACCCAGGTATTAAACCTAGTAACCATTAGTTATTTTTCCTGATCCTGTCCCTCCTCCCACCCTACACCCTCTGATAGGCCCCAGTGTGTGTTGTTCCCCTCTATGTGTCTATGTGTTCTCATCATTTAGCTCCCACTTATAAATGAGAACTTCTGGTATGTAGTTTTCTCTTCCTGCATTAGTTTGCTAAGGATAATGGCCTCCAGCTCTATCCATGTCTCGGCAAAAGACATGATCTCATTCTTTTTTATGTCTGCATAGTATTCCATGGTGTATATGTACATTTTCTTTATCCAGCCTATTGATGGGCATTTGGGTTGATTCCATGTCTTTGCTATTGTGATTAGTGCTGCAGTGAACATACACGTGCATGTGTCTTTATAATAGGATGATTTATATTCTTTTGGGTATATACCCAGTAATAGGATTGCTGGGTCAAATGGTATTTCTGTCTTTATGTCTCTGAGGAATTGCCACACTGTCTTCTACAATTTTCCTGAGTGTATCAGTCAGGATGGGCTATGTTAGGCTGCAGTAACAAACATTGCCAATATTTTACCAACTTATGTCAACAGAGGTTCCTTTCTTGCTCGTGTTGCATGTTCATTTTGGTTCCTCTATGGCTATTTTCCATGTCCTCTTCGCTCTGGAACCCAGGATGATAGAGCTGCTCTGTCACCAATGGGACAAGAAAGTATAGTCCTCTGGCCAGGCACAGTGGCTCATACCTGTAATCCTAGCACTTTGGGAGGCTGAGGCAGGCAGATTGCCTGAGCTTGGGAGTTCAAGACCAGCCTGGGCAACACGGTGAAACCCCATCTTTACTAAAATACAAAAAATTAGCCAGGTGTGGTGGCATGCACCTGTAATCCCAGATACTCAGGAGGCTGAGGCAGGAGAATCACTTGAACCTGGGAGGCGAAGGTTGCAGTGAACTGAGATTGTGCCACTGTACTCCAGCCTGGGTGACAGAGTGAGACTCCATCTCCAAGAAAAAAAAAAGAAAGTATAATCCCCCCTCAGGGACGGATGACAGACATTTTGGAACAGTAATACTATTTGCTACAGTTGATGCATATAGAGTACTAATTGTGTGGGTTAAGTTTAACCTAGTGTTGTAAGTATCAGCTGATGTTCTTAACGGGGGTCTCAGGGTGCCCTGAGCAAACCAACTGATAAGTTCACCAGGAGAAAAATCAATTATTTACCAGGAAAGCAATGGGAAGACCTAGAAGAATAATGGTGGAAATAAAAAGAAATAGATGGATAAAAAAGATGTGGAGGTAGAATCAGTTGAACTAACCTCTTAGAGTTTTAGAAACTTGACAAAATGATTCTGACGTTTATTAGGAAGAATAAATAGGTAAGGGTGAGAATTTTGTGTAAGAAAACTAATTGAGGGGGACTTATTCTACTAGATGGTAAACATATTGTAAAGCTATAATAGTTACAGAGAATGGCATTAAGTCAAGAATACTCAGGCAGATCAAGGGACAGAACAGAGAGCGCAAAAACAGATGACTTAAAATAGTATGTTTAATTACAATAGAGAGGCCGGGCACGGTGGCTCACGCCTGTAATCTCAGCACTTTGGGAGGCCAAGGGGGGCAGATCACCTGAGGCCAGGAGTTCAAGACCAGCCTGACCAATATGATGAAAACCTGTCTCTACTAAAAATACAAAAATTAGCCGGGCGTAGTGGCGCATGCCTGTAATCCCAGCTACTTGGGAGGCTGAGGCAGGAGAATTGCTTGAACCCAGGAGGCAGAGGTTGCAGTGAGCCAAGACCATGCCATTGCACTTCAGCCTGGGCCACAGAGTGAAGCTCCATCTCAAAAAAAGAAATTACAATAAAGGAAGCACCCCCTAAAGAGTGGAAGGGAAAGCTTGGTTAATACATAGTTAATAAACAGTTTGGGGAAAATTGACTCTTAGAGGAAAAAAGCAGTTAAGAGTCTCATCCTAAATTCCAAATAAATTTTAGTTGCATCAAGGAAATATGTACCTAAATAAAATAGTGGATAAATTAAGAAAAAATATATGTGATATTATTTATGTAGTTCCTGGATAAGAAAATTCATTCTTTCCAAGTGTAAAAGCAATAGAAAAAAATCCTCAAAGTAAATAGATTGGCCACTTAAAAAATTTAATTTCTACATACATGTATATATATATAAATCTCATAGAAAATGAAAAATGAAAGATGAACTGGGAAAAATAAATATCTTATAAAATACATCAATCAGTCATATCCTTAAGAGAACAAAGTACTTGTACTAATAAGACTAAACTCCCAAAAGAAAAATGAGCAAAGACTATGAATAGACAATTTATTGAAGATGAACTATAATTGGATAATAACTAATTGCAAATGGAAAGTTGAACAAATTTTCAACCTCAGCAATTATAAAAGAAATGCAAATTAACACCACGAGATAACATATTTTAACTTATTAAAATAGTGAAGACTAAAAATATTCGAAGGTGGGAGACTGCGTGGGGAACGGCACTCCTTGGCATTGCTATGGACATCTGAGTTTGCAACCACCTTCTAGAGGGAGAGTTTGGCACTGTAGATGAGAAACCTCATTGATCTAGTAATTTGCTTTTAGGAATCTGTCTGGTGGGTCGCTTTCAGCTATTTCCTCTAAGGAAATCATCAGAGATATGATCGTAGACTTAGGTAAAAGGTGGTTGTTATGACAGCTTTATAGTGTCAAAAATTTGGGAACACACAAAACGCCTAATACCTGGGATTCTCAAGAATAGATCAGTACATGGCACAGGAAAAAATGGTGTTTTTGAAGAAAATATCTCCCAGGGAGCTGCTTAGCAGTGAAGGGCAAGGAGGGAGGAATGCTACCCTTTGAACAGGTGTCCTGTTCAAAAAGTGATACAGCAAATCCTGCAAAGTCCGCCTCCTTCCCTCTTCTGCCCCCAAGTTCCTGAGCCTGCACTGCCCTTGCAGAGGCAACCAATACGTCCACTTTCTTTTCTTGCCGGAGGGTTTCTAAGCTGGACTATTAGCTTGACATGTGATTTTCGGAGACAGAAGATTCAAGGATGTTCCTAGGCTGATGAGAAGAGAAAGGGGACTGTCTGTGGTGGTCACAACTTTTGGTCTCCCATCACCTTTTCCCCCTCCGTAGGGGTAGGACATCAAGATGGGAAAGGAGAGCAACACCTAGAAAGGGAAATAGGGAAGCAACTATGGGGTCTGAACTGAGGGCAGGAAGAAGGAGGGAACAGTGTTGTTTTTAGACAGTAGGGGAAGAGGAAAAGGTGAGATAAGATGCCGAGAAAGTTAGCAGGGAAGACGCTGATATGAGACCATCTCGCAAGGTAGTCTCCATGACTTAAGCAACAGGCTGACCGACCTCCAAGTTTCCAAGTCTCCTGTAGGAGACGAGGAAAATGTCATGGGAGACCCGGAAGTGAGATAAGGTAGGATGAGAAGGTTGCCAGGCAACGCTGAGGTCCGGATGGACGCCTGGGCTCATATTTGTGGCTGCATCTTTGGCACAATATGGCGGACTTCTCCACCAAGAGGAAACCATAAGGGTTAGGAGCAGAGGAAGAGGAGACTTGACTGACTCAGGGTTCGGGGTGCTCAAAGGGAGCGGTGGCCGTGTACCTAACAGGAGTGAGGTCAGAAGGATCGAGTCCCAGGTTAGGGCTGCTGAGAAAAGACCAGTAGGCTGACTGACCAAACAAGATCGAGGCCAAGAACTGAACGCCTCAGTGAAGCTGGGGCCAGGGCAGCCTGGGTGAAAGTGAAAAAATGGGGGAGTCGAAAGAGCAGGGGATTCCAGGTCAGACTTTGAGATTGCCTGAGTAACCATGTGTTCAACAACCAGAAATGAAAGGCAAGAAGCTAGTTGGGCCGCATCTGGACTTTGGTGGACACTAGGCATTTTTGCCTTTGAAGGTCTCTTCCTCCATAAAAATAAAATTTAAGAATGACATTTTACAACTGCATTGGTATAAAGGCAAATCTATTAATATTATGTTTTCAAGCATTGTCTTCAACGAAAGTTCAGGGTTTGTTCCTCGCTCTGATTTTAAAAGAAAGAAAAACATTTCTTGCACTCCTACAAGTATTTTGGGCCTAGGCGCTGTTCCTGCTGTGCCTGGTGGATAAGTCAGCCCTGCATGCAGCCTCCAAAATCGGGAGGTCTGTGCCAAGCACCTGGGAACCTGGGTCCAAAGGAAGCCCAAGTCTATCTTCCATGGCTCCCCAGCACCCTCCATGCTCAGCTCTTCCCAACCTTTGCCTTTTCCCTAAAAGGCCCAAACTTCACACCGCCCTAGCTTGCCCACTCTGTCTTTCTAACCCTTTTTCCTCCTCCTCCTGGACTTTCTCGTCCGGCCTGCCCTGTCTTTCCAGCCTCACCTTTTGCCACAGGTGAGTGCCAGGTACACGGGAGTGTGCAGATGGAGAGGGTGTGTTCATGGAGGCTTGGGCAGAAGCACCGAGACAACAGACATGATATTCCAAAGGAGGGGCTGCCTCCATGGGCAGAATATTCCAAAGAAGTGCCTGTCAACTTGAGTATTTGGGTCCTAAACCCCCCACACATCAGGAATATAAAAAGGGTCCAGCACTGCAAGTAAGAAGAGGGTTCTTTGGGCCGGGCACGGTGGCTCACGCCTGTAATCCCAGCACTTTGGGAGGCTGAGGCGGGCGGATTGCCTGAGCTCAGGAGTTCGCAACCAGCCTGGGTAACAAGGTGAAACCCCGTCTCTACTTAAATACACAAAAAATTAGCTGGACGTGGCGGCATGTGCCTGTAGTCCCAGCTACTTTGAAGGCTGAGGCAGGAGAACTGCTTGAACCTGGGAGGCGGAGGTTGCAGTGAGCCAAGATCACACCACAGCACCCCAGCCTGGGTGACAGAGTGAGACTCCATCTCAAAAAAAAAAAAAAAAAAAGGAAGAGGGTTCTTTGGGTGTAGTTTTTCTGTGAGTCCCTTCTGTCTCTTCTACCCAGTGGGAGAGGAGCTTTATTCTGACCCCTCAGAGAGCTTTGTCTTCTTAAGATTGGACAGAGTGGTCTGTTATCTGGCTCCTTAAAGGCTGAGAGAGGGGCTGGTAAGCTGTGTTTTGGGAAAGGGGAGGGAGAGGTGTTTGTATTGGATGTTCTGTCCACCAAGAGTTTGCTGGGTAAAGCATGCTTGAATATTATCTCCTGGACCAGCTAGTGGGCCATGGCATGGCAGCAGCCAGTATGAGGTTGTCTTAGGTCCTGCTACAGAGGCCACCTGACCAAGAGGGTGAACAGCCTTTAGTAAATAGAAGTGGGTGGTGCCACAGGATTCCCACGGCCAAGAAAGGCCCTGGCCCAGGCATCAGCCTGCCCCAGGGGGCTGTTGGGTGAGACCCTACAAAGGTACCCATGAGAGAAGGGCTCAGCTTTAAACATACAAAGACCAGAGAACCGGAAGCCAGATGGCCCTCATGATGCCAGCCATGTCCCAATTTTGGGGCTCCCATTACCTTTTCTCCCTCCCAAAGGGGTTAGACATCAAGATAGGAAAGGGGAACAACACCTAGAAAGGGAAAGAGAAAAAAAATGGGGCCTGAACTGGGGGCAGGGAGAACAATCAACTTTAAATCAAGTTTGGAGTTCTGATTTTTATATGAACTGGACATTTTAATGATGGCATTGAAATTGGGTTTTAGGACTCAAAAGGCTTGAAGAACCATTCTACCTCAGACTGACAAGAAAAGGTAAAGGATCTGCTCCATACTTCACCTACGGGAAGGAGAATTGTCCCTGCAGGGTGCACTTAGAAGGACAGTGGGAGACAAAGAGCAAGTTGCTTTCTGATTGTATATGATGGGTCATGCTTGTTCAATATAAGAGCTGCTTTGGGCATATCATCAAAACACTCTGCCCTCTTTCTGCTGTGTCGTTGCTTAAGCTGCTCCCTCAGCTGGGAAGAGTGGCATCCCTTGCCCTCTTGTTGAAATTCTCCTCCTTCAAGATCGAGTTTAAATTCTGTGCCTCTGTAACCTTTTCCCCAATCCCCAATCTCTAGCACTTTCATGAGACTGATACATAAAGTCAAAATTCTAACTGATTTAAATTGCATAAATGGTGCACCATAGGTAAAAGTTGAGTAAAATAAAAAGAAACTCCACTACCGAGAGATAAACATTAAGAGCAGGTGTTATTGATAAGCCGGGTACTATTTTTAAGTGCTTTGCAAATACCAGCCCATTGGATCCCATGGCATCACCATAGAGGGGGTACTACTACCATCCTATTTTACATGGGAAACTACATGTGGAAAGATTAGGTAACTTTACCAAGGTCTCACAGCCTACAAATTGTGGGGCCAGGATTTGAACCCAGGTGGTCCAGCCTCCATAGGCTGAGCTCTTAACCACTACACTAGGCTGCCTCCCTTGCTACATATCTTTGGTGCCAGCCGTGTCACAAAGTACTCTGGTTGGATCATGCATGTGATAATGAGTAGTGCATTATCTTCTTTAAGTCAGACATACATAGCCATATCAAGCCTTTTCCTATACAAATATATGCATATAAACATACATGCAAACAATAAATATATAGTATATAAATATATTAGTGAAAACAGGATAGGATACACTACATAATATTTTTAGCCTATTTTTCAACTTAAAAATAAATCATGAATGTCCTTCTATATCAACAAATATACACGGCTTTTTTAATGGCTATATACTCTTTTATTGTAACACACTGTAATTTATTTAATTTTCTGGTTTGGGACATTTTGATTTTTCACTTTTGTGAGTATAAATATTGATTGATGCTTTTTGGTATAAATCTTTCTTCACTAGTCCATTATTTGCTTAACATAGTATATTAGTTTTATCACTGTATAACAAACTACCACAAACTTAGTGGCTTAAAACAAGATGTTACCTCACAATTTCTGCTGATCAGGAGCCCAGATCCATAGGGCTTATGTGGCTGCAGTCAAGTTGTTGACTGGGCTGTGTTCTCATCTGGAGGCTCAACTGGGGAAGAATCTTCTTCCAAGTCCACTCAGCTGTTGGAAGAATTCATTTCCTTATGGCTGTGGGACTAAGAGCTTCCATTTTTTTTTGGTCTTTGCTACCTGTCAGCAGTTCACACATGGCAGCTTGCTTCTTCAAGGCCATCAGGAGAGCAAGAATGAGTTTCCTAGCAAGATGGAATCTTTTTTTTTTTGAGGTAGAGTTCGCTCTTGTTGCCCAGGCTGGAGTGCAATGGCAAGATCTTGGCTCACTGCAACCTCCACCTCCTGGGTTCAAGTGATTCTCCTGCCTTAACTAGGATTACAGGCATGTGCCACCATACCTGGCTAATTTTTTGTATTTAGTAGAGACGAGGTTTCACTATGTTGGTCAGGCTGGTCTTGAACTCCTGACCTCAGGTGATCCACCCACCTCGGCCTCCCAAAGTGCTGGGATTACAGGCATGAGCCACCATGCCCGGCGCAAGATGGAGTCTTATAAATTGGCATCTTCTATGTAGATTGCTAAAAGTAGAAGCATGGGCCAAAGAGTACACAAAATTCTAGGATTTTTTTCCATACATATTGTCAAATTGTACTCTGGAAAAAATTGTACCAATTTACCCTCACACCCAACAGTGTACGAGAATGCCTGTCTCCCCAAACCCATGCCAACACTGGGTACCAGTATTATTTTTAGTTTGTTAATCTACTAATTGAAAACTTGTTTCTCATAGTTTTAACTTTGGGATGGCCAGTTTTACACATTTACTGGATTATGCATGCCAGGGTGAGTAGTGCATTATCTTCTTTAAGGCAGACATACAGAGGAAGCCAATTTGTTCTCAGAAGGTTTCTTGTTGAGCAGGAAGAAGAATGGAGAGGCATACCATGTTCATGGATTGGAAGAGTCAACATAATAAAAATGTCAGTTCTCCCCAAATTGCTATACAGATTTAACACAATTCCCATCAAAATCCCAAGGAAGGGCTGGGTGTGGTGGTTCACGCCTGTAATCCCAGCACTTTGGGAGGCTGAGGTGGGTGGATCACGAGGTCAGGAGTTTGAGACTAGCCTGGCCAAGATGGTGAAACCCCATCTCTACTAAAAATACAAAAATTAGCTGGGTGCGGTGGTGGGCACCTGTAACCCCAGCTACCTGGGAGGCTGAGGCAGGAGAATTGCTTGAACCTGGGAGGTGGAGGTTGCAGTGAGCTGAGATCATGCCACTGCACTCCAGCCTGGGCAACAGAGCAAGACTCCATCTCAAAAAAAAAAAAAAAAATCCCGGGAAGATCTATCCAATTTCAAGACTTATTGTACAGCTACAGTAATAAAGACTGTATAGTATTGACAAACACATAGATCAATTGACCAATTAGACAACCCAGAAATAGATACACACAAACATACCTAACTGAGTTTTGTCCCAAGTGCAAAAAAAATTCAATGGAAAAAAGTTATCTCCTTGTAAAACTGGTGCTGGAGCTATTATTCATCCATGGACAAAAATATGAGCCTTGACCTATGTCTCACACCTTTACAAAAATTAACTCATAATGAATTGTGTGCTTAAATGTAAAACATAAAATTTTTAAACTCTTAGGAAACAGGAGAAAAATATTTAGGATCTAGTGATAGACAGTTCTTTGACCTGACACCAAAAACATGATCATAAAGTGAAAAACTGGTAAATTGGGATTCATCAAAATGAAAAAAATTTGCCCTGCAAAATACCCCTTTTAGAGGATGAGAAGACAAACTGGAGAGTGGGAGAAAATATTTGTAAACCACATATGTGACGAAGAACTCATATCTAGAATATAAAAAAGAACTCTCAAAACTCAGTAGTAAAAATGCAAACAATTTGACTAGAACATGGGCAAAAGATGTGAAGAGACATTTTATTGAAGAAGATTAAAGATGACAAATAAGCACATGAAAAGATATTCAACATCATTAGCAATTAGGAAAACACAAAATAACAACAATATGTTATTACAAACCTATCAGAATGGCTAAAATAAAAAATAGTGGCAACATCAAATGCTGTTAAGGATGCAGAGAGACTGGATCAAATATATATTTCTGGTAGACGTGTAAAACGGCACAGTTATTCTGTGGGACAGTGTGGCAGTTTTGTTTGTTTTAGATGTGATATAGTGGAAATAGAACATTGGCTTGAGGCTGGGTGCCGTGGCTCACACCTGTAATCCCAGCACTTTGGGAGGCCCAGGGGGGCGGATCACCTGAGGTTGGGAGTTGGAGACCAGCCTGACCAACATGGAGAAACCCCGTCTCTACTAAAAATACAAAATTAGACAGGTGCGGTGGTGCATGCCTGTAATCCCAGCTACTCAGGAGGCTGAGGCAGGAGAATCACTTGAACCTGGAAGGCACAGGTTGCAGTGAGCCGAGATCACGCCATTGCACTCCAACCTGGGTGAGAAGAGTGAAACTCCGTTCCTGCCCCACAACCAAAAAAAAAAAAAAAAGAACATTGGACTGGAATGTCAGTTTTATCATTCAACTGGCTGAACAAGTACCAACCTTGCAGAGCTTTGGTTTCTTCATCTGTGAACTGGTGATGAAAATAGTACCTACCCATAATTGAGAGGATTTAAATCAGGGGTTGGCAAATTACAGTCCTTGGACTAAATCTAATCTGGCACCTGTTTTGCAAATAAAGATTTATTGGAGCATAGCCATAACCACACCACAAGGACAGAGTTGAATGTTTGTGACAGAGACTGGCCTACAAAGCCATTTACTAGATATACCTTTATAGAAAAACTTGCCAACCCCTGATCTAGATGATATAATATGCATAAAAATGTTTGAAAATAGTAAAGCATTAATTGTAGTTGTTATTATATATCTTTAATAACAGACCTTCTGTTTCTGAGAAGAAAGAATGGTTTTCTCACACAATGCCAATCTGAACAGGTAGATTTTTTTTTTTTTTTTTTTTTGAGACAGAGTCTCACTCTGATACCTAGGCTGGAGCGCAGTTGCACGATCTTGGCTCACTGCAACCTTCACTTCCCAGATTCAAGCGATTCTACTGCCTCAGCCTCCTGAGTAGCTGGGATTATAGGCACGCGCCACCACCCCTGGCTAATTTTTGTATTTTTAGTAGAGACAGGGTTTCACCATGTTAGTCGGGCTGGTCTCGAACTCCTGACCTCGTGATCCTCCTGCCTCGGCCTCCTAAAGTGCTGGTATTACATGCATGCACCACAGCACCCAGCCATCTGAGCACGTAGATTTTTAAAAAGCTTGGATGACATATCCCCTAGTAAGAGTATCATACTAGCAATATTATATCTCATGTAAGTAATATTATAAACAATCAGTTTGATAGATAACACTTTTTATTATGAACAGTTTTGTTTGTTTGTTTGTTTTTCTGAGACAGAGTCTTGCTCTGTCGCCCAGGCTGGAGTGCAGTGATGCGATCTCGGCTCACTGCAAGCTCTGCCTCCTGGGTTCACGCCATTCTCTTGCCTCGGCCTCCTGAGTAGCTGGGACTACAGGCACCCGCCACCGTGCCTGGCTAATTTTTTTGCGTGTTTTTAGTAGAGACGGGGTTTCACCGTGGTGTCGATCTCCTGACCTCATGATCCGCCCGCCTCGGCCTCCCAAAGTGCTGGGATTACAGGCGTGAGCCACTGTGCCCGGCCAACAGTTTTAAACATAAAGAAAGGTGAGCTCCATATGTCTACCAGCTGGATTTAGCAATTGTTAACATTTTGCCCTATTTGCTTTATGACCTATTATCTCTATCTCTCTATCTATCCACCCACCTTACCTATCTGTGTTTATATATTATTTGCCCAATCACTTGAAAGCAAATTGCAGACATCATGAGCCTTCACCCCTAAATACTTCCTTAGCAAGGTGAATGCCCAAGGGGTTCACCTTGCCCGCTGCCTAGAGAGCTGATTCATCAAGACAGGGGAATTGCAATAGAGAAAGAGTAATTCATGCAGAGCCAGCTGTGCAGAAGACCTGAGTTTTATTATTACTCAAATCATTCTATCCAAACATTCAGGGAGCAGAGTTTTTAAGGATAACTTGGTGGGTGTGGGGAAGCCAGTGAGCCAGGAGTGCTGATTGGTCAGAGATGAAATCATAGAGAGTCAAAGCTGTCTTCTTGTGCTGAGTCAGTTCCTGGGTGGGGGCCACAAGATCAGATGAGCCAGTTTATGCATCTGGGTGGTGCCAGCTGATGCATCACGTGCAGGGTCTGCAAAATATCTCAAGCCCTGATCTTAGGAGCACTTTAGGGAGGGTCAGAATCTTGTAGCCTCCAGCTGCATGACTCCTAAACTGCAATTTCTAATCCTGTGGCTAATGTTAGTCTAGTCCCCAGGCAAGAAGGAGGTCTGCTTTGGGAAAAGGGCTGTTACCATCTTTGTTTAAACTAGAAACTAGAAACTAAGTTTCTCCCAAAGTTAGTTCAGCCTACGCCCAGGAATGAACAAAGACAGCTTGGAGGTTGGAAGCAAGATGGAGTCAGCTATGTTAGATCTCTTTTACCGTCTCAGTCGTAATTCTGCAAGGGCGGTTTCGCATGCATCTTCTGTGAATAATGACTTTCTCCTGCAGAATCACAAAATCGTCATCACATGTAAGAAAAGTTGCAACAATTCCCAAATATCATCTAATATTCCATTTTCTCCAATTGTTCACAAAATGTATTTCTTACCTCTTTTTTCAAACCAAGAACCAAGGAAGTTTATCTCATTGTGTTTGGTTGTTCTGTTTCTTTTAATCTTATTCCTCCACCTTTTCTCCCTATGACATTGACTTTTTGAAGAGACAATTTCAGACCATTTAAACCAAATAAACTATGGGCTCTTGGCAGGCAAGGCGATTTTTTTTTTCCACTATGCCTCTGAGCACTTAATACAGAACAAGCTGAAAAAATACTTCTTGACTTACTGATTGTGCTATGGCAACTAGGAGCGTTCTGAACAAACGGAGCAGGAAGCCCTTCTCATATTTGACTAATCAATTAATTAACTTTTACTTTATGTGAGGCAATTACCCTAAAACATTCTGGTTTTGTGCCACCAGTTGTGAGACCAGAGCTTAATTTCTCCCTGTCCAAAGTGGTGGAAGAGGGGCCTTTGATTTGGTCTCCATTCTGAGGACAACTCAAAGAATTTTGCCCTCAAATAATGTAAGGGGTAATGGGTAAGGTACAAAAGGTAGAGGATGGAGAATAGCTCAAAGCTACAGGATGGATCAGGTGCTGGTAGATTCTCTCAACCTGACATCCCTTCATCTGCTTTTCCTTTTAGTGCAATAACAAAGACTGTCCCAGGGAAATGCCGTCTCATTTCTTTTCTTTTTCTTTTTCAATTTTTTTTTTTTTTTTTTTGAGACAGAGTCTCACTCTACCGCCAGGCTGGAGTGCAGTGGCAGGATCTCAGCTCACTGCAACCTCTTCTTCCCAGGTTCAAGCGATTCTCCTGCCTCACCCTCCCGAATAGCCGGGACTACAGGCACACGCCGCCACGCTCAGCTAATTTTTGTATGTTTAGTAGAGACGGGGTTTCACCATATTGGCCAAGATTGTCTTGATCTCTTGACCTCGTGATCCGCCTGCCTCAGCCTCCCAAAGTGCTGGGATTACAGGCGTGAACCACTGCACCCAGCTTTTTCTATTATATTGTTTGCATTTGGTCATTGTGTTCTCCTGGTTGGGAGTTAAGCCTTTGGATTCTTTTCTTATGTTAATTCAAACATTCCAGCAGACTTGGAAATGGTTTCAGGAGAGGACCCTTGAATATCTGAGGGTCTAGTTAACGGTAGGGAACATTCCAACATTATTTATTGGAAACCATATAATACATGGAATGAACATTGCATATTTTGAAGAAAACCTTGACCCTCATGGTTTTGAGCGTCTAGAAAAGGAGGAAATTTTGGCTGAGAGTTGAAAGCCCTTGTGTTTCCTAACAGCCAATAGTAAATCTTTCCTAGAAGTTCCGGTGTGAGCTGATTTCCAGCCATTGGGGCTGATCCTAAAATACGTTGTTAGGTGTAACATAGAAGTCAAAAGCCACATTTCTGGAAACTTTGGAAGCACAAGGGAATGCTCTGTTGACTGAAACAATTAAAGAGGAAATAGACAGGAAGCAGAGCTCAGACGCTGGTGAGCCTACGGCTCAGTCTCTCCTGGTGCATTTGTCTTTCCTTGGAGACAACTAATTGGATTACACATAGCTTCTAGAAAGAGCCAAGCTGTTATTATTATATTTCTTTTTCTTTCTTTCTTTCTTTTGCGATGGAGGCTTGCTCTGTCACCCAGGCTGGAGTGCAATGGCTCAATCTCAGCTCACAGCAACCTCTGCCTCCCGGGTTCAAGCGATTCTCCTGCCTCAGCCTCCCGAGTAGCTGGGATTACAGGCATCTGCCACCACACCCAGCTAATTTTTGTATTTTTAGTAGAGACAGGGTATCCCCATGTTGGCCAGGCTGGTCTCGAACTCCTGACTCAGGTGATCCTTCCGCCTCGGCCTCCTGAAGTGCTGGGATTACAGGCGTGAGCCACCGCAGCCAGCCATTATTACATTTCTTTAGAAGGCCTAGCTGCCTGAGAATTCGGAAGCACTTTCATGTATTTTGTGGCAACTGTCTGGTTTCTATGATTGTGGTTTGGGCTCTCTCTCGCTCACACCTCTTCTTCTGCCTCTCTCTGTCACCTTTTTCCTCCTTCAGGTCTCTCAGCCCAGCATCACCTTCTCAGAGCAGCCTGCATCCATCCCCTAGACTAGAAATATCCCCCTTTCAAATAACCTCATGGCACCCACACCTCAAGACAGGTTGCAATTGAATGTCTGTTTATCCCTCCCTGTCTCCATTCTATCCCCAGGGCCTCCCACTCTGCCTGGCAAAGAACGGATGTGCTCACATCAGGAATATTTTAATGAAGGTGCTGTTACTGGAAAGGGATCCCAATCCAGACCCCAAGAGAGGGTTCTTGGATCTCATAAAAGAAAGAATTCAGGGCGAGTCCATAAAGTGAAAGCAAGTCCATAAAGGAAAAGCAAAGAGAAAAAAGAATGGCTACTCCATAGACAGAGCAGCACCAAGGGTTGCTGGCTGGCCATTTTTATGGTTATTTTGTTATTATGTGCTAAACAAGGGGTGGGTTATTTATGAGTTTTCTGGGAAAGGAGCAGGCAATTCCTGGAACGGAGGGTTCCTCTCCTTTTAGACTATATAGGGTAACTTCCTGATGTTGCTGTGGCATTTGTAAACTGTCACGATGCTGGTAGGAGTGTCTTTTAGCATGCTAATGCGTTATAATTACCATATAATGAGCAGTGAGGATGAGCAGAGGTCACTTTCATCACCATCTTAGTTTTGGTGGGTTTCTTTACCACATCCTGTTTTATCAGCAGGGTCTTTGTGATCTGTATCTGTGGTGCCAGTCCTGCTGACCTCCTTTCTCGTCCTGTGACTAGTGATGTCTAAGCTCCTGGGAATGCAGCCCTGTAGGTCTCAGCCTTATTTTACCCAGCCCCTATTCAAGATGCAGTTGCTCTGGTTGGAACGTCTCTGACAGTATGAGTTTGGGAAGAGTTGGAAATGCTGAAGAAGTGACCTGGAGACAGCGAAGGTGACGTAGGGTTTATTGGGGGGACTTACATACAGGGACGGTCCAGTGGCGGCAGGCTGGCCAGGAGAAGCACTACCATTGTAAAAAGCATGTAGTTGATGTACGATTTTCACTTAGCACCCTCCATCTAGCAACCTCCATACATAAGTAGGCTAAGAATATGGACAGAGAATTGACAAAACAAACATAAACCATGAAAAATATGAAACACACCTTTTGAAAGATCAACCTAAATTGGATTCAAAGAAATGCAAATTAAAATATTTTGTCATCAAATCAGCAAAGAAGAAAATAATATGCAATGCTGTTGCAGTGAACGAGATTCTAGTGGAAGTATGTTTTTTGGCATAAATATATTCAACACATAAACATAAATATTAATGTATATAAATAATATGTAAACATATTATAAACATATACACAATAATTAATTATATATACATATAAATGTATAAATCAATAAATGTCAGAGCAGTGATGAAGACAATAATAATTATGGTAATAATCCCAATCATAAATGTGAACATTTGTTGAGGGCTTACTCACACTACTTGTGACATTTCATATATATTATCTCACTTAATCCTGACAACAACCCCCATTGTCTGAAGTACATACCCAAGCCTTATCGCCTCATACCAAGGATATTGAGGATGCAGACCAGCAAGGAGTGAATTTAAGAGCAGAAGTTTAATAGGCAAAAGAAAGAGGAAAGCTCCCTCGTGCAGAGGAAGGGGTCCTGAACGGGTTTCTGGGTTCCCAGCAAGATGCCATTGGTTTTATAGATGAGCTTGAGGAGGTGGTATCTGATGTACGTAGGATGCAAAAGATTGGTTGGACCAATTCCATTTACATAGCATGCAAAGAAGCCGGCTGTCCCATCCTAATCTGTTTTTATACAGATGTGTTCTCTACCTGGCCAGCGTCATGTTGCCTGTTTGCTTACTGCACGCATGGTGACAAAACAGAAGCCTCCATGTTGGATATGCCTGGGTCCTAGGTGTCAGGCCTCTGAGCCCAAGCTAAGCCATCATATCCCCTGTGACCTGCACGTATACATCCAGATGGCCTGAAGCAACTGAAGATCCACAAAAGAAGGGAAAATAGCCTTAACTGATGACATTCCACCGTTGTGATTTGTTTCTGCCCCACCCTAACTGATCAGCGTACTTTGTAATCTCCCCCACCCTTAAGAAGGTTCTTTATAATTCTCCCCACCCTTGAGAATGTACTTTGTGAGATCCACCCCCTGCCTGCAAAACATTGCTCCTAACTCCACCACCTATCCCCAAACCTCTAAGAACTAGTGATAATCCACCACCCTTTGCTGACTCTCTTTTCGGACTCAGTCTGCCTGCACCCAGGTGAAATAAACAGCCTTGTTGCTCACACAAAGCCTGTTTGGTGGTCTCTTCACATGGACGCGTGAGACACTAGGTAGCCCTTTTCTGTTAGCACAGCTGCTGGCATTCACCTGCGCAAGCTTCCAGCTTGCTTATCTATGTCTGCAGCTTGATTTTTCAGGCTGCCCTTTGTTAGAAAAGAAATGATTTGGGGGCTGCTTTTTATTAAAAAGGAAGCCTTGCCAAGGACTCTCTTACCCTTACTAACTGCCTAAAGAATTTCTTTCTAGCTCCTGTATCAGATGGACTATAATCATCCCCATCTTATAGTGGAAGAGAGAGAGGCAGAGAGCAGTTAAGTAGCTGTGCCGAACCCCGATGGACTCCAGTAGGGATGACATTGTGTCTGAGAGCTGAAGAAGTGACCTGGAGACAGCAAAGGAGACGTAGGGTTTATTGGGGGGACTTACATACAGGGACAGTCCAGTGGCGGCAGGCTGGCCAGGAGAACCACTACCATTTGTGAAAAGCATGTAATTGATATAGCATTTTCACTTAGCACCCTTCACCTAGCAACCTCCATTTAACCCAAACAAAGAGCCTTGACCCCTTGTACAGCTTGCATTCCAAAGGATGGCTGGGGGTTTGGGTGTCCTTCTTAGATAAGGGTTTGGCCACTCCTGGATTCCTTCACTTAAGACTCTGAACTCACATTCTTCTTAGACCACAAGGTTATCAAGGTTATCCTCAGATGATGCTTAAGCGATTGCTGTCAGGTGCATCTGCCACACAGTAGTTTGCCAAAGATCACCCAGTAGCAACGGAATTGGGATTTGAACCAGGCAGTCCTCTGAAGTCTATGCTTTACCGTCTTACCTAAAAAATGTTTATGCCCCTTGGCCTTCTGATTTCACTTCTGGGAGTCTAGCTCAAGGAAGTATTTCTAAAGATTATCAGGCACAAATATGTTCGCAGAACCATTATGCAAGACATCTATTCCATAGATGATTCTGTTGTCCTTAAAAAGGTGTTTATAGCTGGGTGTGGTGGCTCCTATTTGTAATCCCAGCACTTTAGGAGGCCAAGGTGGGAGGATCCCTTGAGGCCAGGAATTCAAGATCAGCCTGGGCAACATAGCAAGACCGCCATCTCCACAAAATATTTTTTAAAAAATTAGCAGGGTGTGGTGACTTGTGCCAGCTACTCAGGAGACTTAGGCAGGAGGACTGCTGGAGTTCAGGAGTTCAAAACTGCAGTGAGCTATGATTGCACCACTGAACTTGATCCTGGGCAACAGAGTGGGACCCTGTCTTTAAAAATATATATTTATGATGAATACAAAACAACATAAAAATATTTTCATGAAATTTTATGTGGTAACAAACTCAGACTTATACCATATAGGATGTCAAACTGCACACTAGCCACACTAATCATAAAACTGAATCTATAAGATATAATATTTTTTGTTTTGGAGATGGGAGTCTCACTCTGTCACCCGGGCTGGAGTGCAGTGGTGCGATCTTGGCTCACTGCAACCTCCACCTTCTAGGTTCAAGCGATTCTCCTGCCTCAGCCTCCTGAGTAGCTGGGATTACAGGCATGCACCACCACTCCTGGCTAATTTTTGTATTCTTAGTAGAAACGGGGTTTCACCATGTTGGTCAGGCTGGTCTTGAACTCCTGACCTCATGATCCACCCACCTCGGCCTCCCAAAGTGCTGGGATTACAGGTGTGACCCACCGCGCCCAGCCCCATAAGATATAATATTAAGTCATAAGAGCTAGATACAAAATTAAATGCACCACATGATTGCATAGGTAAAAGAATCCAACACAACTATGCCTCAAAGAAAGACTGAAAGAAAATCCACCAAAATATTAGCAGTGATCGGGCTTGGGTGGCGAAACAATGGACAATTTTCATTTCTTTTTTGTACTTACTCTGATTTTCCATTTTTTTTTTCATTCACAAACACCATGGCTTTTATAATTAAAAACATTGTTTAACATAAAGGGAAACAAAGTTTGTGTGTGGGGTAGGTTGACGGGGTAGCAGAAAGGGAAAATTCGGCCTGGAGGAAACTGATGGATAGATATTTCTCACTGTGTGGAAATCCAAAGAGGCTGAGAAGTGGGTCTTACTGAAAATATTGCTTCCAGAGCATTTGGGGACTGTGCCACCTGCAAAGGCCTTGGTGTCTTGAGCACTTCACTTTGTAACTGATGGCTCATTGCAATGTCCTGCGGTACTGACTCGGGAGAAGTACCCTGTAGCTGTCTTGCAATTCCCACCCCCCGCCATCATTTCTTTGGGAGGCATCTGGAGTGACTCATTGTCCTTGTCCTAAAATATGACCCTGCCTCTGGGATCCTGAAAGCAGGCACTCTGAGTGCCTGTGTCCCCTCACCGCTGTCACACTGTAGCACGCGTTCCGCGCCACTTGTCTCCTCAGTCCCCTCCTCCCTCGCAGAATTTCTCTCGGAAACCTTACTCTCTAATCACTGATACTGTTGACTGGAGCCCCAGCTCCACCGTCTCCCCTTCTGTGAAGTGTCCTGAGTCACCCCTTCCTTTGCGCTCTCTTAGTCCTTCACCCCCTTTATACTCTACTCATGGCATGCTGAAGTGGGACACACCCCACTGTTCATGCCTGCCCCAGCCATGTCCTCTTCCTGTTTGTTTTGTAGAGCAGACACTCCATAAATACTCATAGCAGAAATGAATAAATGGATGAGTCTTGTTATCACGTTGACGGTGACAATTTTCCGATTGTTCAGAGGCTCCAGAATTGGATGTCTTTCTGATATTGGAAGATCTACTTAGGAGGTATAGCTATGAAGGCTTAGCTCTGTATTAGAAAAATTATTCACCAGATACTTGCTAAAAATGGCAAGGAAAACTTTATTCAAGACTATTGCGATAGGGGTCAAGACTGCTGAAGAAGGCAGAGAGGTTGAGCTCCACTCTGCACACAGCAGGGACAGCAAGGCATTTATAGCGGGAGTGAGGGAGTGAGTAGATGCAACATTACTCAGGGGAGCTTGATTCAACAGCCGGGGTAGGGGGATTCTTGATAAACTGGCTTCATAGGATTCTCACTAAAGGCAGACCAAGGACATAGATAGCAGGGGTGGGGAAAGAAGAACTTGATCAGATATCAAGGGTGGGAGGATTCTTGATAAACTGAGCAGGATTCTTTTGCTAAAACTGGCTTGGGCAGGCCAAGGGCTAGGGGAGGCCCACATCAAGGCCCAGCTGAGAAGAGGACTCAAAGGAACCTGACTAAAGTTTGGTGGAGGAGGGAGTCTCTGTTAGATCCATGGAAGAGGTATGCAGTTTTCACTGTCATGTGCCACTGTTTGCACAGCGTTTGACTGCAAAACCCATGGTGCAGGCATCCTGTCTCTAAGTGCGATTTTTAGACAAGGAAGATGTATCAGTTATTTATGGCCACAGTAATGCTGTGTAACAAATAGCCACAAACCCCCATGGCTTAGAACAACACGTGTATCTAGCTCACGGGTGTGCAGGTCTGTGAGGGCTTCTGCTGGGCTTGGTTATATGCCTGGGGGTTGGCCAACTCTGGGCTGATCTAAGAGGGCACTGCTGGGAAGCTTGAGACAGCTCCGCCTGCTTTATGTATTTTTCCTCCTGCAGCAGGTCAGTCTGGGCATGTTCTTGTGGCCAGGAGGTCAAGAGGCATGCAGAAATGCCAAGGGCTTCTCTGAGCCTCTGCATGTGTTAAGTCTGCTGAAATCTCATTAGCCAAAGCAGGCCGCACAGATGAGCCCAGAGGCTGAGTGGGAAGGCCCTGGAGGGTTCCATGGACCTGAATCGGGGCCATTAATGCATTAAGCTATCAGAGAAGAGGGAAAGTCATACGCACACTCACAGCACTGACTTGGGACTCCTGCCTCAGTGGCATCCAACACTCTGGTTGCATTCATGGAGCTATCTTAGCCTGATTTCTTTTCTTTGGTCATTTCTTTTCTTTTCCTTTCTTTCTTTCTTTTTTAAATTTTTTAAGAGATAGGGTCTCACTCTGTCATCCAGGCTAGAGCACAGTGGCGTGATCACAGCTCACTGCAGCTTTAACCTCCCAGGCTCAAGCGATCCTCCTGCTTCAGCCTCCCAAGTAGCTGAGACTACAGGCA